>NC_000010.11:126613344-126924825 GCF_000001405.40 Homo sapiens
CCCCACCTCAGTCTCCTGAGCAGTTGGGACTACAGACATGTGCCACCATACCCAGCTAGTCTTTTTGTTTCTTTCTTTTTCTGTAGAGACAAGGTCTGACTATATTGCCCAGGCTTGTCTCAAACTCCTGGCCTCAAGCAATCCTCCCACCTGGGCCTCCCAAAGTGCTGGGATTACAGGCATGAGCCACCATGCCCGGCCTCAGATGACTATTTTAATCCACTGATGCAAAACTGTGCAATTACCAATTCAAATCTGAAAAACTATATGAAGAAACTGAAAAGCCAAGTCCTCCCCAGAGCCTTTATCCCTCTTCAATCACTGCAGACAAACAAGTGCTTGCTAGGTCTTGTTTTAAAGATGCAACCAGTAACTTCTCAATTAGAATAAATCAAATTCACAAGCACGTGACCTTCAGGTAAAGACTGAAGGGCGAGGGAAACCCTTCCCTCTGGATTTGAGCCTCTGGCTTATGCATGAGCCAAGGCTTTCAATGTTTCACATCTGAACAGAAACTGCGATAATCTGGAAGAAGTGGCTGGTTGTGATGACCTGACCCTCACCCCATGCTTAGGAAATGGGGATAGCCACCCAGTCCTCTTCCAAAGGAGTCCAGAAAACTGAGGCTCCATGAATCTGATGCCACTCCCCTTCCTTAAAGGCCTGTTACATTCCTCATGGATAATATGGGTGGGTTACATGTCCTCATCACACTTCTCATCTCCTTGCGTAGTGGGTCCCCAAAACAGCAACAGGATATCAGGAAAAGTTAATGTGATTTTCAAGGTGGTTCAAGGGTGAGAACAATCTGAGGTCTTTCAGGGACAGAGTGAAACCTTAAAGGTCATTGCACTGAGCCCCTAGGACTCCCCCTGCCCACTTTCCCAAGGAAGTAAAGTCTTATCCTCACTTTACAGAGAAAACCACAGAAATCAAATGACTCACTCAAGGTCATCGGGGTTAGAAAGGAATCACAATGTCTAGTCACCATTAAGGGAATAAAAACATTCAAAGGGAATAAAAATGTGATAAATACTCTACAGACTATTCCAAGGTCAAGAACAGCCTTCAGTGGATTCAGGGTTAGAGAAAAGCATTAAAAAAAGCCTATGGCAACATGTATCACCTTCTGCTCAATCCTGAAGCTACACAAATTCAGATGATCTCTGCCCTTCCCCTGCCTGTGGATTGAGGTGCCATGTGGGGGTGGATGTGGGCCACTGGGGATCTAGTTGAGGAGACCAGTTCTACCATGCTTAAGGTGGTTCCCAGTCCAGGGGAAATCCTCCTCCATTTATTTCTGCTATGCTTAGCTCAGCCTTTCAACGCTAGGGAAGGTTCATCAAACTCGAAGAACAGCAGTGAATAGAGAGGGGCGTTGCTCGATGACTCCAAAGGACATCATCCCTTGAGAAGGCATGACACAGAGTATTAGCTTCTGTTCAATAAATTTACATATTTGGATAACATGGGAGATTATCTGTGAAATATAGCAGTAGAAATACTCTTTTCTCTATGCCGCTATTGGGTTCAGTTGTATATCAACTAGGACTTACAGCATAACAAAGTTCTTCAAGACTCTGTGCTGAAATGACATATGTTTATTATTTCTCATCATTTTGTACGTTAGCTGGCTGCTGCTTCTGTTCTGGCTGGCTTGACTGAGGCTAGATGGTTCCAGGTGGCCTTGCTTCCATGCCTGGGTCCTCGGCTGGGATGCTGGAGCTCTCTTAGTGTTTTCTCATCCTCCACGGAGGCTGGGCTGAGGTTATTCAGATGGAGGCTCAAAGGTTTCCAGAAATTAGAGAGGATGCGCCCTACCTCACCAAACCTGTCAAGCCTCTGCCTGCATCCTATTTGTTAAGATCCTTTTGCCTAAAGCAAGTCACATGACCCAGTCCAGGGTCAGCGGGGAGGAACTACCCAAGGGTGTGGCTACAGAGATGCATAATTCATTGGAGGCCACTTCTACAAAGACCTACCCCAAGTTATCCCAGATGTGAGGTCTTGGATACCCAAAACCAGCAAAGGACATCTCTTCTGTTGAATGGGATATAGAGAACACTGAATAGGTATCTTACACCAAGTTATTTTACTTGTTAGTAATATTTCATAATATGACTTCAGTAGCCATTATCTATGAAAAAAAGATGCCTTTGAAGCAAGGCTATAAAAATACAAAATCTTAACACAATGATCACATTCAACTCATACTTTTAATTTTCTTATATTTTATTCTCTAATCAAATGGTTATGTTTTACCCCCCTAAGCTTTCTTTCAGTTATTCAGCAAACATCTTTTTTTCAGTAGTTACGACGTGTAAGGCATTGTAGGGACCAAAAATGAGTAAGAGATGCCATCTCTACCTGACTAGGAGGGATAACACCTATGCTCAGATCATGGTCATACTCACCATAAGAGATGGGGAAAGGCATTATGGGAGTAGAGAGACACAGAAAAGTCCAAACGGGCTCAAGATCAGGCTGTGTATATATCCTATGATCCCTCACTGTAGTAGCTTCATGGGCTCCCCAAACAGTTTCCATCTATTTCCAATTTGGCCACTTACTGGAGCCTTCCCATCAGGCCACCATCACCTTCACTGGTGTCCAAGGTCTAGGGGATTTGTGAGTGGCTTGTACTATTAACCATGTGCGTGTCCCCTGCAATGGCTAGAAGTGGAGCTGAGAACTGCCTTGAGGCACAAATGCGCATCATTTCTGCTGGACCATTGACCAGAGATACACAGGCCCCCCACCACCCAAGACCCCAGCACTTCTTGTTGGAGTAGGATCTCTTAATTCCGAGAGTGTGAGTCTTTTATCTGTTCTAGGTGTGGAATAAACTGGTTCTGCAAATGTGCCTCCACATCCATCTGCCTCGTATTTATTGAACATAATAATCAAGAGTGTACTACCATCTATGCTTCCCTCTCTGCAGTGGCCCTCTTCCGACAAGCAATGGGTGAGTCATGTCTAGCTGTCCTAGGAGAAAGGTTTTCAGGGCTCACCGGAGGATTTGATGAGCATAAAGGTAGAAGGTAAGAGAGAAGTACGGCAATTAATTATTCAAAATATGATTCTCCCTACCCCATTGAATCTTCCAGAGAGCATTGCTACCAAATAGCTCCAGTTGACACTTGTTTGTTTCAGCAGGAGGTGGAATGTGAGCTGGGCCTGGGGAAGATTTCGAGAGTCAGAGACGCCTAATAGATGCTGACACGGGCACAGAGGAAAGCCATGAGACATGAGCAGCTTGGTCAGCAACATGGTGGCTCTTTGTCTACTAACTTAACTCTGGAGGTCAGAGGCAGGGCTTTTGGCTATTTGAGCTTCATCTTTCTGGTCTATACAATCCATCTCCTTAATTAATGGCCATTCACCATTAAAGCCAAGCTTGTGGCAATTCATGCCACTTGAAGAGCACAATCTTTTAATCTTTGCTCTTTGCTTGTCTCCTCCTAACTGAATCTCAGGCAGGAAGAAAAATAACAGTAAGTCTTCCCTCTGGGATCCCATGACCTTCAGTGCCCCAGCAAAGTAGGTCCGCAACATTGATATGTGACCTGCCTTCCTGCTTCCCACACCTCCCCTTCTAACCAGGGCTATGTTATCTAAGTTGAAAGACAACGGGAGACAAAAATTCCTGGACTGTGTTTCTGCCAAATCTCTCGGACATCATTTGCAGTCAGGAAATGAAACTGACTTAATTCCTACCTAGACAAAATTCTTCCTGTTTCTCATAACACAAAGAGAAGCAGAGCAAAAACACATTGGGAATAATTAAATATACACATTTCTCTGTGTGGCGGGGTGAATTTTCTTTGCTTTTTCTTTAGCTTTCCCAAACTACTGTACCCACTCACATCCCACCCCAACAGAGAAAACATTTTAGGAGTTTGGTCCAATTTGGTCTCCAACCAGAGCAGGATAAGAGCAGAGCTTGATCTCCAGTTTTCTCCCCAGGAGGCCAATGAAAAGAAAGTTCTGCTTGCAGTTTTGGCAAGAATGAACACCACAGCCTGTCATGTGTCCCACAGCAAGATGACACCACTGACCTAAATACCTGCTCAGGGATACTGTGCCTTCCCGCTCATAATGACTGGCTTGGATTCTTCCAAACCACTAGGTTGAGCCATTATGGCTTGGGATCCTCAGCTTCTCTCACACAGATTCAATCCTCTTAGCAGGTGTACATATCACAGGTGAATGTTCAGTCTTTGGGTGTGGACACACACAGACACAAGGTGCCCCTCAATTCATTCTCTGCAAGAGCAGCATTCTCCACCACTGTGTCTCATTTGCTGGAATAACTTCCAAGGTCTTTGCTAGGGCAAGGAGCTCTGAAACGAAAGCCCATGTCCTTGTCTGTGTCCTGGTCTCCTCTCTCAGATCAGATTTGCCAGGCTGATCTGCTACCTCATCCCACAGTTTATCTCTACAGTAAAAAAAGCATCTCCCATGAGCTCTACCTCTGTCCTACCTTGTGTTTGCCATTATGAGAATAGATTATACAGTCGGAGAGAAAGAGAGAGGGAGAGATCATCAGTCACAAGATCCATGAGCAATAAATGTTAACGTATGCCAATTTTTATCGGGAGCTGGCTGTGGGCCATGGCTGATGCTTAATATTTATTGAGTGCCCATAATGGATGAGGCCCCTTCTGACCCTCTTGTGCAACAAACCCTCAGGAGGGATAGAAAATGCCTTCCTAAGGGAATAGGGCTCCCTCACCATGAGGCTCAGAAGAGAATCTTCAAGCTGGAAGGAATTTTATTACCATATTTCATCAAATTGAAGGTGCCTTTTGATCTTACAATCTTATATTGATGCACCATTATTTTTTGGACCTAAGAAAGAGAGACACTACCATCAACTGTCAAGTGCTATGGCCCGCATGATGCATCTCGATTTCAGAGATGTTAAAATGTGACAAAATGTGCATCTTAGAGTCAAAAAGATATGCTGTTTTTATCTGGCTTTGCCCCTGACATTGACATGGAAACTCAACCATTGGTGTAGGACACTGTGTCCTTACTGAACACTCTAAGACAGGGGCCTCCCGCCTCCCCACATACTGTTATATTTGAAGCATCCTTATTCTCAAGAAGTCCTTCTTTCTGCCTGGCCAAACTCTGTATTACTTTAATTTACACTTGCTTGATCTCCCACTTACCTGGAAATAAGCTAAACCTCTTCCTCCTTATTTTAAATAAAATCCTGTAGTTGCTTAAAGACAGTAAGCAAGCACTCCAGCCTGTTCTCCTGTAAGTCAAATGACCTCAGTTCCTTTTACTGAAGTATGATTCATATATAGAAAAAAAAACAAATCACAAAGGGATAGCTTGGAATTTGTACAAAGTGAGCATATTGAGGAATCACCATGCTGACTTTTAAAAAGTATGAGCCTCTCTTGTGCCTTCCACTCCTCGTTCCCATCCTCAAATTAATCATTCTGACTTCACTCAAAACCAGAGCTGCACTTTCCCTGTTTCAAACTGTGTATAAAGGAAAGCATACAGTTTCAAAAGCATACAGCATAGAGCCACTATTCACAGTAGCAAAGACATGGAATCAACCTAAATGCCCATGAGCGGTAGGCTGGATAAATAAAATGTGGTACATATACACCATGGAATACTATGCAGCCATAAAAAAAATGAGATCATGTCTTTTGCAGGGACATGGATGGAGCTGGAAGGCATTATCCTTAGCAAGTACAATGGCCATTATCCATTATCCTTATACTTCTTTGCGCTGGTTTTCTTTACGTAACACCGTGCACACTATCTTGCTGTGTGTGGCAGTGCTTTGTTCCTTTTCACTGTAACAATACATTTATCCATTTCACTTTCCATGGACATTTGGCTTGTTTCTCATTAATGCCTATTCAGAATAACTGTCATGGATAGTCTTATGCACGCCCTCCAGGACACATAGGCACGTATTCCTGTCAGGAATATACACGGGTGTTGAATCACTTGGCATAGAGCATCAGTTCAGCTTCAGCACTGACCGCTCAACAGTTTTCCCAAGTAGTTGCGCCAGTTCTTACTCCTTCAAGCAATGCATAAGCATGTCAACTGCTTCAAATCTTTATAAACTCTTGACAACGTCTACTTCATTTTACCTTCTGGTGGGTGATAACTCATCAAAGTTTTAATTTGCATTTCCTTCATGATTAATGATCTTGAGAACCTTTTCATAAATGTGTTGGTCATCAGATATCCTCCTTAACTAAGAATCTGTTCAAGTGTTTGGCACTTTTAAAAACTTGGTTGTTTTTTTCTTTTTCATTTTTATGTTTTGTTTTTGAGACAGTCTTGCTCTGTCACCGAGTTTGGAGCACAGTGGTGCAATCAAGGCTCACTACAGCCTCAGCCTCCCAGGCTCAAGTGACCCTCCCAACTCAGCATTCTAAGTAGCTGGAACTACAGGTGCACACCACCATGCCTAGCTAATCTTTATATTTTTCTGTAGAGACGGGGTTTTGCCATGTTGCCCAAGCTGGACTCGAGCTCCTGGGATCCGCCCACCTTAGCATCCTTAAGTGCTAAGATTGCAGGCGTGAACCACTGCACCTAGTCATTTTTTCTTTTTAATTTTTAGAAATTCCTGATATATTCTGGATGTTGGATACAAATCCTTTGTTTTATATTAATCAATAATCTATTATCTAATATATATCATAGATATAAATTATCTTCTGACACTCTGTGGCTCACATTTTTATTTTTTTACATGGTGTCTTTTATGAGCAAGAGTCCTCAATTTTAATTAAAGTTTACAGCAGTTCAAGTCAGCAACATTTTCCTTTATGGTGTCTTATGTTTTTCCCATTCCACAATCATGAAAATATTTTTCCATGCCATCTTCTAAAACCTTATTGTTTTAGCTTTTACATTTAAGTCAGTAATCCATCTGCAAGCAAACTTTTATACAAATTTCCAACTGAGTCAGGACCATTTTCCCCCTGCGTCATTGCTGTGGCCCCTGTGCCACACACCGGGTGACTACACCTGCAAGTCTGTGGCTGGGCTCTCAAGTCTGTCCTTATACTAATTCCACACTGTCCTGATTACTCTGGCGTTTTTGGCCTTAATCAATTTTTTAAAATATTAAAATTCACGTTATCAATTGTCACTCATGTGATTCATCCTTAGGACACAGTCTTGTTTAAAAGAATGTCATTCATTAATGCTAAAGGAATTTCAAAATAATTTGAAACTTTTATTTGTATTTCTTGAACATTATTTCTTGGCACCTTCTCCTTTACTCCACTATCTTATTTTCCATCTTAGAAGCCAGAAAAAAATAGAAGACCCTCCTTGGAGGGTGGGAGAGAGGACAAAAATGTCAACAAATCCAGAATCATTTTTACTGGTCAGTGGGGGCTAGAAAAAAAAAAAAAGCTAGAAAGGTGCACTGCTATTCATTTGTTTTCATTTTGTTTGGTTTTAAATTTATAGAAGCCATAAAAAAACTTCATAAATTTCAGTAAATGGAAGGGAGGATGATCTATAGTTCCAACTAGCTCAACAACTATGGATTTTTGTGTATTTCTGCCTGGTCTTTATTTTATATGCATAGTTTGTCACTGTTTTTTAATTTGACATAAGAATTATAGCATGTTTTATATTACTGCAACCTCTTCATAACTTCCATTTTAAATGAATGTAATATTTTATTAAGCATATTACCAAAATTTATATAACCTTTTCCCTGCTATTAAACTTTTAGGTTGCTTTTGATTTTTCTTAGAATAGATAATACTGCTATGAACATCTTCAAGTATATAGTTGTTTTGCCTCTGTTGAATTCTGTTTTCCCAGTGGACTCTACGACTTTACATAACCACTGGAAATATTCAGTTTCAACATATAAACTTAGATTTTACTTATAAATTGTGAATTAATTTACATTTTAGTGAGGTTGGATATTTCTCAATGTGTTTCCTAGTTACATCTCCTTTTTGTTCTTTGTACATTGATACAACAAGGTCTTAATATTTTTCTTATCAATTTGTATGACACTTAATGGCAAAAACAGTCGTTATTTGCTTTTTATTCGAACTTGTGACCCTTCATGTCAGGAACAATGTGGAATTTCTCTTCATATCGTTGGTGGCTGGTAAGTGATTGGCATGCAGTGTGTGCTCAATCAATTTTTGCTGAGTGGATGGAGTTGTGTTTGTTTCAAGTATTCTTCCCCATATATTCCCACCATCTGTGCTTTGTGCATGGAAAGAATTAATAAATGTTGATTGTTTATTATGATAATGATGACATATGGTATATTTATTTTTAGTGGCATCTGCCATGAATAAGAATCCCCAATTTGGTTATTTCAGTCTGACAATCTTATGGATTGTTTTTTCTGAGGCCGTTCCACTCATTCTTGATATTAATAAAAATTCCTCTGTATGATTAATGTACTATAAATATGGAAACTTTAAAGAGAATTCCCCTGACTTTGCTTTAACTCATCAATATGCAGCTATTCATGCTTGACGATTATTTTACATTTCAGCAATATTGAATGCACTGCACTCTCTCTTGTTTCATGGTCTTTGAACATGCTGTTCCCCACCATTTCTACCACCCCTGCCCCACACCACCCCCTAACTGGCTTACCCCGTACCTTCAGATTCCCAGGTTAGCAAGCATCGTCCTGGCCTATCCCTCCCGTGGGTTGGTTGGGTCCTCCTCCCATTTTCTCCTAGCACCCAGAACGTGTTCCTTTTCATAGCAGCTCCACACAGTGTGAGAACTGTCTGCAGGGATCATATCTGGTTCGTTCTTATGCGACTCCCACCCTTCACTCCTGAATCTATCATAGTCCCTGGGACATAGTAGCAATCAAAGGTTTATTGTGGAGTGAATTAAAATGAGTGAAGGAAACTCCACATCCACCAACCTTCTCTAGCTCGGCTGATGAAGAATATTGTAAGACTTAGAAAGGAGACTCAGACCCAACTTTCCAATCTTCATCACCCCTGCCCACTGGTGAACTCTGTTCTCTCTCCCCTGTGACCCAGAAAAAAGCCTCAGGTTCCAAGCCCAGGTACTCCATGACACTGGTTCTCAACTAGAGGTGAGGTACAACCTCCAGGGTTTCATTGCCAATGTCTAGAGACATTTCTGGGTTTTATCCCTGGAAGGAGGAGGTACCACTGCTAACGGGTAGAGGCCAGGGTGCAGCTAACATCCTACAGTGCTCAGGATCCCTGCCACTACAAAGAAGTTTCTGGCCTCAACTGTCAATAGTGCTAAGGTTGAGGACCCCTCCTTTATGAAACTCTTCCCAATGACTCTAGCCTCTCTCACCCACTCTGCCCACTACTTAACAGTCTCCATTCCCCTGAAACCTGAATGACAGGGAGATTTTTCACTAGGCATAGCCAGGATGCCCTTTTATGCAGCTGCAGTCCCTGGCTCTGACAGCATTAACCATGCTGTAGTCAGAAAGGCGCACATACTTCTATTATGCAAAGAAACCTCAACAACCCTTCAGATACCTACTTGACATAAAATTATTTAATTTACATGTGCAAGCACACATTTTCACGCAGACTCCTCATTGTTACAAATTAAGTAGCAATATTGGAAAGCTTCGCACGAAATATTAAGAATAACATCTGATTTCAAAAGGCTCGATGCCATCATCCTCCATGGGAGATGTAGAAGTTAGAGACAATGGCACAGGCAAGACCTCGGGCCCCGACCCTGCCTGGCCAGCAGCTCTAAGAACTGTCGGATGAGCTCACAGCTGCATGTCATTGCAGACTTCAGAGGAGTGTTTTAAAAACCCAAGTCAGAGCAAGGCTTTCCCTGCTCAAAATCTTTCTTGGGCTTTGGACTTCACCATGAGTATAAGCTAAAAGGCTACAGGACACCCCCATGAGGTCATCCCCACTACCCCTCTTGTTCATTGGCTCCAGACTGGGCACAGAGCTATTCTCAAACCCTCCATACATGTCCAGGCCTCAGAGTTTTGTCTTCTCCAAATTTCGGCATATCTCACTTCCTCCCATTCCTCAGGTCTCTCAACATTACTTTATCTGAGAGGCCATTTCCAACTACCTGTATAAGGTAGTACACCCCGTTCCTTTCTACCCTCTCACATCATTTTATTTTCCTTTGCGGAGCTCACCAACACCTGACAATTTCTACCTTGATCTCTCTCTTTCCCCAAGTAGAATGAGAGCTTCATGAGGCTGGGCATAGTGACTCATGCCTGTAATCCCAGCACTTTGGGAGGCCAAAGTGGGTGGATCATTTGAGGTTAGGAATTTGAGACCAGCCTGGCCAACATGGTGAAATCCCATCTCTATTAAAAATACAAAATTTAGTCAGGGTGGTGGTGGGCGCCTGTAATCTCAGCTACTCTGGAGGCTGAGGCAGGAGAATTGCTTGAACCCAGTAGGCAGAGGTTGCAGTGAGCAGAGATCACGCCACTGCATTCCAGCCTGGGTGACAGAGCGAGACTCCATCTCAAAAAAAAAAAAAAAAAAGAATGAGAGCTTCATATGACAGGGTCTTTGCTCCAGGCTACAGTCCCAGCCCTTAGAAACCCTTAGCTTCTAGAACAGAGTGAATATTTAATAAATATTTGTGGAATGAATGACTCCACCATCGCATTTTGGGGTCAACCCTGGTAATGCAAAGAGATGAGGAACTTTGCTGGTCAACTCAGCAAATAGGTATCAGAATCCAACTGGGGCCTAGCGCGGTGGCTCACGCCTGTAATCTCAGTACTTTGGGAGGCTGAGGCAGGCAGATCATGAGGTCAGGACTTTGAAACCAGCCTGGCCAATATGGTGAAACCCTGTCTCTACCAAAAATACAAAAATTAGCTGGGCATGGTGGCAGGTGCCTGTAGTCCCAGCTAATGGGGAGGCCAAGGCAGGAGAATTGCTGGAACCCAGGAGGTGGAGGTTGCAGTGAGCTGAGATTGTGCCACTGCAATCCAGCCTGGGCAACAGAATGAGACTCCATCTAAAAAAAAAAGAGAGAGAGACTCCTACTGAGGTTTTGTGAATGCTGGCATTAGAGGATGATGACGAGATAGTACAACATGGCCCTTTTTGTGTGTCACTTTGCATTTGAAGTTCTCAGCAGAAACTGCCTCTGGCTAACCTAAGCCAGTGGGATTTGGGGAGCTCACAAAATTGCTAAAAAGGCTAAGAACCAGACTTGGAACTTAGCAGGAACTAAGTAGGCTTCTGGGAATGAAATAGTAGAGAGTTAGAAATGGTTCCATAGCTGGACAGACAGTCAGGATAAGAGCATTGAGTCAAATAACCTGAGATTGTTTTATTTCCTGCTTATGTTACTTATCCCAGGGTCAAAGTCCCAGGAAAGAGCACCCATAGGTGTCACCTTTTGAATTTTTGCTGAGTGTACAGAGCAGGGAAAGGAAAGGTCTGGCAGAAAATCTGCCTAAGGACTCCATTAGCCCCCACAGTGGGGGGCAGGCATCCATATTTCTTCCCCACAAGGTTGCCCGCAGCAGGTTAAGGCCTACACAGAACGTGGCAAGCTAGTAGAAAATGGAAATGAACCCAGCAGCCAAAGATGGACGATTACCATTTGGCCCTTGCCCTCAGAGAGCGGGCAGTCTATTAAAATGTTAAACTCTATTGTTAAATCACCTCTTGTTAAATCACAATTGTAAGAGGCATCAGGTCTGGGGCCCCCGTCCATGCTGATGCAGGGAGCTGAGGGTGCTGAAGAGAGAGCCTGATGGGACCCCAGCATCTCCCCCACAGTCTTCCTTCTTGGAAGTGGAGCAATTGTACCTAAGCAGACACTCACGTGCCATTTCCCCCGTCAGCCTCAAGCCCACGCTGGACCCCCTTCAACAAATATGCTGGGAGCCCCTGAGCCTCAGCAGCACTTCCTCATGTATTATCCACTTGACAACTGTCCTGCAAGACACTCATCACACAGAGGCCAAGCAGGATTGCAGAACTTGTAGAAATATGTCCATTAGCATAGTGAGGCCCCTAGGAGGCCCCTCAGTAAAGAACACAGCTCACCACAGTGTTACTTTCCAAGCTGACTTGACCACAGGACATTTTTATAAAATATAGCAGGTGTTTAGCATCCTGCTTAACTGTATCCTGCCGAACTTCCTTTGGGAAACTCCGTCCAGAGTCGAGGGTTCTTTTAGGGTGCACTCCTGCCCCCCTTCTCCTGTCTGGTTGGCTCCAGTGCATCCTGACAGGAGAAACTCTGAGCGCAGAGCAAGAGGAGAGGCAGTGCAGGCTGAGTTTGCTAATGATGTTTGGATGACTCCTTCATTTTTCTAAAGGTATCAAGGCCTCCAAATGAAGTGAATAGGTGGGAACATGGAAATTAGTTTGGGGGCTGAAATCTAACTTTATTCCTTTATGTCATTCATTGGAATTTTTATTACAATCTTCAATTCGGTGGATGGAGACCTTCCACGAAATGTAGAATTCCTTCACAAATGTGGGCAGGTGGGCTGGGCGCAGTGGCTCACGCCTGTAATCCTAGCACTTTGGGAAGCCGAGGTGGCAGGATGACTTGAGGTCAGGAGTTAGAAACCAGCCTCGCCAACATGGTGAAACCCGATCTCTACCAAAAATACAAAAATAAAATAAAATAAAATAGCCGGGTATGGTGGCAGATGCCTGTAATCCCAGCTACTTGGGAGGCTGAGGCAGGAGAATTGCTTGAACCCAGGAGGCAGAGGTTGCAGTGAGCTGAGATCGTGCCACTGCACTCAACCCTGGGCAACACAGCGAGATTCCATCTCAAAAAAAAAAAAAAAAAAAAGTGAGAAGGCTCCAGACACCGTTGATTTCCTGGTAAATAAGCCCCTCTCTTCTGAACAGAAGGTGGGTATCACAGAAGGCCCCAGGGAAGGCTGGCCATTGCCTCCACTGCTCTGTCCACCCCCTCAGGACAGAAGCATCCTAGAACAGACAGGGAGGGGTTCTTCCTTCATTGTGACTTGCATCTGTATTGTCCTATGGGGACCATTTGCCTCCCAGAACCCACAGTTGTCCTGATGAGGAGTGAGGGAAAGACGTCGCCTGGCTGGTGAATGCTGAGTACAGAAACTTCTATTAAGCTCAGGGGTACCAGACGCTTGGGGTCAGTGCAAGAACCAAAGAGCCACCTGTCTTGCCTCGTGTGTGAAGGGCTTATTACTGTGATAATAAAACCTTACCCTGGCTTGAGATATGTTCTTCCAACTTAAGGAAGCATTACTGCATCTTTGACATCACAATTAAAATGGATCAGTAAGGAGAAATAATGATTGATCTTTGAACTATTGTGCTGAAGTGTTAAAAGTGCTAAAATGTGCCTGGAGCAGAAACTGAATCACAGGGATCGATACAGTGAGCTATATTGGTGCAATGGCTGCTGCTGGCAATAAAAAAACAGAGTTGATGCTGAAACTGCTTCACCAGGAGCATTCACCTTGATTTTTAAGTGAAGGTGTAACTTTCTTTGGGGCTGTCAAAACTTCTCAACTCTTCTCCGTCTGCAAGGACAATTCATTCAGCAGCTGCCTCCGCTGCCATGACAAAGGCCATGTTGCTAAATTCAAAGAGGGCTCAGTGAAACCAGGTTGAACAGACAGGAGCTGTGATTTAGATTTTTCTTTTTCTTTTTCTTTTCTTTTTTTTTTTTTTTTTGAGACGTAGTCTCGCTCTGTCACCCACGCTGGAGTGCAGTGGTGCAATCTTGGCTCGCTGCAACCTCCGCATCCTGGATTGGAATGCTTCTCCTGCCTCAGCCTCCCAGGTAGCTGGGATTACAGGCATGCGCCACCACGCCCGGCTAATTTTTTGTATTTTTAACAAAGATGGGATTTCTCCATGTTGGCCAGGCTGGTCTAGACTCCTGATCTCAAGTAATCTACCCACCTCAGCTTCCCAAAGTGCTGGGATTACAGGCATGAGCCACTGCACCTGGCCTCTTTTTTCTTAAACAATGAGTATAACTGGTTATTTTCATTTCTAAGAACTGGTTCCACTGTAACATGTCTCATGAATGATTAGGAAAACTTCACTGTGGTCCATGCGGGTGTAATGGAATCGAATTTACCAGGAGTGAGGCCTACAGGGAAACTTTGCAAAGGAGCACACGTCTTGATTGTCTCTGTGGGGTTCCTGCCTCCAGCCTGGAAATCATGGCTGAAATTCCAGAAGTTTGGCAGCTCCAAGGTTAAAAGGAAAAAAAAAAGAAAGAGGTGAAGCATGGGTGAAAGGGAGATTTGCTGTTAGAATACTCACTGCTAGTTCATTTCTACCTTCTGGCAGTTAAAGGTAAAAAGGAGTAAGTTAATAGGTTAAAGCTATGCACTGTAATTTCTTTTCTCTTGTCTCCTCAGCAAAAAGAAAACCCAACTCCTAGGTACTCAGCAGAATTCTCCTCCCTTGTATTTTTTAGGCAGAGTCTTGCTATGCTATCCAGGTTGGTCTTGAAATTGTGGGTTCCAGCGATCCTCCCAACTCGACCTCATGTGTAGCTGGGACTATCGGCATGCGCCTCTGTGCCCGGCTATAAAGCAGAACTTGTTTTCATGTTAAGATGAATAGTGCTGGTTGATTTCTCAAAATGCTGGGCCAGTTTTCTCCGAATATGAGAAAACTTGCTTGTTCTTTTAATCTCGAAAGAGCAAGTGTCTCTTAAAAAAAAGTGCATGGAATTATACCCAAACTATAAAGTAGACATTTGTCTTTATCATGAAATTAGTTCCCTCCATGTAACACGTGAAAACACCTTCGCCTGGCAGGGAAGAGGCCTGGATTCCAGCCCTACCAGGCTGGGTCACTCCTGTGTTCTGTGGCTCAGTTTTCTTATTGGACAAATGAGACAAGGCAGCCTCTAAAGATTTCTGGCTTTGACATTCTTGGGATCTCCAAATGTCCATTTGCTATAGTGAATTTAAAATGCCAAGGCCTATGTCTTATTCATATATTGTCAAAGCCTTTCTCAAAGAGTCCATTAGGTGGTGGAAAGGAAAAATGGGTGGGTGGATGGATGGATAGATCTATGGACGGATGGATGGATGGATAGACGAATGGATAAAAAGATGAAAAAAATAGGATGGATTTGGGTGATTGGATGTTGTGTTTGTTGCTGTTTCACAGCTTCTTTATTTGTGGAGAATTCCAGGACTCACCATCAGCCCTCTGCTTGAGGTCTGGTGGTCACTGGGAACGTTGAATGGAGCCCAGGGGGAGGCATGCTGATCTTGCTAGAGGTCAGGCTCCCCAATGCAAGGCAAGTTCTATTGGCTCTGCCTCTCAGCAGTGAAAACAGTTCAATAAGTAATTTGGGGATGGTTTTGCAGAGTGGACAGTTCTGAACACTTGGCAGTAAGCTGTCCTGACCTGGGCGTCTCCCCAGCCACTCACTTGCCTGCCTGTCCTGTATCCAGTCCCTGCAGCTTCTGCAGAAACCAGGCTTGCCTGCCCACCACTCACTCTCCATGTTCCTCACTGGCAGGAGTGCAACTGGTGATCCCAGCCACTACAGAGGGGCAGGGGCTGGTCTGGGACAGCTCTGCCCCTTCCAAACACACTGCTATCATGGGTGCCCACCGCTGTGTAGACACTTGCTCTACCCCGTGGCACACCCTGGCCTTTAAAGAGATCTCTGCATGGTGCTTCTGTAAGAATCGGGGCTCTTAATAGAACTCCTTGTGACACTGCCAATGCACAAATTAGGATTCCAAACACAAGCCAGTGTTCCAGACAATTACATCCTCATCAGGATTGGAAGACAGAAGCAGCCTTCAAATGTGGCATTTAGGGCTCTAACTGCTCACGAACGATGAAGGCTGATTTCAACGGCATTCATTTACCATCACTGACCTCTTCCTGCATTAATTGTGAAGGGTAAAAACTTTTATGACGACAGCTTCTTAGATGCTAATTCCATCTTTTTGGCGAGAGAACTAGAAGCCCAGCTTATCCTAGCTAATAGGATGAAAGAGGCAGACACTCTCTAGCAAAGAGTTCTCATGAGCAATGTCTGATGGATACATTCTAATGAAGGAGAAACATCTGGCCAGAGACCATCTCTTCGGCACCCTCAGATAAGCCTCCTCCCTGATGCACAGCACATCTCAATTATCAAGAAAGGTCTGTGCAGAGACAAATGACAGGTGTTAAAAGCAAGAGCAGGAGACAGAGCTACCAGCTGCCTGACAGATGCAGACATCTGAAGGGATCTATTCTTTATGCAATGACTTGAAAGGGGGAAAGTTTTCAAAGTAGCTTTAAATTCCATATACTTAAAATTTTAGTTAAACTAACCAGGAAACCTGAAGCTCACAAGGGATGAGTAGCCATTTGTAGAAAATAGGCTTATAAATAATATGGCCATGAATGTTTTGTATTCCAGGTGGATATGACATCCCTTTCCATTACTAAATCCACATACTTGGTATTCAGTGAAGACAGGAGCCATGAGCCCGGCAAAGCACTGTCCAGGGACAGGCCAGGCAGAGCAGGATTTGCTGAATGTCAGCTGCAAGGAAAAGTGAGGGTGGTGGGAGGGTGGGGTCTCCAGACCCCAATGATCATCTGTAAACCTCACTGCTAGACAAGCCTCCCTTTTACATTCACCAACTTCTCTTTTAGCTTGCAAATATCTCTGAGTTTTATCCTGCATTAACTATATGACATTGCTCATATTTCTTTCCTCTTAAAATATAGATAATAAAAATAGCGGCTGCCTGTGTGTGCACTGCATGCAAGGCCTGGTGCCGGCAGGACCATATTTCATCTTCTTGATGTCCCTGTGATGCAGGGACTATAACTGTCCCACTTTAATAACAACAAAATGGAGCTGGATATCTTAAATCCCTGATGCCCTCGTACTTCACCAACACGCTGCTCTGCCTTTATGTTGAAGGCCTTCATTCAGCAAATCCTGTCTGGACCCCCACTCTGTGCTGAGTCCTGCAGATGCTGGATGAAGAGGGCCCAGCATGGCACCAGTGTAGTCACTCTGTGGTTGAGCTCATGGGGGTTGGGATAGGCAAGGGAGGAGGGAGAGGTGACCATGCTGATGTGATGGCCCAGGCAGGGCTCTGAGAAGTGTAGAGGGGTCCTGGGCTTGGCGATGGTGGGGTCGGGAACGGGGAGAAGAGCGCAGAGTGGGGGCAGTGAAGAGGAAGTTTGAAAGGACAGAAACTTCACTCAAGCCAAGTCCGTCTGATAGACGCTCCGTGTGTCTGGTCTAAAGTCAACAATTACCATGAGTGATCACCCAGTGCTGTCTGTGGCTCTGAAGCCCCCACAAGCACCATGGTGACAAAGGCTTACAAGCAGGTACTCCAGTGGCAGGCCAGGTTTAGAGAGGTTATTTAACCTCTCCAGGTGTCAGTTACTTTACTTCTGAACTAAAAATAATAATCAGCAGCTCTTGGATCTATTAAGAGGATGAAGTGAAATGTGACATCATCTTCCACCCTCCATTCCCTTACCATCCACATCCAATGCTCCAGCCAAGCCTGGGGCTCTATTTGCAACAACCTGGGAATCACCCTCCTTAACTGGGACAGCTGCTGCAGGCCTCTGATGTGTTTCCAGCGTTCACTCCTGCCCTCCTTCATTCATACCGTCAAGGGAGATTCCGCGTGGAGCAGAGGATACTCACTCACATGTACACCCTTCCACACCTCTAGAAGGGGCCACAGCAGTTTTGTACTTGTCATTTTGTCTTCCATTTCTTAAATAGGGTTGGCCAGATTATCCAGGTGTTAGGCTTTATAACACCAGAATCTGTTCCAGCATGCACAACAGTCTTCTCACAAAGCAAAACGAAGCCTGTCACTCCCTCCTTTTGTACCTGTTAGCAGCTTCTCCTGCACCAAACAGAAAACTCGCCACTGTTACCTCAGCCCTCCTCCTTTCTAGCTCTCCAACTCGTTTTCCTACTACTCACGCCATTTCTTGGTAGGATCAAGCCACAGTGAGTTTTATCTTGGCTCCTTGAACACACCAGTCCCGTTCCTTCCTCAAAACGTTTGCAGATCCTGCTTCCTCTCCTGGAGACAGCTGCCCCTTGCCCTGCTGCTTGCATGGCAAACTCCTATTCAACCCTCTACACCTGAAGCAGAATGGCCCTTGGTTTTTGCTCTCTTATCTCTTTGTTGCAGTAATTTTGCTTGTTTGTCCACTTGATGCTTGCCTTTCCTGAAGCACTAGAACATAGATTTCAGGAGAGCAAGTTCCCTTGATCTCTTGCTCAGCATTGCATGCTCAGTGCCCGGCACAGTTCCTGGTGCATAGGAAGTATTCAGTAAGAGGGGAACCACCCTTCTGATTTAGCCACCCTCTACCTCCCTGGCCTCTGAGATTGCAGAACACCACCAGCACCAACACCCAGGGCAGGGACTTGAACAGTCAACAAATGAAATTGAGGACAGGCAGCATAAACACCAAGACCCAGCAAGCAGAGGCACAGGCAGCAGCACAGAAAGAACGAGACAGTCACGAAAGAACCACAACGTGGACCTTCCTCTGCAGCCTGAGGACTAGGTCACGGTAGGAGTGCTAAGAGCAGATGGGGCAGGCGTCAGACACTGACACAGGGGACCAGACACTGTCCTCACGTGTGTAGCCGCAGATGCCCCAGTAGAGCTGGAATACAGTGGCCTTGGAGAGCAGCCCCAGAATCCCAACACAAAGAAACTGGCGAAACTCATAATGGAAGAGATGAGGAAATTTCCAAGAATGACCTCGAAGAGACACCATGTTGCCCAGAAACCAGAAGTCTCAGAGTTCATAAGTGACGGTAAGTTTCAGGCCAGGTCTGCCTGACCTTGAGGCCTTTCCACCCCACCCTCTAATGTTGCCACACAACCAGTCCCTAGTTGTGTATTGGGTTCTAATGCTGTGTTGGGTGCTGGGGCTGCAGCAAGGAGGGTGACACAGGCAGTTGCTGGGCCTCAGGCTCCCAAGCTAGCAGGCATCCAGCACTGCCTCTCTGAGTACTTAATACACCCCAGATCATTGGCCCCCACTGCAGTCCTTGAGGGAGAAATAGGACCTCCATCTTAGGCATGAGCAATTCAGAAACCCCATAAATATTCCCATTTGGTAGATAATACTGAGATCTGAACTTTTCCAGATCTCAGTATTATCTACCAAATGGGAATATTCATTTTATACCATTCTCATGTAGTGGTTGTGAAAATAGCACAAATCCTTTTCAATGCCCAGTGAATTGCTGGGTGTGGAGTTGGTCCCAGACACTATGCACTACTGCTTTGTTGTAGAAGCATGGCAATAGGGGCTCCAATTCTCTACAGCCCCTCCCCAGGGACCCTGCTCTTTTCAATGAACTTTTAGATCTTTCCATCAAGAGGTAAGGTCTGTATTTCCACCTCTAGATTCGGAGTTGTGCCATTATATTTACTTTGCTTTGAATGTGAACTTATGCATTTTCTCTTCTGTGCTTGGCCCCAGCCTTCACCTTGTGAACATTTTTAGATGAGCCTGAGTGAGCAGAGCCATCACCCCAACTGACAGCTCACTGACCCCACAAGCGGGCCCAGTGAGAGCAGAACACCAAAACTGCCGACCTGCAGCCCTGAGAGCTAAAGAAATGCTTGTTGTTCCATAAGCCACTGAGTTGGAAGATGCTTTGTTTATTGGCACTGTGGCAACAGATACCTGAATCCCATGGCCGTTCATACCCAAGCCTATGCCAGGTCCTCTGACAAAATGGCACTTCTGGATCTACATGGCACCTTCTGCCATCATACAGACATGCCCCTACCCCTGCCAATCATGTGATAAAACTGCCTGGAAGGGGGTGATGTCCAGGTTCTGCAGGCATTTTCCATCCTCCCTCCATCAACTGCCCAAAGACCTATGAGGCAGGAATTTTGCTGATGGGCAAGAAATGATGTGGAAAGGGAGGCCTAGGACATCCCAGGGCCACATGATGTCTTGGAGAATATCTCACAGTATCTGTCTGAGGTGGAGCAGCACACAGGAGCTGTGAGGTCACCAGCCCCTGCTGGCCCGCTGTGAAGTACAGGCCAGGAGACAGGCCTGATCCACCCAATGGGATGGCCTGATGAACATGGCCAAGGCCAAGGACAAAGCTGGCCATTGCAGGGCTCCTGGCCCAGAAAGATTTGGGGAAGGAGGCTCCGTGGCAAGCTGGGAGAAGAGTGGCCCCTCCTGTAGGATGAGGCTGCAGGAATAAAGAAAAAGCCAGGCGTGGGGACGGGCTGAGCATGGAGACCAACTGTGCATGTTACTAGCAAGCGGGGAGATGTCCGACTTCCTGGGATGGCAGGCTCAGAGTGAGCTCTCAGGTCATCCAACAGGTTGTCCTTCCCTTCTGTGAGACCCACCCCAGTGCTCACTCTATTTCCCTCTTCCCAACCTCTCTGCTTCCCCCAACACGCAGGAAACATAATGCTTCAGAAAAGAAAATAATTACATGGACACACCTGTAAGCATCTGTATCTTTTGGCAGGTGGAGAGGTTGATATCATGTGCTGCTAATTTAAAAATTAATGATTAGAATTAGTCATTACTCATTGGGGAAATTCTAATCAAAACTACAATGAGGTATCACTTCGCACCTGTCAGAATGGCTGTTATCAAAAAAGAAGAAACGATAAGTTTTGGCGAAGAAGCAGAGGAATTGGAACCTTTGCACACTGTTGGTGGGAATGTAGAATGTTGCAGCCACTATGGAAAACAATGTGGAGTTTCCTTAAAAAATTAAAAATAAAACTACCACATGATCCAGCAATCCCACTTCTAGGTATATATCCAAAAGGCTTAAAATCAGATTCTCAAACAAATATCTGCACTCCCATGTTTACTGTAGCACTCTTCACAGTATCCAAGAATCAACCTGAGTGTCCATCAATAGGTGAATGGATAAAGAAAATGAGGTGTATAGGCACAAAACAATACTATTCAGTTTATAAAAAGAAGGAAATCCCGTTACAACATGAATGAACCTTGAAGACATTATGCTAAGTGAACAAAGCCAGACACAAAAGGACCAATACTATATTATTCCACTGATATGAGGTATCTAAAATAGCAGAATTCATAGAGTCAAAAAACAGTGGTTACCAGAGCTGGAAGGCAGGGAAACATGAAGACTTAATAATCAATGAGCATAAAGTTTCAGTCCAGCAATATGAGTCAGCTCTAGAGATCCACTATACAACATTGCACCTAGAGTCAACAAGTGTACAATAGCGTATTGTACACTTAAAAAAAATCTACTAAGAGGGTAAATCTCATGTTAAGTATCCTTAGAGCACAATAATAAAAAAGATTATGATGAGTGTCTTATATCTATTACGACTACTCCTCATAAAAACAATGCAAGGTAGGTACTATCATTTTTCACTTACAAATTGTAAAATTGAGTCTCAAAAATTAATTAAGTTGTTCATGGTCACAGCATGAACCGTGGAAGAGCTGGGATTTTCCAAAGCCTCCTATTTTCACCCAGACACTGACTCTCAATCTTGTCTCCTAAGGAAAGAACAGTATCCTTTGACACAAAATTTTAATCCGTGCTCTGGGCACCCCAAGCTAAGAATCCACATTCCCAAACTTCATCACACAGTGCGGCTTTCTGGAAGGGAAGTCCCTGACCCCCAGTGTTGCCCATTTTCAAAGCTGTCCAAGAACAAGGCCTGGCCAACCGCCTCAGGCTGCCTGTCTCAATGTTTAATCACCCTTACAGATTGTTTCCCAAGTCTCATAAAAAGAACAAATCAAGCTTAAGCACACACAAGGCATTAGTGAACGCCACATTCAGAGATGATTTGGTAGCTGGACTCCTGCCAGCACTGGTATGAAGGTTCTAAAAGAAACTAGAAGCTGAGGGTCATTAAAGTAAAGCTATTTAATACCGGAAAAGGAAGAAAATTCTAAAGCACGGTCCTATTACAGATTATTGCTTCTTCCCATCTTCCAGTTAAAACCCAGAGCACACATCTACCACCTCTTCTCCATTCAAGGCATGGGGGGTGCGGGGAGAAGAGGGGCCAGGAACCATTCCACCCTCGAAGAGCCCAAAATATCAGCTGTGGCTTAAGGGCACCAAGATAATCACATTCGTGAGAGCCATAAAATAGAGTGGGCTCAGGATTTAGGAACTGGAGTGCAGATCAATAAAGAAGCAGGGCCCGTCTCTGGGTTAAAAAGGACCACCACAGTGATAACCTGCTCCTTCCATGGAGCTCCAGATTAACGAGATGCAATCTCAATATTCAATGAGAAAGCAATCAGTGTCACTCATATGGTCTGCACTCCCCTCCCAGACCTGCGGACAGTAGTTTTCAAATCATGTTTGACACACTATGGGATGTCTCTAACTGCTCAGGGGAGTGGGTCCACCTGGCAGGGGTGCTCACCGTCCTCCTTCAGCCAGAGCTCCTCCACTTTAATCTGTTATATAACCTGGCCTCCCATAAGATTTTCTCTTCAGAAAGATTTCCATTTAAAAATATAAACTGCTTTAGGGAAACCTAGCCCTCTGTGATCTGTACTCACTCCAAATGGTCAAGGTAGTTTGAGAGACAGACACTTCACAACTGAATCTCTCACAATATTATTCAGGAGCTCTCCCCTCAGCGCAGAGGTCAAGCGGTGGCATTGTCAAATACCAGCCTAAAGGGAGAAGGTTCCGGGAGGTTTTATAATCATAAGGTCTCCTCATGTACCCAAGGTAGGCATGTGACATGAAGCCAGGGCTCTTTCAAGAACAATGACACCTTTGAACAAGAAGCCAGACCTTACCTGTCTTCTGCTCAAACACAGAAATACAATTTGCAGCAGGACACGTGACATCCTTGTACCCCCTTGGAAGCTGGAAAGAGATCATCGGCCCTAATTTTCTGTTTTTGATAACAATGACCCCTCACACGTGTTACAAGCTGTGTCTCAGCCAGGCGTGGGCCTTCCTGCCTACCGCATTTCACCAAGGGGAGTTAAGGGCAAGTTATCAGCGTACCACACACAGAGAGAAAGAGAGAGACTCACTGTTGAAAAAGAAGAGAGAGGCAAGCAGGTTAGGAGGTAATTCGTTCCAAAAAAAAGATGCTGTATGATAATGGTCTCATGGCCAACACTGACATTTTTACCAAGATATAAAATAAGCCGTGAAAAGTCATAGGTGTGTAATGAGAGGACAAATAATTGTGTTTTGTTTGGCAGTTGCTTCACTCCACCTGTCCTTGTCTCCTCCAGCTCTGCCACACTTCAGCTTCCAGATAAATATTCCTTTTCTGCTGGGAAGCTGGATATTAACATGACCATTATATTAAATAACACAATAAGCTTCAAAAATACATTTAATTCCTTGTGTCACTTTCAATTTATGTTGCATTTGTTTATATGCTTTTTTCTTTTTTAGAAATCCTTTCCTTAGATAGCCAACTGAGCAAAAGCCACTAAAAAAAATAAAAATAACACTTTAGCTCATAACCAAGTCTATTCTCTCCATGCCTTATTAACAATATTTCACCAAAACAAGCAGCATTCTGCACAGCGGGGACCACAAGAGTTTGGGAACATGCCCTCTCTGTGCAGTGTTTTCCTGATAACATACAGCCCTTGGAAGGAGTGTGTGACTTCCAGTGATTATTTGTAAGTATTATTTTTCTCTTGGGGGGCGCTCTTGATATACAACTAACAATTAATAAGGAAGTCGAAACAAATAAACTTCTTTCTTTAAAGGAGCCGAAAGTCACACCAAAAATAATGCATAAGCCCAACTTGGACTTCTGCAGAGGTTAGCGTTCTTGTTCTGGGGCCAGGCAACACCAGGAGGAGACAGACTGATGGAGTCAGAGGAAGAAGAGGAGGCTGATGCCAGGAGGAGGGCAGATTGATTCAGCGTGGTGAGTAGAAAGCAGACACAAGGGGACATGCACTCTGTGTCGTCTCAAAGTCCTATTGATGTCTGCCTTCTGCCTTGGAGATGGGCCTGATTCCCTGTCTCCATGCCCCACCCAGACTTCATCCTAGACTTAGCTCCTACCTCCCACCAGCCAGCCCATTCCCCCACCAGGGGGTTATTGAGTGCTTAGGCACAGCACTGAGACTGGCAAGCAAAATCAGACAGGCCCCTGCTCTTGCGGAGCTTGTGGTTTGGATGGAGGAGCAAGTATTCATCAAATCCAAATCAACCTGAAAGCATGACTGCAACAGGCACAGCAGGGGAGAGAAAGGTGGACACCACCGATTGGTCATGACATCGGGCTGGCTTCCAGAGGACATGCAGGTAAGGGGCTACAGGTCAGGTCGGTGAGGGTCATGGCCACTTGGCAGGATGGAATCCACAGGCATGGGCAGGGATCCCAAAGCAGTAGGCACATGGTGGCAGAGGGTGGGACAGAGTGGGAAGGAGATGGAGTGCAGGGTGCAGGACCCAGGGCCTCGGGGCCTTTTGCACCACAATAAAAATGGTCCTTATTCCAAGAACAACTGGAAGGCATGGAAGGGTCTTAAGCAGGGGTGGTGTGGTCCGAGCAGGTCATTCTGGCTGTAGATGGAGATGAGAATGAGGAAGGTACAGTTGGGCTATTGCAGGAGTCCAGGCCAGCATGTCAGTGGCTAGAGAGAAGAGGCTGGGCCCCAAAGATGGTGAGGAAGCAAATCAGAAGGACTTACTCATGGTTGGACATTGGAGTGAGGGAAGGCAGAAAGACTCCAGGTTTCCAGCGTGGCTGACAACAGCGGTGTCGTTGCTGACATGGAACAGCATTCCTGAGTTCAGAGCGATGGCGGGCTCTAGGTCGGGGTTCACTGGGCCCCCCTGCCTCCCTAGGCCCAGTCTAGAACTCAGATTTCTGCATTGCTCTGGGAAGTGAATTCATGACTTGGATCTGATTCCTCTGCCCGATCCTGGGACCTCAGGAGCTCTGGATGGGGCTGGTCATGAGCCAGGGATGTGTGTGGGACCTGGGCACCATCTCTTTCCACTGTATCCCCACCCTACATTCCCAGTCACCAAAATGTGCCTCCTCTGAGGACTCTGTGTCCTCTTGCTGCACCCCTGACACTGCCTCTTGCCTGGTTGGTGTCCACACTTGCCTCTCACCATGCCCCTAGGAGCCAAGTCTCAACTTTCTGTCACACCTTCTAGCACATCTGGATCAGCAGCTGTGCTGATCCCTGGGTCCCAGCTGGTCTCATTCTGCCCACTCCTCTACATCTTCTCTCTCCCCCTGCCAGGCCCTCCTGGTGAAAGGCCTAACATCGAGGTCCAGTATGACCTGTGCCTTGACATCTGGGGAAAATGATGAGGGCCTTGGATGGCCTATCATATTTCCTCTCCCATGCTGCTCCCTCAGATAAGCTCCCCCAGCCAAACAGCCCTCCTTATCATGGGATCACAGGAAACCAAAGTCACCCCGCCCTCTTTTTACTACAAAGCCTGCCTCCCACAGACCCAATGTGTTCACACGGTTCCTCAGTGCAGTCCTCACGGAGCCCTCCTCCCTGGAGCCATGAGCGTATGTGGCTAATAAACAGCTGTTGACCTCAACTGTCCAGTGCTGGGTATCATGTGTGGGCATTTCCATCACGCTAGAGCAGCAATCCTTCCCTCACCACCAGGGTGAAGAGGAGGCCATTAAAACAGCCTTTTATGGAATAACTTTACGCTGAGTAACTCTTAGACATGCGGGAATGACAATCACTTGGATGAGCAAATATTACACCTTTCTTTCTTAAAAACCCAGCAAACTCCAAAAGACCGTGAGTGGTGGTTTTCACAGGGATGCTCATGACAACTTCTTGCACACCCATAGGCTCTGATGCTACAGGCCTGGGTGAGGCCTGGAGACCTATTTCTGTGGTAGGCTTGATCGGTGATTCAGATGCACCCCTCCAGTTGACAACTGCTGCCAACTCAAAGCTATTTATCTTGCTCTGTGGTTGCAGGAAAATCTCGTCTCCATGGCGCATGATGTGCGGTTGCTGCTCAGCCATGATACTCAGGCCTCTTAACGATATCTCCCCAGGAGGTGCTCCTTCTAAGCAAAACCAAAAACCAGTGCCAGACGCCTGTCTCTCAGACCTGGCTCCTTTATTCAGATCAGGATACCGATGCCCAAAGGTGCCCACCATGACACCCATGGCGAGGTAGAAGGGCTCAAACACCTCAGAGGGGGAATTCATTGAAATCATGGGTAGGTCTCCTCATTCCACTCTTCTGAGAATGAGACACGGGGCCTCCTGGACTGTCCCCCACATGTCCACCCCGATGTCTGATTTCCTCACATCTGGATGAAGTCTTGTTGCCAACTGCCTTGGTACACAAGAGGCAGTAACTGAGCATTCATGCTTTTGAGAGGAAGCTGTAAAATCTGGCTGATGCATTTCTGTCTGACACAAAGCTATATAGACTGCGAAATCTGCAGTTGAGCTCCTTTCGTAGTACAGTGTTTTACCAATTACTTTTTAAATTAGATTATGTTACCAGGTGATAGGCAAAGGCCAAATTAGAGCAGAAACTCATGGAGGGGGAAACAGTTGCTTATTGCACTATTTGTGGGTGATTGCAGCAAAATTGGGGGTCAAGGCCCAGGGAGCCATGAAGCAGAGTAGAAGATGGCACAGAAGCACAGCGGCTCTTCATAAGAGGACACACAGGTGTCACACAGTGGCAAGGGCCGGATGGTCTATTTTCTCTCTAATAACATCCTACCCAAGCAGGCACAACAGACTCAAATGCATCCTCTTATGGCCTCCACAGGAAGCAGGAGTAAATGCGTTTTATTCTCCAGTGATCAGAAAAGCAATGCTGCCTTTTTCCACCACCGCTGTGCACGGCAGGGTGAATGCTAGCTGAAGTAAACACCAAGCAGACCCCATCCAAGCCACTTCTGGGGGAGCCTCTGTCCCTCTCAACAAGGGAAGCTGAGGAGCAGGTCAGAAGCCTGTTGCTCAAAGCTCTTGAAGAGCAGAAAGGCAGATGTTTTCCCCATGGGGTTCTCAGCCACTCACACGCTGATTCCCACCCTGCTCCGCAGGTTTGCCTGGGAGGATAAAGTGAGAGCCTCTGAAGGAGAAATGGCTCCAATAGCTTCTTCATACAAATGATGCCATTCAGTCTATTGAACCACTTCTCCCTGCTGATCCCTGAGCTTGGAAACATAGAGATGAGAAAATAAGTTCCCTACACTCAGAGCCCACGGTCCTGGAGGGAAAAAGGATAAGTCAGCAAGGTCACGTGAAAGGATTGTGGTTGTGGTTGTGCAATCAACAAAATGCCCTGGAGAGACCTGGGGTGGGGTGGGGCAGGTTGAATCAAGCTTCAGTCAAAAGAAAGAGTTTTATCAACAGAAACATATAGAAGGGTTTTCAGACAGAAGAGTCTCTGGACAAGGAGAGAGATAGGCAAGGGCTGGGTGCAGAGCACTTGCGAGGCCATGGACCTGGAGAAAAACCCAGAAGGATAAATCAGACTCTGAGGGGGAAAGGCACTAAATGCTATGCCAAGGAGCTTATATTTTGTCCTCTGGGGACTGATGTGATTTTTGATTGGAGAAGTTGCATTGATTGGAGATACTCTTATAAATTGTTGAATACATGGCTTCTCCCATGGGCAGGGAGAAATCTATGGGAAGGAGGCAGATGGAGTGAGGTACAATGAAACGGTTTCTGTAACAAAAGATAATCCACACACTGAAATTCCAAAAATTAGAGCCTTCCTAAAAACCAGGTGTTTCAGGGAAAGTAAACAGATAAATGTGGTGTCCCTTCTATACCTTGTTAACAGAGAAGCTGCATTTACAAGTGGCTTCTTCTGGAAGAGAAAATAAATGTAACTCGCACCAGGTTCTGGGATGTTTTTAAGGGATCCTAGAACAACCCTTCCTTGAATCATGACGAAGGGTATAGGGTTTATTGGGGCAACTAATGGTTTAATTCAGTACTAATGAAATAGAAACTGTTGTTATGAAGGAAGCAAATCACTGCTTTTGTAAAATCTGGAATAAAAGAACAATCATCCTCAAGTTTTAAGTGAAATATAATTACTTTATCCCACTCATCAATCAAAGTTTAAAAACTGAAGGTTGTAAAGGTCAGGTTAAATCGATCAGAAGGGAGAAAATTCCACGCCCCCCGCCATCCGCCCGCTCCTTTTTCCCTAAACCAAGTGAATCAGTCATTAAAAGTTCCAAGTGACCTTCATCATTTCCCTCTCTATTTACATTTCCCCTAAATGATTTCCCCAGAAATGGCTGAACTAGACACCTGACTTCCAATCGCCCTCAATCCATAGACCAAGCAGTCTCATCGGCAGACAGGTAGCACAGTGATGGGGAAATGTTACAAAATCTTTTTGTAACATGCAGAATGGGGATCTGAAAGGGACTTTTTACCTCTCTCTGATTTTAAAAGCAGATGTGAGTTTGGACAGAATAGTCACCCTTCCTACATTTGTTTTCTCCTTTCGTGTTCAGATCCTATTAATCATAGTAAACTAATCTTTTACACAGGCCAACAGATTTCAAAGGCCCTGCCAGGAGGACAATTTAACTATAAGAAATCCACTCCCCACCCTTCCCAGTCTTGGAATTTCCAGTGACTGAGGAGGTGAATAGCTTCATTGTGAAAATGAAGGATGCAGAAATGAAAATTCAGAGATGACATTCAATTCTGATTTCCTGCTTGGGCTCTATGCACCCTGTTTGGAACAAATACCCCACTGATGGAGCTGCTGCTGGAGGCTACCACCCGCATCACTGAAGTTTAGAGCAGCTTCATAAAGATCACAGCATCCAAAAGCACCCTTGTTTAAGAGCAAACCAAGAAATGAGGAAGTGGAAGGACCATTCCAAAGATGAATCGCTAATTGATGGCAAGGTCAACGCTGGCACTACGTACTTCAATTTAAAAGACAAGGCTGGGTGCGGTGGCTCACGCTTGTAATCCCAGCACTTTGGGAGGCCAAGGTGGGCAGATCACGAGGTCGGGAGATCGAGACCATCCTGGCTAACATGGTGAAACCCCGTCTCTACTAAAAATACAAAAAATTAGCCGGGCGTGGTGGCGGGCGCCTGTAGTCCCAGCTACTCGGGAGACTGAGGCAGGACAATGGCATGAACCCGGGAGGCAGAGCTTGCAGTAAGCCCAGATCGCGCCACTGCACTCCAGCCTGGGCGACAGAGCGAGACTCCATCTCAAAAAAAAAATACAAAACCCTGATGTCTGCTCTGTGGTTTTCAGGACAGTGCTCCTCTTCCCACCCCACACATGTGGCTCCTCCTGGTTTTGCAGCTCCATCCTCTTCCCAACTCATATCTTCTCTCCCGCTGTAATCTCAGCCATTCTCATGGTTTCTCATACCACCCTCGTGTACACCATGATGATATCAAGATTTACAACCCTGACCTGTCTCTTGATCTCTATGCCACACTGCCAGCTGCTTCGCGAGCATCTGGAGCAGATGAGGTCACATTGACCTCTCACACGTAGAGTTTCCAAACACCACAAACTCAGGATCCTCCCACCAGCACCCCGCTAACCCCATAAGCCTCCTGGATCCTGAGTTCCCTACCTTATGAATGACAGCACTATCTATCCAGGAACATCTTTAACTTTTCCCTTATCCCAACAGCATGTAAATAATTTGACTAATTTCTAGGGCTCCAGAAGTTCTAGCCACCATAGCCACTGCTCCACCTAAACCCACATTACCCGCCACCTGGAATATCACAACAGAGTTGTCTTCCTAGCACTTGGATCAGATAGTGTATTCCAGCAACTTCAAAATACTTCATTGTTCCTCTTTGCCTACCTAATAAATACAGATTAAAAATAGGTGAGAAGGCTGATTTATTTTGGCTTAATGCCATTGAAAAGCTTTCTAAAAATCCCTGCTGTGTGAGCACACCATGGGCTGCCTTAAAACAGAGTGAGTCCCCTGTCCCTGGAGTTTACTATGTGGCCAGCCCACTCCACAGGGTCTTCCCCATTCCTGCATGGGGATGATGAAGAGGGGTTTAAAACATCAGACATCTCAGAGAAGCTAGACAGAAGGACCTCTGTGGCCCCTCCCAAGCTGGAGATTCTACGGGCCTACTTATGCCTTTTGAGATACATGCCTGGCCCACGGATTCCTTCTAGAACATTGCCCCACTAGCTCATCACCCCCAGGATTGGGCCTCTGGAAGTTGTACATCTAATATCTGACCTTGCCTCCTGACTGATGGTCGGGTCAGCATGGCGCCTGACCCAGCAGTTCCAGGTAAGGGTCCGCACGCTCTTGCTGCCAGGGCCCAAGTAGCAACCTTGGTTCCTGTCTTTCTACACCCCAGTGCCTCATCTTCCCATGAAGTTCACTGGTTTCCTTACAACAGTTTCCCTTTGTCTACAATAGTGGGTTTCTGGTCTCCAAACCCAGAGTTTGACCTAAAACTCTGTTCTCTGGGTTTCCCAAAGCCACTGAGAGGGCTAAGAAAGACTTCATCCTGGTCCCAGACCCTTCTGATGAGCATGGAAACACGGGCTCTAGTCCTGAGCTAAACTCCCTGTTCTTTCCCGAGGCAGAAAGGCCGGCCATGGAGAGCCCAGAGGGCACAGGTGGCTGCTTAGCCCTCCTTTTGTAGAAAAGGTGCAACTGGACTCCCTCCTTGACCAAACCTCAGCCAGGGTCCTCTGGGCCCTCTTCTTGACTAGGCCTCACCCTTGGCCTGTTTTAAGCCCAGTTTTAGGATTAGTGAGAATCCCTCTGAGCCCACGATTGGAGAGAATCCTGCTAAGCCAGTTTAGGGGGAATGCCCCCGACCCTTGATGGCTAATCATGTTCACCTTCCCCCACCTTAGATACTAAGCTCCTCTTTTTAATTTTCCATCAGCTGAGTTCCTCACTCTGCCTTTCGGCCGTAAACCTCCATCTACCCTTGCTGTATTCAGAGCTGAGCTTAGTCCTGCGCTGAAGGCTCCCTCCTCCACTGCAGAACTCCAGTAAAATCTGTCTTACCGTTTTAAACAAGTGCCCAGTGCAATTTCTCTTAAACAGATGGAAACAACCTTGCGGGAAGACACAGAAAACATGAGAGGGTGCCTTGGAGAATCAGCCCTGCTGGGAAGCGTGAAACCCATTTAGGTCTGACTCCTTGCCTTCTACTAGAATATACTCAAGGTTTAGGACTGCCTTCAAGTGTTATTCCATAATCAGCACATATTGGCAGACTAAAAAAAGAGATACAAAGCCAAGAGCTCTGTCTCCCTCCCAACCCAGGGTTGCCTGAACAATTTCCCTGCAGCCTGCACCGTTAACCTCTAGCCTCCGGCCAACATGGGCTTGATTCCTAAGCCATTAAAGTGCTCAGCCCCTCTCCAGTAGGCATCCACTGTGGAAGTGCCCGGTCCTAAGATAAAGAGGACCAAGGCATCCACATTTAAGTCACCAGGCCTCGTTGTTCTCACGGCCACCTCTGAGTGCTCTGAGGAAAACATGGCACTCTTCTCAGTGTCCCCAAACTCCCTGTGGGATGCAAGTAACCAGACAGGTTTTGGGAGCCTGCCTTTGCTGTTCAGACCACAAGAAGTGCCTGCAAATGGATTCATGTTCTCACTACAGGCAATTTCTGGGCTAAGTTTTCAAAGAGTTCAAACTAAATATCTGTCACTATCATTCTCAGTAAACTATCGCAAGAACAAAAAACCAAACACCGCATATTCTCACTCATAGGTGGGAATTGAACAATGAGATCACATGGACACAGGAAGGGGAACATCACACTCTGGGGACTGTTGTGGGGTGGGAGGAGGGGGGAGGGATAGCATTGGGAGGTATACCTAATGCTAGATGACGAGTTAGTGGGTGCAGCGCACCAGCATGGCACATGTATACATATGTAACTAACCTGCACATTGTGCACATGTACCCTAAAACTTAAAGTATAAAAAAAAAAAAAAAAAAAAAGCTGGAGGCTGGGTGCAGTGGCTCATGCCAGCAATCCTAGCACTTTGGGAGGCTGAGGTGAGCAGGTTGCTTGAGCCCAGGAGTTTGAGACCAGGCGAGGCAACATGGCAAGATCCCCTCTCTACCAAACAAACAAACAAACAAACAAACAAACAAAACAACTAGCTAGGGATGGTGGTGCGTGCCTCTAGTCCCAGCTACTTGGGAGGCTGAAGTGGGAGGATCGCTTGAGCCCAGGAGTTCAAAGCTGCAGTGAGTCATGATAGCACCACTGCACTCCAGCCTGGGTGACAGAGTGAGACCCTGCCTAAAAAAAAAAAAAAAAAAAGAACAAGCTGTAAACCATGCTTCGGGACTACCAGAAAGGATTAAACATGAAAGCTTGTTTCAAGTAATGTTTTTGTCTTGGGTTGACAGTGTCAGTTTTGGAAAGGAATTCAGGTCCCTGATATCTTTGCTATAGGCAGGTGGTGGAGAGAAGATATAAATGTGTCTATGTGTGCGTACATGTATACATACATGCATATATATCCACATCCACATACATACAAACACACACATAATCTCATGCACTTTTCATCTATAGTGGCTCATCTGCCACATTTATAAATTAAAATTAAAATGAGGATTAAGAAATAAAATTGTGACATTAAAACATTCTTTTAGAATTGAATTTGTTAGTCTCTGAATGGAAATAGTCGATTAACCCAGTAGTCTTATTACAGTTCCATCAGAACATTGGACTAAATCTGTGGGATTTTGCTCACAAAGAGTGGGGCAGGGGAGCTGGTTTTCACATCATTTATGTTAACAAACTTAATAAAAGTTATGAACTGTAACCATCTCACCTAGCGTTTTTACAGTTTAGTGGCTAAGAATGGAAGCTTTATAAAAAAGATTTATGAATGCACATATCCTGCCTATATTTAAATTGCATCCACTTTGTTCTGAGAATATTCATATTTGTCCCATTACTCATCCCTGATGGAGCCCTGCTGCATGCTGGCCTGACCCACATGCTCCACGCTCTGCAGGGAGCTCAGGTCCCAAAGGCACCCCTGAAGTCACCGCTGTGCCTGTGGCATCCTTTAGCCTCACTGCCTGGCTGTTTAGAAATTCAAATCAGCTTCAAATCTTGGCAGAGCCACTGAGCTATCATCTCACGTTTGGGGGAAAACTAGGCTCAAAAGTACATTCCATTATTAATAAAAATAAAAGAGAGAGAGAGAGAGAGTAAATAAAGGCTTGAAAGGGAACCCTGCCTGGGCAGGCCCCAGTCCTTTACCTGCATTGGAAAGACTTTCATTTCTTTCCCAGGCAGAATGATCTTTGGGGGATGAGAAGAGTCGACTGTGGATCTAGAAAACAAACAGAAATATTTCCCAATTTCATATTTTGATTTGCCAGATATATAATCTTTAATAATGTACATTATTTTTTTAATCAGGAACATCCTGGAATTTCTCAATTCTCCTGAGAAACAGATACAGATTGTAATGAGGACTTACTTCCATTTTCTCCTGGGTTACCTCTATCAATGACTAAAAGGAAGGTTTTTGAGGATTTCAAAATGCACAGGAAAAGAGGGAGGGAGGAAAGGAAACTAGAAAAATTCAGCCAACATTGATTTTGCCGTGGATTTGGTTAGCAGATCAAGGAACCACATCTAATATTTCTCTTCTGGCCCATCACAGTGCTGAATGGGTGCTGGGCTGAAGCTAGACATTCAATAAATATTGATAAATTGATTAGCTATGAGCCATTCAATTTCAGGCGTTTAGGACCCAGTGAAAACAAGCAGAATGTATAGGAAACTATTCTGTTGTCTTCAGGTATGACTGTTTTGCTGACTTTTTCTGCCAAAAGGTAAAGATTTCTTTTGTGATTTTATTCTCAAAGCAGTTTGCTGAGGGTGAGATTTTGGCTCTGATTTCTAACTTTAGTGAGACTCCAGAACATCTCATTCCATACTGGGTTTGCCTGTCGTCCCTTGGAGTATCCTGTGACCTCGCCCCAAAGCTGGAGAGCAACTGTCCTGATGGTCCTGTCATCAGCTTGGCATGACTTGAAGGGGCAACACAGTCATAGAGCATGAGCTGGGCTCTAATTGTGAGCCTCAGTTCATGTCCCAGTCCCGAAGCTGAGTTAAACTTTTTGGTGTTCGGTTCCCATTATCGGCCCCTTCTCATCCCCTGCATCTGGGCAACCAGCTCTGGGGTTGCAGAGGGGAATCTGTAGTCAAGCACTTCTTCCATCCCAAGGAGAAGTCTGGCTTCCCCCCGATCCCATAGTGGAAGAGACAGAATGGGGTGGGACAAGGACCTAACCTGGGCTGAGAGCCAGAGAGTTATTTTCTACCATCTCTGCCCCTCCCCATGGCTCAACTCAGCCACCACCTATCAGCCATGTGATTATTAATTCTAATAAGTGCTGAAAATTATTGAGACTTCACATATACTGGTTATGTATGCTCAGTGCTTTACATACATCCTCTCATTGAATTCTCCCACCTCTCAGAAAGGTATGCTTCTTTTAGCTCCACTGTGAAAGCTCAGAAAGCTAAGCCTTCAGTTTGGTAACAGGCCAAGGTCACCTAGCTGGATGTGATGGAGCCAGGAATCAGATTGGGCCAGCTAGACCCAACACGCTAGCTTTTAGCCAATGTGTTCCAAATGTTGTTTTTGTTACTAAGTGCTATGGTCTAAATGTGTCCCCCAAAATTCATGTGTTGGAAACTTCATCTCCAGTGCAACAGTGTTGAGGGTGGGGCCTAGTGGGAGGTGTTTAAGTCATGAGGACTCTGCCTCATGGATGAATCAATGCTGCTGTTTTTAAAAGGGCTTATAGGAGTGGGCTTGCTCGCTTCTGCTCCTCTGCCATGTTTGTTTTTTTTTTAATCAGGAACATCTTGGAATTTCTTCATTCTCCCAAGAAAGAACTACAGATTGTAGTAAGGATGTACTTCCATTTTCTCCTGGGTTACCTCTAGCAATGAATAAAAGGAATGTTTTTGAGGATTTCAAAATGCACAGGAAGGGAGGGAGGGAGGAAGAAGCAAGAAGGCTCTTACCAGATGCAAGTACCTTGATCTTGTACTGCCCAGCCTCCAGAATTGTGAGGAGTAAGTTTCTGTTGTTTATAAATTACTAAGTCTCAGATGGTCTGTTATAGCAGCACAAAGAAGACTAAGACACTAAGTATCATTATTTGGCTATTTGACTATATCTGGCAATACTTATATAGCCATTATACTTCTATATATCTTTTTCTCTGACTTAGCGTAGACGCGCCATGGGAAATATTGGATAATGCATAAAAACTTTCAGGGAAGGAAATAAAAATGCTGTAACATTGTATATGGGGCTGGAAAATAATTTAAATCTTAAGTCTGTCAGAAGCAGCAAGTTATCTCTCCACTGCTTCACACCAATCAGGTAGATCTGGAGGCTGTCTTGGAGGTGGAGGGATGCAGAGAGAAACTGGCATAGTGGAAATTTTAAGCTTCTTCTCTCCTGGGTTGTTGTCTTGTGTGGTTCTTTTAAGAAAGATTGTTATGCATATTTTTAATGTAACTCTATCAAGTCTAGCAAGTTAGTTAACCTGGGATATGACAACACAGAATTAATTTTCACTTGAAAAGCTCCTGATGCACCACGTAGTTGTTAGTCAAGAGCCCCAGCCTTGCCATTAAGTAACAAACACTGAAGTGCTTTGGTTTGGATCACAGATGATATCTCTCTCTCTCTCTGTCTCTGTCTCTCTCTCTCTCTCTCTCTCTCTCTCTCTCTCTCTCCCCCCCCCCCAGCAATTCACAATGGATGGCAAATTAACTAAGACCCACAGCGTTCTGCAAATGCCTGGCTTCTCCAAAGCCCGGAACCATGTTCTACAGGCTATGTGCACTATTGATTCAAGAATTTTCAGCGATGGGGTGATTCAGGAACTTCTTTCGTCAGCTGGACCCCAGGTCTTAGTCCAGTCACAACATCCTGCAAAGACTTGGCGTGGACTCTACTTTCTGCTGGTTTCTCCCTGTAATCCTTTCATGCAGAAGAGCCACACTTTCCATTGCCATTAGGGTAAAGTATGATGAGGGCCCTGGTGGTGCCCCTGCTCATCTCTGTGGCATCACTCACTGGGCATCTCTCTCCTGTCACACACTCTATGAGCTCCCCTCATCTCCTTGATTGGTCACACGCTCACCCACCACAGGGCCCTCGCACGCATTGTCCTATTTGCATAACACATCTTCCTGGTCCTTCTGGAGCTTGGCTCATATGACCTGCCCACATGCGTGTCTCTCCTGACATTGCCTTCAAACCAAGGTCAGGTTTCTGATTCATAAGCTCCTGCAGAAGCATTCTTTTTCCTTCAGAGCACTTGCCTTGGTTTGTAAATACACACTGATGCATGTGAATCTACAACCGATGTCTGCATCTTCCCTCAACCATAACCCCCATGAGAAGAAAGTTGTTGGCCTCACTTGCTAATGGATTCCTCCTCACCCAACCAGGTCTGCCTCCCCCTGAGACCCAGAGGTTGCTGGGAGCAGGGCCTACCTGTACATCTCTGGTGTCCAGCACCATGGTGGGTGTTAATGAGAAACACAGTGGATGTTTGCAGAAGAAAGGAGAGGAGAAAAGATGGAAGGAAGGAAGGAAGTAGTAAGGGAAAAGGTAGAATGGGAGCTTGGGAGGGAGTGGGGAGGGAGGAAAACAGGGGAGGGGAGGGGAGAGGGAGGGAAAGGGCAGAGTTCCCGATCAAGGTCAGGAGTTAACAGGAGATGCCAGCCTCTGGCCTGCAGTGCCTGGGATTTATGTGGCACTCTTTTTACAAGTGGAAATATTTTCCCCAATAAACCAAAGGTTGACTCCAATTTTTACTATTTACTACTCCGAGGGAGAGCCTGATCAGCCTTTGCTATTTCGTGAGTGATCATTAAGTGACTCCTAACTCAGGCCTTTCAAGACTGTGTCTCCCTTAAGTCTCTGAAGACATTACGGTGTTATTTAGTGAATGGAAACGGTAGTTTACCAAAGCCACACAATGGGAAAAAAGATTTAAGAACCATTTTTCACCTCTGTTCCCAGTGACTCATAGGCCTGATTTAAGCCTGGTGTCACGTGAGGAGCTATCATTGAGGGCAATTAATCCTCACAGGATCGTCCAACAACTCTGTCACAGAGGCGTGATCATTATTATTTCCACTTTACAGAGCTGGAAAGTGAGGCACAAAGAGGGTAAGTAACTTGCCCAAAGTCACACCCCCCTAGTAATTTAGTAAAGGACCCCACATTGGAACCCATGCTATTAGAATCAGTCCTAGGGAATAGAGAACTATGATTAGGATCAAGTACCGTAAGAAAATCATGACACTCCTTGATAGAGTGGGATGCCCCAGCTGGCAAAGCTCTGATATTCACATGACTTCATTTTGATTCTCCAAATTCCCTGAAAGGTGGTGACTAGGACACATAGATTTTTAAAGTTATATATAACAAAACTCAGGCCCAGAAAGGATAAGAAACCTAAGTGTCCAAGAACAAGAAAACGGTGGCTCTGTCACCTACACCAGCCCTCCTGACCCTGGTCCAGCCTTCCTTCCACCCCCCAGCCACCTGCCACTTCACAGGTACAATCCTGCCAGACCCACCCTGCAGAAATTCTGTGGTCAAGCCTGGTATCTGCTAAGACAATGGTAACATCAACATCACATTGATCTACGAATTCCATCCGCAGCCAGAAGCAGTGCTCCCATGAGCTTTGACTAAACATTGTAGGTGTAATAATAGTAGAACCTCCCATATATGTAAGACTAAATGCTTTACAAAGCAACTCCTACATTACCTCACTTGTTCTCCCAAATCCTGCCATCACAGCTGGACTCAAATGAGCAAATATTTTACTGTTTTTGTTGTTTCCTGACTCTCCCTTCAAGATACCTGAGTACTCACTATGGATCCTAATCTGCAATGCTAACATGCATAAAGCTCTGTATTCCGAGAGTTTTTCTCCCTGGGTTTGTAGCAAACTACTCTGACAGCAAAACCTTACCTGAACTAACCTAAGGCTATTTATGATATTAATTTATTCCATTGAGTGTAAAAATTCATACATTTTATTAATTAAGCTTAATTACAGAGTTCTACCTCAGATCCTGCTGGAGTTATTGCACAATATTATCTTTTTAAAATCCAAAAAAAATTATTGTTGAATCACATCTGATTCCAAGAGTTTGAGATGGAGGATTGTCAATCAGTACTGTGGACATTTGATGAATACTCATCGCCAGCTTCTGGGTTAGGGTTTTCCATTAAGCAAGCAGAACAGGAACAGAAACGTTATACAGAGCAGGAAAGAAGAGATGGGAGAAAACAGCTGAGAATTTCCCAGAGTCTATACAGAACACTGCTGCCAGTGCCCTCCCCCACTAACTTTGCCTGTCTGGACATGTGCGTAGTTTGCAGAGAAAACAGAGGAGACATCCCAAGTCTACTTGGATCCCAAGAAGGCAAAGACCAAAGGTGGATTTTTGGCTGCATCTTCTCTTTAAGATAAAGATAGACATTATTGGAGTCCAAAGGAAAGAGGACTATCTCTTTTCAGCATCTGAATGTCTCCTCCAAGGGATGTAGGAGGCTCCACCAGAAGGCAGACAGCACATGCGATGGATGGTTCCAGGTTGGACTGATGATTGGTTGGTGAGCACAGACTCTAGTGGGGATGGTATGATAGGTACTCTCTACCGCTAATCTAGATGCAAGATTGATCTTTGCCGGCATTGCATGTTTTTATTCAATCTTCTGAACTCTTCTGCAACAATAATTAATGTCAGATCAGTTTATGGATCAACAGTGTATTTTCTGGTTAATGCAACCCTGCACCTATAATAACTCAAAACTGAGATTTATTGCTCTACCATGATTCCCTCTTCATGCTTCATCTCTTCATGTTTACATCTGGTTTAACTTTTTCTAATCTAAAATAAATCAGCATGAAAAGCATTAGATTTTTCATTTAGATTCTCAATTGCCTTTTATTACTGAGATAATATCCCTTATCTGATTGCAAATGGTAGGATTGTTCTCTTGTTAGGATCTGAATGAGGATGCTGCAGTTCAATCTATCTGTCTCTCCTTATTTCTCCTTCACTTTTGTTTTCAAGGGTGGTGGCTGGTGGGGTTCTGATATGAAAATGAGATGAATCAGGATGTAAAGTGGATATATTATTCCTACTATTTCTGCTCTTGGAGGTGCATGGAGGAAGACAGCCTCCCCTGGCTGTCTAATGAGATGTGGTCTGCAGAGCGTTCACTCTTCATTTTCCCATCAGGTGACTTCAGCTCCCTGTGTGTTTGCAGGTATAAGCGAGAGCAGCAAGGATGAAGCACTTGGCTGGAGATTTCTATGCAAACATCAGCCATGAGGGGAGAATAACTCCAAAATATAGGCATGTTAAATACCCAGTTACCAAGTCAAATTTAGCTGAACTATTTCGTATATGAAAGAGGTAGATTTCCCCAGATTACTTAAGTATTCCTTTCAGCATGTTCTATTATGTTTCTTATCATTTGTAACATTTTCTCTTTACAGGCATACCTCAGAGATATTGGGGGTTCAGTTGCAGACCACCACAATAAAGCAGATTATCACAATAAAGCAAACCACATGAATTTTTTGGCTTCCCAGGACATAGAAATGTTGTTTACACTATATTATATTCTATTAAAGGTGTATTATGTCAAAAAATGTACATACCTTAATTTTAAACTACTTACTGCTAAAACAAAAATGCTAATCATTTGAGCCTTCAACAAGTTGCAATCTTTTTCTGGTGGAGGGTCTTGCCTTGGTGTTGACAGCTGCCAGCTGATCAGGGTGGTGTTTGCTGAAGGCTGCAGTGGCTGTAGCAATTCCTTAAAATGAGACAACAATGAAGTTTGCTGCATCAATTGACTCTTCCTTTCACGAAACAGTTCTCTGTAGCATGTGAAGTTGTTTGGAGGCATTTCACCCGCAGTAGAACTTCTTTCGACTTTGGAGGCAATCCCCTCAAACCTCACCACTGCTCTATCAACAAATTTATAGAATATTCTAAGTTGTTTGTTGTCATTTCAACAATGTCCACAGAATCTTCACCAGGAATAGTTCCATCTCAAGAAACAATTTTCTTTGTTCCTTCATAAGAAGTGACTTCTCATCCATTAAAGTTTTATCATGAGATTACAGCAATTCAGTCACATCTTCAGGCTCCACTTCTAATTCAAGATCTCTTGCTATTTCTACAACATCTTTAGTTACTTCCTCCACTGAAGTCTCGAACCCCTCAAAGTCATCCATGAGGGTTGGAATCAACTTCTTCCAAACTCCTGTTAATGTGCTATTTTGACCTCCTTTCACGGATCATGAATGTTCCTAATGGCATCTAGAATGGTGAATCTTTTCCAGAAGGTTATCAGTTTGCTTTGCTCAGATTCATCAGCAGAATCACTCTCTATGGCAGCTATAGCCTTAGGAAATGTATTTCTGAAATAATAAGGCTTGAATGTCGAAATTAATTCTCGATCTATGGGCTGCAAAATGGATGTTGTGTTAGGCATGAAAACAACACTAATCTTCTTGTACATTTCCATCGGAGCTCTTGGGTAACTGGGTACATTGTCAATGAGCGGTAATATTTTGAAAGGAATCTTTTTTTTTCTAAGCAGCAGGTCTTAACAGTGGGCTTAAAATAGTCAATAAACCATGCTGTAAATAGATATGCTGTGATCCAGGCTTTGTTGTTCCATTTATAGAGCACAGACAGAGTAGATTTAGCACTATTCTTAAGGGTCCTAGGATCTTCACAATGGGAAATGAGCATTGGTTTCAACTTAAGTTACCTGCTTCATTATCCCTAACAAGAGAGTCAGCCTGTCCTGTGGAAGCCAGGCATTGACTTTACCTCACTAACTATGAAAGTCCTAGAAGGCATCGTCTTCCAGTAGAAGGCTGTTTAGTCTCCATTGAAAATCTGTTGTTTAGTTTAGCCACCTTCATCAGTTATTTTCTGGATAACTTGCAGCAGCTTCTACATTAGGGTTGCTGCTTCGCCGTGCACTTTGATGTTATAGAGACAGCTTATTTCTTTAAACCTCATGAACCAACCTCTGCTAGCTTCAAACTTTTTTTCTGTATCTTCCTCACCTCTCTCAGGCTTCATAGAATTATGGCTGGATTAGGCCTTGGCTTAGGGGAATGTTGTGGCTGGATTGATCTGCTATCCAGACCACTCAAACTTTCTCCATATCAGCAATAAGGCTGTTCTACTTTCTTATCATTCCTGTGTTCACTGGAGTAGCACTTTTAATTTCCTTCAAGAATTTTTCCTTTGCATTCACAACTTGGCTAACTCTTTGGTACAACAGGCGCAGCTTTCAGCCTGACTGGGCTGTTGACATGTCTTCCTCACTAAGCTTAATCATTTCTAAACTAATCATTTCTAGGCATAATCATTTCTAGCTTTTGATTTAAAGCAAGAGATGTGAACACTTCCTTTCACTTGAACACTCAGAGGCCACTTGAGCGTTCACTTGAACACTCAGAGGCTTATTAATTAGCCTAATTTTCATACTTTTGTAGCTCAGGAAATAGGTAGGGCTTAAGAGAGGGAGAGAGGTGAGAGAACAACTGGGCTGTTGGAGCAGTTTCTTGATTAAGTTTGGTATGTTTTCTGGGTGCAATTTGTGGCACCTCAAGACATTTACAATAGTAATATGAGGCCGGGCGCGGTGGCTCACACCTGTAATCCCAGCACTTTGGGAGACTGAGGCAGGTGGATCATGAGGTCAGGAGATCGAGACCATCCTGGTCAACATGGTGAAACCCCGTCTCTACTAAAATACAAAAATTAGCTGGGCATGGTGGCACGTGCCTGTAGTCCCAGCTACTAGGGAGGCTGAGGCAGGGGAATCGCTTGAACCCAGGAGGCGGAGGTGGCAGTGGGCCGAGATCGTTCCACTGCACTCCAGCCTGGCAACAGAGCAAGACTGTGTCTCAAAAAAATATATATATAGTAATATGAAAGATCATTGATCACAGATAACCATAACAGATATAATAATGAAAAAGTTTGAAATATTGTGAGAATTTCTAAAATGTGACACAGAGACACCCAGTGAGCACATGCTTTTGGAAAAACAGCACAGATAGACTTGACCAATACAATTGCCACAAACCTTCAACTTGTAAAGTATGTGATATCTGCAAAGTACAATAAAGTAAAGTGCAATAGAATGAGCTGTACTTGACAATGTGAGCTGATGATTCTAGAACTGAGTCCATTTCTCATTCTGTGTGGAAATGTCCTTCCCCAGGAATTGTTTACCACCGCTTCCTACTTTCCCCCAATTAGAGTCCTGAACAGTTTGAAATACTTTGAAATCAAATACACTGAAGTTACTCTGACTTTGGAACACCTCAGAGAGTTCTGGGAATTCAATAGCCCACTTGACCCTTTAACTTTTAACTCAGTTGTTGTTTTTCTTCTTTCAAAGCAACAGAGACAAAACAAAACAAAACAAAAAAAAAAAAGAAGAAGAACAAAGGCATTTCCAGCTCCCTGGCTCACCTGTTTCCATGACATGCATGCCCTGGGCCTGGGGGGGAGAAGACCTTCAGATTTGGTATATTTTACCACTGGTGGTTGCTTTCTGTGATTTTTTTCAGCCAGACTGACAGAAAGGAGTCCTTTTCGTGGCTGACTTTCACACCTTCTCAGAATTAGGGGAAGTGATAACTTCTGCTTATTGAACACTAGCAAAATTTGGTCCTTAAGAGCTTTATAACAGAAAAATCGTAGCAGCCACACCATGGAGTGCTTACCAAGGGCCAGGCACCATTCTAAATGCTTCACAGGCATTATGTAATCTCCATGGCAACTCCCAAAGGAAGGTACTACTGTAATCCCATTCTAAAGGCAAAGAAATGTTATTCTTATTAATAATAACATCAATAATAATGTGATCAATAACTTTTTGGGCTCTTATTATGAGCCAAGGGCTTCCCTAAGTACTTCTCATACACAGCTTACTCAAGCCTCAAAGCAGCACAAGAAGAAGGTACTCTTAGTAACTCCATTTTACATGTGAGGCAATTGACACTGAGGCAGCTAAGAGTCCATGAAAAATTGAAGAGTTAATGAATGGAAGAGTCAGGATTCATATCCAAGGTCACCTGATCAAGGCCAAGCCCTTGCTCCTCTGCTGCCTCAGTAGAACATCATTTCTTTAATTAAGATGCTAGAAGTTGTAACCGAAATTTATCACGGCCACACAATACTACATACTTCAGGATTTCAGCTACAAGACATTTCAGAACAGGCAACGCTATAGCTTTAGAGAGCAGACGGGCGGCTGCCAGGGACTGGGCTTGGAAGTGCGTTGAGTGCAAAGGGCACAGGAGACTTTTCGGCTTGTGGAAATGGCCTATGTCACGATTTGGTACTGGAGTTCAACTGTACCCATTTGTCACAACAAAATGAACTGTATGCTTCAAAAACGTATGAGTAATCATGTATGTAAGTTATATCTTAATAAGGCTGATTTTTAACAAATATATTGTGAATAAGCTTCAACTTAGCTTAGAATTTCAATTCAACAAACATACAACTAGTTCGGGAAACAGGACATGCACCTGACCTCAGGGATCTCACTGTCCAACAAAAGAACCTATAACTGACAACCATCCCAGGCATTCATACTTTGTGTTCTGTAAACACAGGTAAGTGCAGAGCCAGTTTCATGGGTGTGAGACCCGTGAATCTGCATAGGGGCCAGTACTCAGAAGTGCCATTCATTCAGTTTAATGTCACTATTTTGAATGTTTTTTTTTAATTGTGGTAAAATATAAACTACATAAAATTCACCATTTAAATCATTTTCAAGTTCACAATTGAGCACGTTCACAATTTGTACAACCATCACCACTAACCATCTCCAGTACCTTTTTATCATCCTGAACAGCATCTCTGTACTTATTAAATGATAATTCCCCATTCCTCCTCCTCCCAGCCCCTGGGGGCCTCTATTTTACATTCTGTTTCTGTGAATTTGACAATTCCGGGTTCTTCATATAAGCAGAGTACAACAACGTTTGTCCCTTTGTGTTGGATTATTTCATTTGGCATCATATCCTCACAGTTCATCCAAAGGTGGGCTGCATTTTCACTCTGTTGAGTGTCCTTTAATGCACCCAATATTCCATTTGTATGAAGTCCAATTGATCAATTTTTTTTCCTTTGTGGGGCTGTGCTTTTGATATCACCATCTTGAAAATTTTAATACTTTGTCTTTTTTTTTTTCTTTTTTTTTTTTGAGACAGAGTTTCACTCATGTTGCCCAGGCTAGAGTGCAGTGGCCCCATCTCGGCTCATTGCAACCTCTGCCTCCTGGGTTCAAATGATTCTCCTGCCTCAGCCTCCCGAGTAGCTGGGATTACAGGCTTGTGCCATCACACCTGGCTAATTTTTGTATTTTTAGTAGAGACAGGGTTTCTCCATGTTGATCAGGCTGGTCTTGAACTCCCAGCCTCAGGTGATCTGCCTGCCTCGGCCTCCCAATGTGCTAGGATTACAGGCATGAGCCACTGTGCCCAGCTACCAATACTTTGTCTTTGAACTTGTGTTTTGTGGCAGCCAACAGGACTATGGGGCATGCTGGGGGCAGAGGAGGCACATGCACTCCCTCACCACCCCATTGACATAAGGTGCTCCTCATTCACAGACTTTGGGTGAACCTACAAAGTCTGGGTGTGGGAGTTCAGGAAGATGCACAGTGAGTACAAGGTGAGCGCATTCTGTCCCAGAACAAGGACGTTGAAATGCCGACAGCCATGAGGTCCCGCTTCCCATTGGAACCAGACTGACTTCAAAGGCAGACAGAAGGCAGTGATGTTCTGAAAAACATGAGTGATCAGTAGCCCTATCAAAATCTCTCTTACTCATGCTACTTCCCTGTATAGCCAGCCACTTATGCTGAAGTGATGACACAGAAGGAAAAGAAAGACAGGGCAACCCTAGTTCCTTTCCTTGTAGTCTTTCCTCACTCATCAGCAGGCCAAAGGGCAGAGAATATTGGTAAAATTATAGGAAGCAATGAAATTAAAAACAGTTGAGTTGTTGTTTGCAGCACTTCCATTATTCTGGTTTGAATGAAATACATATATGCGTCTATAAGCTACAAAAAACATGAACTCTGTCATTTAGGTGAATCCACCTGTGAGTTAAATGGTTTTTGTATTTGTGTTAAAACTGTCATTGCACAATGTAAAGCTGAACAGTAAAATTTGTGATAATAATTTAACATTTTAATTTTTACTTAGACCACCATTAAATAGCAAATTTAAAACACTGTAAAAAAGTCAAGAGACAGGCTACAGAATAGAATGAAAATTATTTGTATTTTAGTACCATTGCTGACAATTTTCCTTGATTTTCATGGATTGATTGATTGATTGATTGATTGAAATGGGGTCTCACTATGTTGCCCAGGCTAGTCTTGAATGGGCTCAAATGATCCTCCCACCTCAGCCTCCCAAAATGCTGAGATTACAAGCGTGAGCCATTGCTCCTAGCCCTTTCCCTAGTTTTAAAACAAGGGAATCAGATTTTCATTTCGCAAGCTTCCTCCAGATTGCAGAGGCTGAACCTGAATAAATAGCCATTATTGTGGAGCTACTCCACAGAGTCTTCATGGTTTCTTTTCCTGTATATCTGACAGCCAGCACAGTGGCTGCACGCATTGGGAACTACAGAGCTTTCCTACTTCCAATCAGCAGTGAGGATATAAGCACACGGCATCTCCCATTCACTTCTGAGCCTCTCTGCATATCCAATAGCCAAGTCCCTTTCACACAGCTGACCCAGGACATCACCACCAAACAGGCTGCCTTGAAAACTAGCGCAATATGAGGCAGCCAACCTAGAGCCATGCACTGAGAAGCTGGCAGTTTCCAGAAAGCATCAGTGAGGAGTTGAGTGCATTTGTGGCTAAAATAAGGGGATCTGTGAACTTTCTGTAAATTGAGGGCTGAATCAGAGGCATCTGAGCCCTGACATAGGCCCTTGGTTGCCAATGCACTTGCCCCTGGCTGCTGGCTACTCTGCTGGGAGGTGGTTGCTTGCATTAGACATAAAATAGCAAGCGACGTGTTGTTTACTTTGAGAAAATATTTCTCCCATTTGTCTTCGGCCCTATTGGTTTCTCTAATACGTTATTATTCCTAAATTTGGGATATTTTCCAAGATACTCATTTTTAGAGCTGTCTCAAAGTCCTTTCTAGATGGAGAAGAGATATAAATTAGACTCACAGAGAGGAAATTAAATAATTCTGCTTTTTGGAATTGGATTAATGAAAACATTGATCATACAAAGTGACCTTCATTTTTAGCTTCATTTGGACAAACTAGAGCTGTTACCTGTTTGTCCATCTGTCTGTCTGTGATCACTGAAAAATGAGTGAATCTGTAATAGAGACTAATGTAAGTATTGAATCAAGGAAGATCTCTTACATGCACTGACTAATCAACCATCATGCACCCTGGCCCCAGGTGCTCATCTAACACATACCGCATGCACTTCTGTTTATTCATTTCTTCGTTCATAATGCATCCCACAAACGTCTACTGAGTGCTGGTCTGGTGCCAGGGGCACATGGTGAGCTAGAGCAGATGATGTGCACTTTGCCTCATGGAGCTCCCAGACAGAGACTCCAACCTACGTGCTTTCAATCCCAAGGGCTCCTTCTATTTCCTTTACTCCACAGATGCAAAAATTTAAAATATAGTGTGGCAGGCCAAATACTCAGATGATTTTTAAGATTCCCCTTGGTGTACACGCCCTACATGTTCCCCTGTCTTTGATGGTGAAAAGATCCTATGAATATGACGGGCTATCATATCCATGATTAAGTTACATTATATGGCAAAAGGGTTGGGTTTTACTGACATAATTAAGGCTACTAATCAGTTGACATTGAGTCAATCAAAAGGGAGATTATATCAGACAGGCCTGACCTAGTCAGGTGAGCCTTTTATAGAAGTCAGAGAGATTCAAAGTAGCAGAGATTCTCCTTCTGGCCTTGAAGAAGCAAACAACGTATTGTGAGCTGCCCACGGCTAGAGCCTCAGACAGGGACCTGAAGCAGTCCTCTAAAAGCTGAGAATGTCTCTGGCTAACAGCCAGTAAGAAAATGGGGACTTCAGCCCTGTAGCCACAAGGAACTGAATTCTGCCAAGAACCAGTGATCTTGGAAGAGGATCCCAAAGCCTCAGAGATCACAGTCTCAGGTGACACCTTGATTCAACCTGAAGACATCCTAATCAGAGAAGCCATCTAACCTACACCAGGACTTCTGATCTACAAATAATCAATGGTGTTGTTTTAAGCTGCTATGTATGTAATAATTTGTTAGGCAGCAATAAAAAACAAATACAGATTGTGTCTGCCAGATTTTTTCCTTTTTCTAATAGCCAATCATAACAGACACAATACATGATCCTGCCTTAAATTGATATCATCTCAGTCATAAGTACAGCAGCTAGCTGCTTCAGTTAATTTGTGCATGGTGATCATTTCCCTTGGACTGGAGAACCCCTACTGTTAACCCTGTGGACCATGATTTTGGAAACACTTAACGTGGCATGGGACAACCTTGAGAATCTGGCTTCTGCTATTGTATGCTTGACACAAATGTCATTAACTTGGAAAACTTTTAGCCATTATTTCTTCAAATCTTTTTTCTTCTCACTCCTCCCCCACATTCTTTCTGTGTATCTAATCATATGTGTGTTGGGCTTCTTGATATCATCCTCCAGGTCACAGGAGCAGCATCCATAAAGTACTAGTTACAATTTGCCTGCACCCAGGGGCCACGTCTTTGTGCCATGGCTCTATGATAGAGTTGGAGATGGCAGGAAAACATATGTTCAAACTTGGACAACAACAACAACTCATTTTCATGGGGTACAGCCTCCATGCCAATTCCAAGGCTCAACCCTTTATATAGGTTATCTCTTTTAATGCCCCCAGCAACGCTATAAGGCAGATATTATCATTGTTCATATGAATACAGATGAGAAAACTAGGCTCAAAGAGAACAAGAAAATTGCCAAGGTCACTCAGCTAGTAAGAACCCAGACAGTCTCGACCCAGTGCTCTTTCTCTTAATCACACCACCACCTGTCATCTGCCATCTCTTCTCTCCCTTGGTTTGGCTGAAATGTGGATATGGTTTCCCCACAAGTTCCCAATTCCCTGATGGAAATTGACCAAAATGATGTCAGATAGATCTTACAGTGCTCTTTCTCTCTTGCTGTCTCTCCCTCTCTGAATCTCACTCTTGCTCTCTCTCTCTTTTTTTTTTTTTCTCTCTTGTCTTCATTTTGGAAAGTTCATTGATCTTTTCTTCTGCAGCATCCAATCTGCTGTTAATCCCACCCAGTAAAATTTCCATTTTAGATAGTGTCATTTTTTTCTTATCAAGAAGTTCTTTTTTAAAAATCATCTATTTCTTGCCCCATTATGGTGATGTCTTTTCTTAAATCCTTGAATTTAAAGGGCAAACAATATAATTATAATATTTGTAATAGCCTTTTAATAGATCATTGCTTGCTAATTCTCTCATTTGCATCATTAATGAATCTGTTTTTACTAACCAGTATTATCTTGGTTATGAGTCATATGCTCTGGATTCTTTGAATGTTTAGTAATTTTGATTGGATGACAGACATTGTAAATTTTATATTATTGCTTGCTGGATTTTGTTGTAGTCTTGTTAAAAAAAAAAAAAGTTGAACTTTGTTTGCCAGCTAAACCACTTGAGGAATGGCTTGATTATTTCAACAACTGGTTTTAAAATTATTATGGGTGGATCTAGGGTAGCCTTTACTGAGGCTAGTTTAGCCGCACTACTAAGACATGACCCTCCTCGGGGCTCTACGTGATTTTCCCTGTATTCAGTGAGGTCTCTACATTCCAGGTGGTAAAGGACCCGAATGATTCATGGCTCTGAGGTAGTGCTGAGAAAGGCTCATCTCACAGCTCCCCAGTAAGATGTTCTTTCCTTGCCAGTTTTCTCTGTCTGGTCATAGAGACTTTCTCCCTACACAGCACAGATTAATTTTCAGCCAGACTTAAGAGGGCCTGAAGCAAACTTCTGGAGCTGTTTTTTTTCCTCTCAAGAAGTGTGCCTTGCAAATAACAGTCACATCCTGTGTCTTCTCAGCTCAGAGAGACTACTGGGTTCTGTTTAGGTTTTCCCTTCCTGTGCCCCCGTTCAGAAATTGCCATTCCTTCTGCCTAAAATGTCCTCCCCTTCCCTATTTGCCTATACTCTCTCTGTCCCCCCACGCCTGGAAACCTCCCACTCTTCCATAAAGAATGTGCCCAGAGGTCTCCTCCATGCATTCTTGCTGAGTTCTCTGGATCCACAATCTGTGTAGACACCCTGGCCTGGCATCATTGGGATGGGTGCCTCCGTGCATTCTTGCTGAGTTCTCTGGATCCACAATCTGTGTAGACACCCTGGCCTGGCATCATTGGGATGGGTGCCTCCGTGCATTCTTGCTGAGTTCTCTGGATCCACAATCTGGGTAGACACCCTGGCCTGGCATCATTGGGATGGGTGCCTCCTTGATCAGATGATAAGCCTCTTTGTCCTCTGTGTCCCCGGCACCTACCACAGTTCCTGGCACACAGTAGGTCCTTAATACATATTTGTTACAAGAGCCAGCCCAGGTGTTTCCTCTTTAATCTGTCTGCTCCACTAGAGGAGGAAGAGGACCTAGAGTGGCAAAAACAGAGGGTGGTAAGAACACATGTGGTCCTCAGAACTGTAAGGAAGTTATCAGTGAGAAAGCTGCGGAGGGACAAATGTCTCAATCAGAAGGAAAGAGAAAGAGCACCCGATTTAGAGGGGCATGATAACTGCTCCTAATCACTTGATCCTGGTGTAGTTGACTTTCTCTGTAGTTAGCTCTGAACCTCCCTGGGTTCTAGCTGTTGTTGTCAGGAGATGTGCTGCCCCCGACCCAGCACCACGTGAGAAGTATAATCTGCAGAAGAAGACGTAACATAGATGGAATCCTCCTTCCGCCGCTCCTAACTGTGTCACTGTGCAGCCTGCACCATCTCTCTGGCCTCACAGAATTTTCTCTTTGGAAAAATAGGCCTCATGTGTCTCACACAGCTGTGGTGAGCTTCAATGAGGCAATTCAGGAAATCAGCTGACACCCGCCTCTTTTGTTCCATCTCCGTCTCTCAGCTCTCCTTGCACGCAGTGGTCCTGGCTTCCACACTGTCCTCTCTGACTCACATCTGCCCCCACCCCCTGCCCTTCTACACACCAGTTTTCTTAACATGGACAATTCAGCTGGCTTTTTTGTGACTTCCTTTGGGGTTCATGCGGTTGGAAAATATTGGTCTAGAACTTGCAGATCATGGGTTCAGAACTGCAAAAAACCACCAAGTACCCTATTTAAAAACATAGATTTCTGGATGCCACCCCTCCCAGAACCCAGGGGTCTGAATTCTCAGAAAGTTCTAAGGATTCTAAAGTACACTAAGGTGTGAGGGCCATGCAATCTTCCATAAGATGGTAAAACCCCATTTAGATCCTTGCCCCTAGGGAGGTCCATTTTATGTCGAAAATGCCTCATTAATGCTTTCTACCTTAGCCCTAGCTTTATCGTGAGGGAATCAGGTGTGGAAGAACTCACACTCTCAAGAGTCTCTTGTCCGTGATGGAATTTGCAGCTGGCCCCAGGAGTAGGCGTGCTCTAAATGAAAACTGTGCATTCAGGTCCTGGCCAATTTGATGACTAATCTCTGAATTGCTTGGGGGATGGAGATTACCCTGAGCCAAGAATATAGAAGGTCATAAGTCTCTGTGACCTGACGCTCTGAGTGTGGGGAAGCAGGGAAAGGAAGTGTTTTGCCCCAATTTAAACAAGACCTGCTTACAAAGCAGCAGCACCCATAAATCACTGGTTACAATTCGCCTGCACCCAGGGGCCACTTCTTGGTGCCGTGGCTCTGTGTCACTTTCACGGGGTACAGCCTCCATGCTAGCCCCAAGACTTAACCCTTTATATAGGTTATCTCTTGTAATGCCCCCAGCAACGCTATAAGGCAGATATTATCATTTTTCCTATGAACACAGATGAGAAAACTAGGCTCAAAGAGAAGAAAATTGCCAAGGTCACTTAGCTGGTGAGAGCCCAGACAGCCTCAACCCGGTGCTCTTTCTCTTAACCACACCACCACCTTTCATCTGCCGTCTCTTCTCTCCCTTAGTTTGGCTGAAATGTGGATATGGTCTCCCCACAAGTTCCCAATTCCCTGGTGGAAATTTACCAAAATGATGTCAGATAGACCTTATAAGCCTTAGCTGCCAATGCCCTGGGTCAGCTCACACTTGACCTCTCATTAAATACTGTCCATTGTAGCGAGATTGGAGACCTCACTCACCAGATTTCAGATATGCCTCCTGATGCAACAAAACTGACTTCAGACCTCTAACTCCTCACACCTCTTTAGGACCTTGCCCTCTGACAGGCAGCTCCAGTTGACAGGTGCAGGGAGGGCTGGAAGAATATGGCGACAGGGCAGCATTGAGACCCAAGTACAGCCATTTCATTTCCCTCTTGGCTCTTGGACTTCTCATGTCTGCATTTGAATGGAGGCCATCAGCCATTGCCAGTGGAGGCTGAGCTGAGGCTTCTAGGAGGAGCCCCAGCACCCACCAGACAGCAGGCAAGGCACAGGAGTGAGGCAGGGGCTCCCAGCCTGTTGGCAGAGTGGCAGAGCTCATGGAAGTCTTTATTGCCCTTTGTGAAACAGCCTTTTCTCAGCCCTCCTCAGGCTGGAGGTAGAGTCTTCACTGCAGTCAGAGCCATAAGCACATCACAGCAAAAATACTGCTTGGAGGCCGGGACTTCAGGGGGAAAGGTGAGACTCCAAAAGCTTTGATCTGGCTAAGCTCTTCAACTTGGTCTGGAAATAGGGAAAATTGTTTTGCACCTTTTGATAACTGTGAGAAGAAAGGAAATGTTCGCTTTACCTCCTGTTTGGTCTCAGTGACCTCTTTATTTCCTGAATCAAGTTCTCTTGAAGCCCAAGTACTTAACTTGAGTGCTTTTATTTTACAAGACTGAACGGTGTACTCCAACCACTGGAAAACATTCATCAAAGCCCAGAGCTAAGTTTCCAAACTATGGTGGGATATTGAAACCACTCTGGGAGACTTCTTCTTCCAGCCATGATAGAGTAACCAGACAACCGCTAGGAAACAATGATTTCCAGATATTGAACAACAAGCAATGCAGCACTATGACCCCTGAGAGGAGGAAAACAAGAGAGGTGAGTCCTACAATTGTCCCCACCTGGAGGCAGTGTCCAGGCTGCAGCTTAGGAGGGGAAACTCAGCTGAGCCTGGGGTCTTTGCTGAGTGGAGGAGGTAGAGACGGAAATTAGAGAGGCCAATGTAGCTGGAATTTAGGAAGAGGAGAACTGCAAAGGAGAATTCCAGCAGCCTGCAGGGAACTTCCCAGGTCTTTGCCTGAATACTGATCTGCACCTGCCCAAGAGAAAAATACCTGAAACCAAGAAAAGAACTTCCAGAAAGTGGTAGGTCACATCATTCAGGAGCTATTTGGAAGCAATTTAGGTTCCCGCCAGCCCAGGTACAAACACCTTGTCACACATGAGACATCAGGTAGAGTCCTCAGAAGGGTCATGTTGTAACACTGGGACTAAATTAGCCCACATCAGGGTTTCTAGGCCTCAACACCATGGACATTTTCAGCTAGGTAGTTCTTTGTTGCGGGGTTGAAGGTGGCACTGCCCTGTGCATTGTAGAATATTAGCTGCATCTCTGGCCTCTACCCATTAGCCACCAGTAGCATTTTCCCCAAGGTTGTCACAACCAAACTGTCTGCAGACATTACCAAATATCCCCAGGGTATTTCAACAAGCCCAAACAAATCGAAAAAATAAGCCTCAAAAGGGTCAAGCTGTTTTCAAATAACTTAACAAAATCAAACACCAAACAATGTAAGATTCACAATATCCAAAATTCAATTTTAAAATTACCTAGTGTGCAAAGAAGCATGACCCATAATCAGGAGGAAAATCAATCACTAGAAATGATGCAGAAATAACAGATGCTGATAAAATGAGGAGACAAGGACCTTAAAGCAGCTCAAGAAGGTAGAGGAAAGCATGAGCACGAGGAGGGGTGTGGGAGATGAAAGGAGTCACCTGGTAAGTGTTCTTCCTTGTTTGTCATTGCCAATGCCTTCACGCTGCTCTGGGCCCACTGAGTCACAATGGCCATGGCTGCACCAGAGGCATATGCAGTTCTTTAAAAAGTTCACTATGAGGCCAGGCACGGTGGCTCACACCTGTAATCCCAGCACTTTGGGAGATCAAGGCGGGCGGATCATGAGGTCAGGAGTTCGAGACCAGCCTGGCCAATATGGTAAAACCCCATCTCTACTAAAAGTACAAAAAAAATTAGCCGGGCATGGTGGCGGGTGCTTGTAATCCCAGCTACTCAGGAGGCTGAGGCAGGAGAATCATTTGAACCCGGGAGGCGGAGGTTGCAGTGAGCCAAGATCGTGCCACTGCACTCCAGCCTGGGCGACAGAGTGAGACCCTGTCTCAAAAAAAAAAAAGTTCACTATGATTCTACTCAGCCAGAATTCAGCACTACTGGCTAAACCCAATTTTTTTTTGTTTGTTTTGTTTTGTTTTGCTTTGGAAACAGAGTGTTGCTCTGTCGCCCAGGCTGGAGTGCAGTGGCACAATCTCGGCTCATTGCAAGCTCTGCCTCCCAGATTCATGCCATTCTCCTGCCTCAGCCTCCCGAGTAGCTGGGACTACAGGCACCTGCCACCACACCCAGCTAATTTTTTGTATTTTTAGTAGACACAGGGTTTCACTGTGTTAGCCAGGATGGTCTTGATCTCCTGACCTCGTGATCCACCCACCTCAGCCTCCCAAAGTGCTGGGATTACAGGCGTGAGCCACCACACCCAGCTGACTAAACCCAATTTTTTAAAAGAATGAATAGAAAAAGGAGATGGAAATGATGATGGAGATTTTGAAAAATATCAGGAGGCATGGCCAAATAGTGATTTCCAAATACAAAATCTTTCTTTGGCTCATTTAGTGATTAAAGGCATTAGAAACTGTCGCCTGTCAGAGGACAGATGGGTGAGCCTTAGCTGATGCATCTCAGCCTGCACCTACCATCAGAAAGGTCTCCACAATCAATCAGGAGATGCTCACTTACATTCACACCATAGGAGATATGAGCACATCACTGAATTCTATGAGGTTTCCCTTCCCAAGCTGGCAAAACCACGCAAGCTCTGCTGCATAGAGAGTCTCAGAAAGTGTCCCTGCTTGCCATGCGGACAGAAGGCAGAGCTCCAATATAGGCTCATCCCATCCTCCAGTTATGGCTACATTGATGTCTGAAATTCATCAAAAACATACGCAGGGGGAGACATGCCCTTAACAAACTGTATTTCTCAGAGTTTGGGGCATTTTTAGAGTGTGCAGACATCAAGTCTTTGAAAATATGAACCCAGGGACCTTCAGCACCCCTCACCACCACCTGCTCCCAATCCTGGTAACTTTCAGTGCAGCAGGCTCTGCTCCTTGTTCCTATCAGAAGGAAGTCTATGTAAAGGTATGCGTGTGGCTGGATCATCCCTGGGCTGCAGTTCAGCTGGTGAGAGGTGGCTTCTCCAACCATTAAGACAGCTCAGGACTAAGACCATGGTTTTGGAAAAATTTGAGTCTGTAGGTTTTACACTAAAATCAAGCAGATTTGCAGGACCTCATGGGAAGAACTTGAAATCCATAAGGTTTTTACAGAAATAAAATCTCCAAAACTCACTTTTGCCAGATAACCAGCCAGTTTCTTTAATCTAGCACCTTTGTGCATTGAGAGTTCATCCCAGAGACCCTGCTCATTTGTCAGCCCATTGAGTACTTTGTGGTCAAAGCCCAGGGCAGGTTAACCAATGGCCTTGGAGCTGATAGAAGAGAAGGAGTCACTGGGCCAAGTCCAAAGGCAGAACCCAGAAGTGCTAATTGGGGTCTCTCAGCAGTTCAGCTTGGGAAATTGAGCAAGGAAGTTTCCTTCTTCCTAAATTTCCTAATCTAAATAATGCTGAGATGTCATGGTAGGAATAACATGAAGAATAGTTTAATGGATGAGGAATATTTTAAAATCGGAAATGTTTGCTACCAAAAGTCAAGAGCAGACCTTGAAGTTCAGAGGGACAGGGGGTGCAAATCCCATCTGATGGTTTTCAAACTTGGCCCGCCCTAGAGCTGAGGAGGCAGGCCCTTCCTGGACAACTTGGGGAGTCATGGACACAGTGAGGCCCATCCAGCCCATCAGACTGATTGTGGGTGGGGGCTTGGATCTGGCATTCATTTTAACATTAGTGGCTCGGTTGTTGGCTGTCAATAGTAGCAGCGTATTGGGCCCTGAAAAAAATGTAGCTGTGACTGTCATATATTTGAAGTTTTTTGTAACCTCCTAAAAAGGTGTACTTTTTTCATATTGTTTTAATCAGTGTGGCTATAGGAATCAGTGAAGTTTTATATACGAAGAAAACGAGAATGCCAGATCTACCATTTGCTACATAGGGTTTAAAATGAAGCTATGAACAATGCATAATAATGTAATTCAACAAGTTTTTCTCTCTCTGGAGGACTGGAAAATAACCTCAGTGAAAATTATGCAATGATAAAATTCTGTCCCCATCTGATTAATTACTTGTGAATAATGACATCTCTGATTTCTTTCAATTATATTCTAATTGCACACCTTTTGCTCCAGTTGATTGGGCAATGAAGTAATGAACAACTATTACTGAATTTAATTAGCACCATTATTTCTGTGGCCTTTACATCTCTGTTGTGAACATGGAAATTCACACTCCCAGGGCTGGAACTGGAAGAAGCCAGCCTTGAACCTTGAAAAACCTGTTCCTTCCACACTGTGCTGGCTTCCTTCTGCCCAGCCTGGGGAACAAAGACCTGGCGTATTTGCCAGTATTCATGGGAAGGCTTTCCTAATAACAGCATCAATATTCAGAAAGGTTACCTTTTCATAAGGCATTAGCAATTTGCATGTTACATCTATCAAAAGAGATGGGTAAATGAGCTATATGGGAGTCAATTACAATGTCGTTCATAATTTATTCCATGTACAATAAACAGCCGATCAGATTTCATGCGTGTTTACTTTCTGAAAAGATAACTGCTTGTGGCTGATACTAGTTGCAGAATACAAATATGTTTCAGAGTAATGTGTTTATCTCACTTTGACATTTTAAATCTCCAAAGTTCTCTCACTCTCTGTCTTTTTTTTTTTTTTTACAAAGTTGTCTCTGCTTGAAAATTAGAGCTTGCTCTCAAAAATAAAAGATCATTCTTACTGGCCTAACTTGAATCATTCTATTTTAACTCGATGAAGGCACGTCATACATATTCTCCTACAAAACGCAACAGGAAACAAGTAGGAATTTGCTTTTAAAGACAGGTGATTGCAAACATACAGAGCTAAGAATATTTAACTCACAGAAACATGCTGTAGTTTCTAAACATGGATACAAATTACCCAACTCAGTAGTCTTTGGAGCACCAATAAAGTTTGTAAATGCAGACATGTGTCATCGTAAATTAACTTCATCCGATATACTTTCCCCCTCCCCCATATTTCAAAAACTAAAATAAATTCAGAAATGAAGAAGGCTTTTCCAAATCCCTTAGGGAAGTCTACAAACACAAATGATTAATTTATTAGACCAGATAAAACACCTGAACTGTCTGATGAGCAACACGTCCATCTCTCTCTGAGTCAAGCGTGTACCCACTCACCCACCCAGGCTCAGCCATACCTCATATCTGCTGGCTGTCTGCTCAGCCGTCTTCAAGCCTTGACACATATGGATGATACAAACTTTGGCTCTTCTCTGGGAGGGAAACCAGTTACTCTTCACAAAATCCATGACCATCACATGGTTTTTCAACTCTGTACTAAATGTTTTTATCTGGAAAGTCCGATGCACGGCCGTTTCTGTGTAGCGGGCAGCATACCCCTGCGGATGAGTTTTTGTAGGAATTCCAGAGTGCTGCATGAGACTCAGTATCTTGTGACTTTAGCTAGTGAGACTGGCAAACACAATTTTCTTTGTTTAACCCAGGTATTGAGTGCAACAGGAGGGACTTGGGCAGTGCCCCAGCTCGGACCTGTCCCAGTGTTTTCCAACTCCAGAGCTAGTTGTCTCAATATCCCAGCTACATTTGTGAAGGATGTGGATGTGGGAACCTCAGGGGTGACCTTTACGTGCCAAAAAAAAAAAAAAAAAAAAAAAAACTTCTTGTTGTGGTCTGTTTCCAGCCTCACGCCTGAGCTCTCGGGTCACTCAAAGTCTTCTCTGATTTCAAAGAAGTATTTCTCTTTCCACTGCATTGAAGTTTTGAACACAGAATTCACCCAGTTACTGAGAGATTCAATATGTTTGTCAGTCTCTACCCCCTCAAATCCAAATAAATTATTTACAGGGCTCTGTACAAAGGAACTAGGAGGAATAATCGTTGCTTTTTAGAATTCCTGCTTTTACTTGCCAGGACTGAAAGGAACAAGTGCAGGCTGCCTACCAATACAAAGAGCGTCCTCAGCCCTGGAGAAGAAAACATTCAAGTGAAAAAGAGAACTCCCAGCGCAGAAGCAGCAACAGCTGCAAGAGGGCATCGGAAAAACAGCGCATCACGTGGGGGCTGGGGGTGGAGTCCACTCGCCTAGAAGGGGGCTCTGGTCCTGGGTCAACCATGGGAAGTTCCCTCACCACCCTGAGTCTCAGTTTACCAGGAGGAAGACTGGAAGGAAAATACCCCATCTGCCACTCACAGGGTTATTGTTAGGATCTGGTGAGCAAAACAGTGAAACAACAACACAGAATAGAGTCACGTTAGGCATCATTTTGAAAGTACAGTTGCGCGTTCTCTACCCAAATTATTTTGCACAGTGTTCGCTACACATATGATAACGGAGATTAACACAATGCTAATAATTATCAGATTCTAAATTTCAAGTCAATTAGAATTGCAGATCCATGGTATATGCCTCACTTTATTTAATGTTTTGATGCCATTTCTATTAACCTAGTAATTTAGAAGTGAAAATGGCAAGCCTTGGATCAAGGGTGTGTGCCAAGAGGAAGCAGATGACAGCATCGTGGCTGTGCTCCAAGTCCAGACACAGAACTCTTCTCCACAGGTGACTTTCTCTTGGCAGAGACACCCCCTTGAATAATTAACTCACCTGCCCCACATTGAAAGCCATGGGAGAGGCTAAAGGAAGAAGAGCCTCCAGATAACTTTCCTGAAAACAGAGCTGCAGTCCTAGCCCAGAACTGTGAGACTTCCTGCTGTGGGTCGAAGCTTTGCATGTCACACTCAGCAGGGCTAGGACTTGGGGGCTAAAATGCTGAACTTCCACCTTCGGAGCAATGGAAGTATTGAAGATGGGAACTACAATGAAGGAGGAGACAGAAAAGACTTTAGAGATCATTTAGGCCAACATTCTCATTTGAGTGTTAAAGTAGAAGACCTACAGAGACTAAATGCTGGCTCAAGATCACACAGTGAAGTGGAGTTCATGGTTCCTTAAACAGAACACAGCCCGGGTCTGCCTGGGGCTCTCCCAAGGATGTCAAAGAGAGTGTCAACACCCAACTGATGGCATCCATGGCTGACTCAAACCTGACAGTCATGCTGGAAACTCCCAGGGAGCTACACCATGGAGCGCCATCTTGGATTTGGAAGCAATGTGATAAAGAAAGCCATGGGAGACATTTGAGCAATAAAAACATGAAAATTGAACAGGGACACCAAGGAAAGAGGGGATCTGCTTCATGTTTGGGCACAGGGAAGGTCATTCCCTGTGTCCCCAAAAACGCCATTTAAACCAGCTCCCATTTGTGTCTATCTGCTCCTGTCCAGGAGACCCCGCAAGGCAGATAACAAATAATAAAGTCTTTTCTTCCACCACTACACACATTAAAGGACCTTGGACAATGCTGAGGCCAGCAGGACTGGTCATCAGCTACCCCGAGACCAGGACTGGTCATCAGCTACCCCGAGACCAGGACTGGTCATCAGCTACCCCGAGACCAGGACTGGTCATCAGCTACCCCGAGACCAGGACTGGTCATCAGCTACCCCGAGACCAGGACTGGTCATCAGCTACCCCGAGACCAGGACTGGTCATCAGCTACCCCGAGACCAGGACTGGTCATCAGCTACCCCGAGACCAGGACTGGTCATCAGCTACCCCGAGACCAGGACTGGTCATCAGCTACCCCGAGACCAGGACTGGTCATCAGCTACCCCGAGACCAGGACTGGTCATCAGCTACCCCGAGACCAGGACTGGTCATCAGCTACCCCGAGAACAGGACTGGTCATCAGCTACCCCGAGACCAGGACTGGTCATCAGCTACCCCGAGACCAGGACTGGTCATCAGCTACCCCGAGACCAGGACTGGTCATCAGCTACTCCGAGACCAGCATGGAGAGGTTTGCTGATGGTTGGCTGACTGCTAGTGTGAGCACTTGTCACAAGCACAGCCAGCCTGTGGTGATTATGGAGATTCCAAAGATCATTAAGGCTATGGGTGAGTTTTCTCTCTCCCTTGACCACAGCTGGTGGCTGGATCTTAACTGGCCAGTATGGCCAACAAGAGGAAGCAGTAATGTGGCCTTAGGCAGGTCTCTGGGATTCTTGGTCAATAGGGATGGACAGAAGACTTGGGATTGTCAGATTGAATTCCTCATTATATGGAGGAGAAAATTGAGGCCCAGAGGGAGAGAACCTTGACTGAGAGGTCCAAGGGCTGGAAAGAGCACTGGATGGACAATTGGAGATGGGTTTGCACCTAGGCCCTAAGACAAACTAGCAGGTGATTGTGGACAAGACTCCTCCCTTCTGGCTTAAGTTCCCTTTAACCACAAGCCCCCTAGCTTCTCTGACACCCCTGGGTTCTAGAGTGTGTCAATTTTGACCATGTGCAGACACAGCTCAGCAGAGAGCAGTTCCACCCTCCCTGGGAAAGGCCTTCCTGTCTGGGTCACTGAGGTGGGGCTGGGTGCAGAAGAATGAGCTGATGTCCTTCCATCTGCCCTCAGAACTGTTGCTCCTCACCCTCCAGCAGGGCCACAACCTCCACAGTCCAGCCACTGTGCCCTCTTGAAGCACAGCCTCCAAGTAAGAAAACGTGGTTCCTGCTGATGTTCACAGTGCTTGCCTTGCAGCCTTGGGCGAACTACACACTACCCTTGCTTCAGTTTCCCCATCCATTTAAGAGGATAACAATAGTGCCTTCTTTGATGGGCTGCTGTGGAGACTGAAGCAGCTGGCACTAGTAAAGGGCTTGGGACAGAGCCTGGCACCGGGCACCTGCCTGACAGACACCAGCTGTCATCACTCCCAAAGGGCAAAGACTCTAAATTGCCAGACACATCATTTTAATACCAAAGAAGGAAGATTGTTAAGGAGAAGCTGGAACTCAACTGGCCATCCTAAGACCCTATCTCCAAGACTTCCTCTGCCATGTAATGCTGCCCAGAACTGGGGCAGGTGGCCAGCCTTGATCTCCTCAAATGGGAAATAGAGTTAGCATCCCCGGAGCAGACAGCTGTGAACATTGCGTTAGGTGGTTGTTGTGTGTGAAACTGTTTTATAAAGTATATATTTTTAAAACTATACAAGTATAGATTTTTAATGCTAGATGCTAGCAAAAACAACTGAAGGAAGAAGTGCCAGACACAAGCACAAACTAAGCTAGTTCTCATCCAAAGGACAGAAAGTCAGTCACATTTACAGTCACAAAAGAATGGTGGTATTAGGCACCACCATGCCACCACATTCACACATATTGCCAAGGACACTGAACGCTTTTTGGTTTGCCAAGAGTCCCGCTCTTCTGGGAACTCTTCCTCCACATCCATCCCGAAGCCTCCCATATGGTGCCCATAGAAGCTGGCCATGCCTCTGACCTCACTGACTGACCATTGACTGGCCCAGGGGTGGGCACCTGGCCCAAATAGGGCCAATCAGAGCCTTTTGTTTTGATCTAAATATTTGGGTATCCTCCAATTCATATGAAGAAGCCCTAACTCCTAATGTGATGGTGCTTGATCATGGGGCCTTTGGAAAGTAATGAGGGTTAAATTAGGTCATGAGGGTAGACCCTCATGATAAGACTAGTGGCCTCATGAGAAGAGGAACAGAGATCTCTTTCTCTCCCCCACCCCCTCCTCATGAGCATAGAGGAGAGGACATATGGGGACACAGTGAGAGGGTGGCTGATTGCAAGCCAGAAGGAGAGCTCTCATGGGGACCTAGTCCAGCTGACACCCTGATCTCAGATTTCCAGCTCGAAAAACTGCGAAAGAATACATGTCTGCTTTTTAAGCCTCCCAGTCTATGGTATTTTGTCGTGGCAGCCTGAGCTGACTAAGACTCTTGGAGAAACACCTGGCTCACATAAGGCCAATCAGAAAAAGTCTGTTCTGGAGAATCTTGATCCTGGAACTGAGCAAGAGTGGGTAGCTGAGGCTGTGGGCTGGAACACTGCAAGCACTTCTGGCAAGGAGCTGTCACAGAGAGAGGCAGAAGCCAGAAATGGGAGCATGTGGATAGTTCTTGAACCCTGGGTTCTACCCGGCCCACATTCTGCATGTGGAATCAATGTGACTATAGTATCTTTACAATACTCTCCCCTTTAGGCTTAAGCTGTTTGACTTAGGTCCTGTTATTTGCAACCAACAGAGTTTATGTTAATCTTTGAAAATTCATTCATTTATCAAAGAAGCAGAGGTGAAGTGCTTCTGAGCCAGTTACTGTGCAAGGCACTGATGATACAGAGATGAAAGGGAGTTCACTGTTCAGCAATGGGACGGATGCCTTGACAAGCAGTTACTCAAAGCACAATGAATGTTTCCTATGAGAGCATCTGCGTGGTGAGGACACTAAGAAACCTTCATGGGAGAAGGGGTATGGCATCAAGTCTTGACTGATGGCTGCTTTACTGCTGAACCCCCCACAGTTAGCATTGCATGGACAAAAGTCAGCCATAGGACATCACTTTCTACATACTGTTCATACATTTTGTCATAAAGCATTCACAGCCAAGAATGGAAAAGCACTAACTGAAGCCATATTTACTGCAAATAATCAGCACTGTTTATGGAAAATGATTTCCTGAATCTTTTGTGGTTTTTTTCTTAAAGGAAATAACTCAGTCAACTACTATAAAAGTTAGATCTCTGACCTTATTAATGTCCTGCAGAATATCCTATTTAATTTCCCTAAATTGGTCCCTGGGGTGACTAAAACTGTTAACATTGTTAGCAATTGCAATCCAATGATATCAAATCAACATAAATGAGCCTCAAATGTGTTTAGTGTTGAACTATATGGGATATTAATCTCTTACCTCTCCCTTGCCCCTGAGACAATATGCAGGGCTGTATACAATATGCACTGAAGTATTTAAATAATGAATTATTCAAAAAGAAAAGAAACTGCAGGTACCTGATGCCAAAAATCATGCCTGTGAATTCTTAATCTGTTCTCCAATGGGATTAGCATTTAGGACTATGAAAGATATCCTAATTATGCAGAATTTCGGAGTTGATTTTCTGAAGGGCCTGTGCAGATCTAAAAAGCATTAGGCAACAATAAAAACAGATGACTATGAATTTCTGAATTCATAATTTAGTTTCCCTTACGGGAGAAATGACATTTTTATTTATGGGCGCTTTACTCATCAGGTGGGTGCTGAAGTTTTTCTCCTTTCTCCAAGGCACAATGCTTGCTGCAAGCGCATCCATGCAATCATCCTTCTAAAACAGATGTGTGAAATTTACAGGGCTGTGTAACATAGGACCGATGCAATGTATTTTTCCTCTTGTTAGTCCCCACCCGCCGGGTTGCTAGAATAAAACAAAAGAACTGAGAATAATATGGCCAACTAAGGAATCTTTGACCTTTTAATCAAATTAGGAAGAGGATGCAAGTTTGCTTGATGAATTCCATTCCCTTGTTAAATTTTTCAGCTACGAGGGGGAGGAGCCAAGATGGCCGAATAGGAACAGCTCCGGTCTACAGCTCCCAGCCTGAGCGACGCAGAAGACGGGTGATTTCTGCATTTCCATCTGAGGTACCGGGTTCATCTCACTAGGGAGTGCCAGACAGTGGGTGCAGGTAAGTGGGTGCGCGCACCATGCCCGAGCTGAAGCAGGGCGAGGCATTGCCTCACTCAGGAAGCGCAAGGGGTCAGGGAGTTCCCTTTCCTAATCAAAGAAAGGGGTGACGGACAGCACCTGGAGAATCAGGTCACTCCCACCCGAATACTGCGCTTTTCCAACGGGCTTAAAAAACGGAGCACCACGAGATTATATCCCGCACCTGGCTCAGAGGGTCCTACCCCACGGAGTCTCGCTGATTGCTAGCACAGCAGTCTGAGATCAAACTGCAAGGCAGGGGCGCCCACCATTGCCTAGGCTTGCTTAGGTAAACAAAGCAGCGAGGAAGTTCGAACTGGGTGGAGCCCACCACAGCTCAAGGAGGCCTGCCTGCCTCTGTAGGCTCCACCTCTGGGGGCAGGGCACAGACAAACAAGAAGACAGCAGTAACCTCTGCAGACTTAAATGTCCCGGTCTGACAGCTTTGAAGAGAGCAGTGGTTCTCCCAGTACGCAGCTGGAGATCTGAGAACGGGCAGACTGCCTCCTCACGTGGGTCCCTGACCCCTGACCCCCGAGCAGCCTAACTGGGAGGCACCCCCCAGCAGGGGCACACTGACACCTCACACTGCAGGGTACTCCAACAGCTGAGGGTCCTGTCTGTTAGAAGGAAAACTAACAAACAGAAAGGACATCCACACCAAAAAACCATCTGTACATCACCATCATCAAAGACCAAAAGTAGATAAAACCACAAAGATGGGGAAAAAACAGAACAGAAAAACTGGAAACTCTAAAAATCAGAGCGCCTCTCCTCCTCCAAAGGAATGCAGCTCCTCACCAGCAACGGAACAAAGCTGGATGGAGAATGACTTTGACGAGCTGAGAGAAGAAGGCTTCAGACGATCAAATTACTCTGAGCTACGGGAGGACATTCAAACCAAAGGCAAAGAAGTTGAAAACTTTGAAAAAAATTTAGAAGAATGTATAACTAGAATAACCAATACAGAGAAGTGCTTAAAGGAGCTGATGGAGCTGAAAACCAAGGCTCGAGAATTATGTGAAGATTGCAGAAGCCTCAGGAGCCAATGCGATCAACTGGAAGAAAGGGTATCAGCAATGGAAGATGAAATGAATGAAATGAAGCGAGAAGGAAAGTTTAGAGAAAAAAGAATAAAAAGAAACGAGCAAAGCCTCCAAGAAATATGGGACAATGTGAAAAGACCAAATCTACATCTGATTGGTGTACCTGAAAGTGATGGAGAGAATAGAACCAAGTTGGAAAACACTCTGCAGGATATTATCCAGGAGAATTTCCCCAATCTAGCAAGGCAGGCCAACGTTCAGATTCAGGAAATACAGAGAACGCCACAAAGATACTCCTCGAGAAGAGCAACTCCAAGACACATAATTGTCAGATTCACCAAAGTTGAAATGAAGGAAAAAATGTTAAGGGCAGCCAGAGAGAAAGGTCGGGTTACCCTCAAAGGGAAGCCCATCAGACTAATAGCGGATCTCTGGGCAGAAACCCTACAAGCCAGAAGAGAGTGGGGGCCAATATTCAACATTCTTAAAGAAAAGAATTTTCAACCCAGAGTTTCATATCCAGCCAAACTAAGCTTCATAAGTGAAGGAGAAATAAAATACTTTACAGACAAGCAAATGCTGAGAGATTTTGTCACCACCAGGCCTGCCCTAAAAGAGCTCCTGAAGGAAGCGCTAAACATGGAAAGGAACAACCGGTACCAGCCGCTGCAAAATCATGCCAAAACGTAACGACCATCGAGACTAGGAAGAAACTGCATTGACTAACGAGCAAAATAACCAGCTAACATCATAATGACAGGATCAAATTCACACATAACACTATTAACTTTAAATGTAAAGGGACTAAATGCTCCAATTAAAAGACACAGACTGGCAAACTGCATAAAGAGTCAAGACCCATCAGTGTGCTGTATTCAGGAAACCCATCTCACGGGCAGAGACACACATAGGCTCAAAATAAAAGGATGGAGGAAGATCTACCAAGCCAATGGAAAACAAAAAAAGGCAGGGGTTGCAATCCTAGTCTCTGATAAAACAGACTTTAAACCAACAAAGATCAAAAGAGACAAAGAAGGCCATTACATAATGGTAAAGGGATCAATTCAACAAGAAGAGCTAACTATCCTAAATATATATGCACCCAATACAGGAGCACCCAGATTCATAAAGCAAGTCCTGAGTGACCTACAAAGAGACTTAGACTCCCACACATTAATAATGGGAGACTTTAACACCCCACTGTCAACATTAGACAGATCGAGACAGAAAGTCAACAAGGATACCCAGGAATTGAACTCAGCTCTGCACCAAGTGGACCTAATAGACATCTACAGAACTCTCCACCCCAAATCAACAGAATATACATTTTTTTCAGCACCACACCACACCTATTCCAAAATTGACCACATACTTGGAAGTAAAGCTCTCCTCAGCAAATGTAAAAGAACAGAAATTACAACAAACTATCTCTCAGACCACAGTGCAATCAAACTAGAACTCAGGATTAAGAATCTCACTCAAAACCACTCAACTACATGGAAACTGAACAACCTGCTCCTGAATGACTACTGGGTACATAACGAAATGAAGGCAGAAATAAAGATGTTCTTTGAAACCAACGAGAACAAAGACACAACATACCAGAATCTCTGGGATGCATTCAAAGCAGTGTGTAGAGGGAAATTTATAGCACTAAATGCCCACAAGAGAAAGCAGGAAAGATCTAAAATTGACACCCTAACATCACAATTAAAAGAACTAGAAAAGCAAGAGCAAACACATTCAAAAGCTAGCAGAAGGCAAGAAATAACTAAAATCAGAGCAGAACTGAAGGAAATAGAGACACAAAAAACCCTTCAAAAAATTAATGAATCCAGAAGCTGGTTTTTTGAAAGGATCAACAAAATTGATAGACTACTAGCAAGACTAATAAAGAAAAAAAGAGAGAAGAATCAAATAGACGCAATAAAAAATGATAAAGGGGATATCATCACCGATCCCACAGAAATACAAACTACCATCAGAGAATATTACAAACACCTCTACGCAAATAAACTAGAAAATCTAGAAGAAATGGATAAATTCCTGGACACATACACCCTCCCAAGACTAAACCAGGAAGAAGTTGAATCTCTGAATAGACCAATAACAGGATCTGAAATTGTGGCAATAATCAATAGCTTACCAACCAAAAAGAGTCCCAGGACCAGATGGATTCACAGCCGAATTCTACCAGAGGTACCAGGAGGAACTGGTACCATTCCTTCTGAAACTATTCCAATCAATAGAAAAAGAGGGAATCCTCCCTAACTCATTTTATGAGGCCAGCATCATTCTGATACCAAAGCCAGGGAGAGACACAACCAAAAAAGAGAATTTTAGACCAATATCCTTGATGAACATTGATGCAAAAATCCTCAATAAAATACTGGCAAAACGAATCCAGCAGCACATCAAAAAGCTTATCCACCATGATCAAATGGGCTTCATCCCTGGGATGCAAGGCTGGTTCAATATACGCAAATCAATAAATGTAATCCAGCATATAAACAGAGCCAAAGACGAAAACCACATGATTATCTCAATAGATGCAGAAACGGCCTTTGACAAAATTCAAAAACCCTTCATGCTAAAAATTCTCAATAAATTAGGTATTGATGGGACATATTTCAAATAATAAGAGCTATCTATGACAAACCCACAGCCAATATCATACTGAGTGGGCAAAAACTGGAAGCATTCCCTTTGAAAACTGGCACAAGACAGGGATGCCGTCTCTCACCACTCCTATTCAACATAGTGTTGGAAGTTCTGGCCAGGGCAATTAGGCAGGAGAAGGAAATAAAGGGTATTCAATTAGGAAAAGAGGAAGTCAAATTGTCCCTCTTTGCAGATGACATGATTGTATATCTAGAAAACCCCATTGTCTCAGCCCAAAATCTCCTTAAGCTGATAAGCAACTTCAGCAAAGTCTCAGGATACAAAATCAATGTGCAAAAATCACAAGCATTCCTATACACCAACAACAGACAGAGAGCCAAATCATGAGTGAACTCCCATTCACAATTGCTTCAAAGAGAATAAAATACCTAGGAATCCAACTTACAAGGGATGTGAAGGACCTCTTCAAGGAGAACTACAAACCACTGCTCAAGGAAATAAAAGAGGATACAAACAAATGGAAGAACATTCCATGCTCATGGGTAGGAAGAATCAATATCGTGAAAATGGCCATACTGCCCAAGGTAATTTACAGATTCAATGCCATCCCCATCAAGCTACCAATGCCTTTCTTCACAGAATTGGAAAAAACTACTTTAAAGTTCATATGGAACCAGAAAAGAGCCCACATAGCTAAGTCAATCCTAAGCCAAAAGAACAAAGCTGGAGGCATCACACTACCTGACTTCAAACTATACTACAAGGCTACAGTAACCAAAACAGCATGGTACTGGTACCAAAACAGAGATATAGATCAATGGAACAGAACAGAGCCCTCAGAAATAACGCCGCATATCTACAACTATCTGATCTTTGACAAACCTGAGAAAAACAAACAATGGGGAAAGGATTCCCTATTTAATAAATGGTGCTGGGAAAACTGGCTAGCCATATGTACAAAGCTGAAACTGGATCCCTTCCTTACACCTTATACAAAAAGCAATTCATGATGGATTAAAGACTTAAACGTTAGACCTAAAACCATAAAAACCCTACAAGAAAACCTAGGCATTACCATTCAGGACATAGGCATGGGCAAGGACTTCATGTCTAAAACACCAAAAGCAATGGCAACAAAAGCCAAAATTGACAAATGGGATCTAATTAAACTAAAGAGCTTCTGCACAGCAAAAGAAACTACCATCAGAGTGAACAGGCAACCTACAAAATGGGAGAAAATTTTCACAACCTACTCATCTGACAAAGGGCTAATATCCAGAATCTACAATGAACTCAAACTAATTTACAAGAAAAAAACAAACAACCCCATCAAAAAGTGGGCAAAGGACATGAACAGACACTTCTCAAAAGAAGATATTTATGCAGCCAAAAAATACATGAAAAAATGCTCACCATCACTGGCCATCAGAGAAATGCAAATCAAAACCACGATGAGATACCATCTCACACCAGTTAGAATGGCAATCATTAAAAAGTTAGGAAACAACAGGTGCTGGAGAGGATGTGGAGAAATAGGAACACTTTTACACTGTTGGTGGGACTGTAAACTAGTTCAACCATTGTGGAAGTCAGTGTGGCGATTCCTCAGGGATCTAGAACTAGAAATACCATTTGACCCAGCCATCCCATTACTGGATATATACCCAAAGGACTATAAATCATGCTGCTATAAAGACACATGCACATGTATGTTTATTGCGGCATTATTCACAATAGCAAAGACTTGGAACCAACCCAAATGTCCAACAATGATAGACTGGATTAAGAAAATGTGGCACATATACACCATGGAATACTATGCAGCCATAAAAAATGATGAGTTCATGTCCTTTGTAGGGACATGGATGAAATTGGAAATCATCATTCTCAGTAAACTATCGCAAGAACAAAAAACCAAACACCACATATTCTCACTCATAGGTGGGAATTGAACAATGAGATCACATGGACACAGGAAGGGGAACATCACACTCTGGGGACTGTTGTGGGGTGGGGGGAGGGGGGAGGGATAGCACTGGGAGATATACCTAATGCTAGATGACGAGTTAGTGGGTGCAGCACGCCAGCATGGCACATGTATACATATGTAACTAACCTGCACAATGTGCACATGTACCCTAAAACTTAAAGTATAATAATAAAAAAATAAATAAATAAAAAATAAAAAATAAATAAATAAAATTTTCAGCTACACATTGATGTGATGGAAGAAGAGTAATCCTTTCAGTGATCAAGTTACAGATGCTCTATAAATAGTTGTTCAATGGGCGAATGAAAATAAAAGGTGTCAATTATCCTATATGCATTCATTTTTCTTTTCTGTAAATGGAAAACTTTTTTCTTCTTCTTTATACAATGTTTGGACCAGGTGATAATTTCATATTCCCTCCCAACTTTCCGAGGGGAAGTGGCAAAACACAGAGAAAACTGGAACAGAAGCACAACCAATATTGTCACATTTATCCACAATATTCATTTTCTTCCCGCTTTTGCAAGCCATCAATCATCATTTATTTAGCACCCACAGGGTGTTCAGCTCTGTGCCAACTACTTCAATTAAATATTCAAAGCCATTTCTAACACCACTGAAAACCAAAGCAACCGCAGTTAGGGATAAATCACATATCCCTCCTTTAAACTCATTGGGAAGAGTAAGCTATTTGAAAATAACAAATGGTATTGTCATAGTTTCCTTCCCATGTCTCAACTGATTTTGAATAAAGAAAATCAATGACTTTGTTAGAAATGATGTTTGCTTTTAAAGCATATATGTTTGCAAGCAGGAGGTGAAGGCAAAGATATGGGTGAAGTTTTAAGAAAACGTCAAATGCAATTTGCTGTTTGTGTCCTGTGGCAATTTTACCCTAAAGGAAAACCTAGAGTGCCTGGCACCTGCCCCTGCCCTCCCTGAAAGACGGCCATGTGTTCTCCCGTCAATGCACAAAGGGCAGCTCCTTTCTGCAGGTCAAGCTGTGGGAGCAAAGGACAGGGGCCTCTTGCTGTAGCCTGAGGGTGGACATGCCACTTTTTCTACTTTACTTGGCACGAACATATTCACTGTCACTCTCAGCCAGGTATTTTTTGCTTGGATGAATTAATTTTTCAATGAGTTGTGCTGAGCAAATTTTTGAAATATAGTATTTATCAGCAAAATACCCAAGCCCCAAGGGAAACAGCAGGCCTAACAGCAGCAGATAATACAGCCACCACCAGCCTCCTGGACTCACCAAAACCTGGTCCCTCCCTCCCATGGGGACAGTAAGTGGGGACAAACTGCTTGAGTAGCAACCAGACCCTCACCCACAGTATGGTGAGGTGGGCACCTGCATGAGGAAGCCCCAGAGGCCTGGCCACTCTGGTTCCTCCCCTGGGGCTGAATGAAAGAAAATGGCCTGCATAGCCCCACCTGTCCACCTGACCCTGCATGGCCCATGCCAGGCAGTCCTGTCTTGGTCAGAGCAGGGCATTCCTTGAGCCCCAGAGGACCCACTTACTTAATACCAAGGTGATAAACCTGAGATTATCTTCAGCATTAGTGGCGGGGGTGGGGGGATGGGACACGTGGCTAATTGGATCATCCCTACACACCAAGACCAATAACAGGTGTCAGCAGAACCCTGATTTCCCAAGCATTATTATAAAACCACTTCCTCATAGGTAATTATGTCCTTAACAGTCCCTGTTATAGAAGGTGAGAAGGGAGATAAAGGGAAATAAAAGTAAATATATGTTAAAAATATATATACATACATACGTATATTTATATTTATATTTATGTGTATATATGTATATATATACACACATACACAGACACATACATACAAGCACATCTATACATAAAGATATCTAATAATCCATGTGTTTTCTGAAAATGAAATAGGCCCAGTATAATTTACCTTTTGGAACATTTCGTATGAATATAAGTAAGAACTTTCTACCAATCCCAGCTGTCTAGCAGTGAATGAGACCAGGGGCCTGCAAATCATGGCCTGCAGATCAAATGTGGCCCACTGACCATTTTTTGTCAATAAAGTTTTATTGGCACATGACCATGCCCATTTGTGTACATGTCAATGGTACCTTCACTTTCATAGGATGGCAGAGCGGAACAGTCGCAACACAGGCTGTATGGCCTCCAAAGCCTGAAATATTTACTATTTAGCTCTTGACAGAAATAATTAGTCCCTCCCTGAAATGAGACCAGCTGGTGAGGTGGTGAGTCAGCTCTACAGTGACCATCAGCTTTGACCTCAGCAGAGTAGTCAAACCTGGTTTACCAAGGTTTACCAAACCTACCTATGCAACAGAATCACCAGATGCTTCTGAAAAGCTGTACTCCCAGGGCCCACTGGCCCTGAATCAGAATTTCCAGATGAGTGGGTGGAGCAGGTGGGTTTAAGAAGCACTGGTTGGCTCCCAGGATTTCTGATAGCCACATCTCACCTCTCCTTCACTTTCCACCCTTTTCTTAGATCTTTCATGTGTATTTCCTTGTTTAGTGTGAAGATGCAAGTATTATCCTCATTTTGCAGATGAGGAGGTGAGGTTCCTCTGATGTGCCTGCTGGTCAATCTAGAGCCAGGGCTCAGACTGAAGGGCAGAACCTCTTCCATCAGCCCCTTGACCCCTCCCCATGACCTCTAAGATCCACAACCCTATAAAGTCCCAAATAAAACAGGAAAGAAAGCCTCAAAGACAGAGCCAGCTCATTAGCATGTAACCAGCAAATGCACACATTTTGGGTTTGGTATGCCCAGGAGAGCAGGACACCTATTCAAGGAACTGTGCCTGGCACAAGGATGAGCAAGTTCACATGTTCACCCATTCGATAAGCACTACCAAATTCTAGGCACCAGGATAAGATAGGACTATGACCAGGAAGGAGACAGCATGATGCTGCCCTCATGGAACATTCCAGAAGAGTTGGAGGGCAGGGACTTACCCAGATAATTCCAGGAACATTGAGTGTTGAACTTGCCCTTGGGTCTTGCCAATCACACTCCTACCTGGTCTCCCTTCCCTGAACCTCTGCTTCGCTCTCTCCTTCACTCAGCTCCCAACTCAGATGTATCTTCCCAAAGACCTTTCCTGGCCAAACTCCCCCTGTGAGTCCCCTACACTGCTCGGTCTGGTTTCATGTTACTTCTTACTCTGACGTATGGATTGACTCTGGTTTTCTCTGGTCTCTCCGTTACCCCAGGATGAAAACTTTCAGAGAGCAGGACATGGTCTCATGTATGATGGTTGTGGCGTTCCATATTTGCTCCTGCCTCCCTCCTTCTCTTGCTCCCTCCCTCTATCTCTCCTTTCCTTCCCACATTTGACCACCTAAAACATAAATGAACAACAGCGTTCTACCAGGGTATTAAGAATATGGGTACTGAAGCAGAGGGGGTATGGGCCCTAAAAGAAGGGCCTGCAGGGATTAGATGTCCTTAGCAATATTTGGAAATGAGTGGGTTTGGGTTAGCCCTTCAATACAGAATGGGACTTCTCTTGTGGCCCCATCCAATCTCCTCCTCCCCATCTCTGGCTCGCTCTGTGCAGGCTTTGGCCAGCTTTGTGTAGCGCCACCAGCAGGGCCACCTTGGCCACTGGGGGATGGGGTGTGATGGATCCCCAGAGGACACACCTGAGATGCTCTTCCTACGGCTCATCTGAGGGGCCCTTGGAGGGAGGACTGGTCACCCTGGGGGTTCAGCACTCCTCGCTTTGGTCTTTCCAGTTTCCCAGCTTCATGCTCCTGGTTCCTCACTCACTCCTCTTCCTGGATACACTTCCCAGTCAACTACAGCTGCAAGGGTTTTCTCAGGCTCTGCTGTCAGGGGAAGACAGGCTGAGCCCAATTTCAACTCACCCATGATGTCTCCCACCACCTCACCCCTATCGAGTGGCCTGTCCCACCCCTGACTTGAATTCGAGTTCCCTAGGGGCTTTGGTGGTGCCCTCCTCTTTTCTTGGAACGACTAACAGGATCTGCACAGGTCCTCCTAAGTGGCTGCCTCCATGTCTTGCTCATAACAGAATCTCAATAAACATTTGTTAAGTGTGGTTTCACAAAAATGAATCCATCCACATTTCCGAATAAATAACAGTTCCTGTGTGTAAGGATCCTGCCTGAGTCCATGAATCAGCCTTATCATGGAACACTGAGTTAAGTAGCATTTAGAGGACCTGGTGTGACTCAGTGGCCCAGGAACTCTGCATGGTCCGCCTGCTTTCTGTCCTGAGGGTCAGCTCTTTCCCCAGTAGGGCCAACACTCAGGCACTCAGGCATGGAGGCAGGTCATAGAGAATGCAATGCCATAGGCTCCCCTCTGCTTCCAAGCTGTCATCAAAGGGGATATAGGCCCGAAATAACACTGAGGGGTTTTTAAACACATGCCAAAAGAGCATCAGGCTATCTCCTATTGTGTTCAGACCCAGGGAAAGCAGGCAGCTAAGTGCAGGGCAAAGCTGAATTTGCTCTAGTGGGCAGGCAGGAGCAAAAGGAGCTGACTCCTTCACAGTGAGCTCCCCTCTCCTGCTCCTTCTCTATAGCTCACAAGCACGGGTATGTTGAGTCTTTGCCCGAGCCCCGTCCTGCCACAAGGCAGAATGCAGGCAATGTTGGTTGAATTGATCACTGCTCCACACTTACTGGATTCCCCCTGCATTGGTTCAATAGGCTTCTATTTAACCCTTTGGATATAATTCAGCAAAATGCACGTCACTCCAGAGCAGGATTCTGTTTCTGTGCTGCATTTGAGTTCATCTCACCACCCGCTCGGAAACCAGGAAGGATGCCGAAGTGAGTGATCAGCCCTTGATCGCCTGGTGGACCAGCCTCCCCAGCCCCTCTGGCAGCTGTCTGGGAGGCCTCCACTTACTGAGGCGGACAAAGAAACTGCAGCAGCATTGCAAACAGACCAGGAGCGTGAGGCCTGCCAGACAAGTCTGTCCTAGTCTGTGTGGAGTGCACACTATCCCCATTCCCCACTTCCTGTGCCTGGACACCCTGGGCCTGGCTGAGGCCACCTTACTGTGTGACTCTGCTCCTTCCCCTCTCATGTGTCCCCCGGGGTTCTAGCTCTTCATTCTCAGCTGCACTGCCTGGACTGTGTTCCCAGCCAGCCCATCATGCACGGGAATTGGGCCTCAGATTTGATTTCTCGTCCCTGCCCGGCTGATCACAAAGCACACCCTGCTCGGGTTTCCAGGGCATTTTCTCGTCCCAGCTTCTCTTTCCCAGATCCTCCGTCTGCATTGGCTGAGGGCTTCTCTGTGCTCCTCACCCTGCAGTGAGCATTCAAATAGGATGACGGCCCTATTTTTAAGCAAAGAAAACAGCCTTCTGCAGGAGAACTGAAATGAGATGAGGAATACAGGGCTGGACCAGCCAAGTGCCCTTTTTAAAAGGATGAAAATAGAAAGTCTGAATTTTTTTGTTTGTTCGTTTGCTTAATAAGTAAAGAAGAATCTATACCGTCAGCCACTCGCCAGGGCTAAAATAGTTTTATACAAGTTATAGCTGGGGTCCTCTGAGGAAGGGGGCAGCCCTTTTGGCACCTTAGCTGGAAAACAAATTATTCCAGGTCTAGTGCCCAACACCCCCCACCCCGCCCCCAGGGAAGCACTCAGTGGAGCTTCCTGCTGATCCGCGTCCAAACTGTTGGGCCCACGCCACTGCATTATCCCTGCAGAGGCCAGCATGGTTCACTCCCTGACCCCACCGGAACTTCAGAGAGCCTTCTGAAGCTCCCGAGTACTCCTCACTCATGTATTCACTCCACCGCCATTTTCTGAGCACCCTCCAGATGCCAGGCACAGTTCTAGGCCCCAGATGTGCAAGCTGAACTTCCACATGGCCCCGGATTGTGCACTGCTGCTGGGAAGGTAAAATGCTGCAGCCGCTGTGGAAGACAGCATGGCAGTTCCTCAGTCATTTACAAATAGAAATTTCCACTGGGCGTGGTGGCTCACGCCTGTAATCCCAGGACTTTGGGAGGCCGAGGCGGGCAGATCACGAGGTCAGGAGATCGAGATCATCCTGACCAACATGGTGAAACCCTGTCTCTACTAAAAATACAAAAATTAGCTGGGTGTGGTGGTGGGCGCCTGTAGTCCCAGCTACTCTGGAGGCTGAGGCAGGAGAATGGCGTGAACCCGGGAGGTGGAGCTTGCAGTGAGCCAAGATCACACCACTGCACTCCAGCCTGGGCGACAGAGCAAGACTGTCTCAAAAAAAAAAAAAAAAAAAAAAAAAAAAAAGGTGGAAGCGACCAAAGTGTCTATTGATAGCTGAATGGATAAACAAAATATATGCGTATGTGGCATACACACACAATGAAATAGGATTTAGCCTTCACAAGAAAGGAAATTCTGACCCATGCTGCAACATGGATAAACCATGAAGACATTAGTGAAAGAAGCCAGACACAAAAGGACAAATACCGTATGATTCCACTTACATGAGGGATCTAGTGTAGTCAAATGCACAGAGACAGAAAGCAGAATGGGGGTTGCCAGAGCTGGGTCTAAGGGGAAATGGACAGTTACTGTTTTATGGGTACAGAGTCTCGATTTGGGAAGATGGAAAATCCTGGAGATGGATGGAGGTGATGTTTGCACCACAATGTGAATGTACTTAATGCCACTAGCAGTACACTTAAAAACGGTTAAAATAGTAAATTGTATGTTATGTGCATTATATCACAATAAAAATAATTTAAAATGAATTATATAAATAAAAACCACAGTCCTGGATCTCAAGGCTCTCCAAGTCTTGTGGCTCTGGGCAATTGTCCCCAGGGCTCGTCTGGCACTTGCACAACCACTGTTGTCCACAGGAGTGATGAAGGAAAATACTACAATTTTTATTTATACTTACTTTTATCTCATCTTTTACAGTATCTGTATAGAACTTATGAGTACAATGGCTTGTGGTCATACTTCATAGACAAATAAATGGGCCATCATCAGGAGTGCCCTAAAAGTTCCTTTCTGATGGGGATGAGTGATAGAAAGGAATGTGGAGCCCCCGTCCTGGTGGATAGGCTTTTGTGGAGAGCCGGGGGATGCCCCCAGAATTGGAATCGTCTCCTCCTTACCGTGGGGAGGGTGGTGGCAGGTTCGGGAGTGTCATCATCCAAGATGTGCTAATGACCACAAGTAGGCAGTGAAGTTAGGGCCCGTGGTCCACCAGGCCATCAACCCTGCACTGGGAAGGCCATGCAGGGGTCTAGAAACAGCCCACCACAGGACCTCACACCAGCACTGGCTCCCAGATCCCCTTCCCTTTCTTCAAAAAAGATCATGGCTTCTTTTAGAGCCTTTTCCCCCTGTTCCTGGGACTGCTTGTCACTCTGCAGAACTGCGGGCAGCTGAGCCTGGCACAGCCACTGTGGCTAATACCACTGCCTGGGGCCAGCCTTGCCTGCATGGGCTCTCTCTCTACCAGGATTAGAGTCTGCCATTAGACACCTCACTGTGGTAGACCTTCCTACAGCCCCACTCAGAAGGAACTTGTGTCACGCTTTTCCAGGACAGTGCCGAGTGTAGCTGTCAACCATCCTTTCCACTGTCCCTCAGCAGGGTCCCACACCAGCCACTGACAAGCCTCTATCTTGGATGAGGTCCAGCCCCACCTTGGAGGGAGGGGAATTTGCTGAGGCTTCCAAGGAAGATGCTCTTCTTTGATCTGGGAGATACTTTGCTCAGTAGCTGCGAAGTCCAGAACTTCTATAGCCATCCTCTCCAGAGAACACAGCTGACAGCAGGGAAGCCGGAGTGAATACACAGAAGGCAATCAGGTTCTTGATTTTGGAGCAGCCAAATCAAAGCATCCCTGAGGTCTGCCTTACTACTGGATTCCAGTTCCACATGCAAATGAATCCCAAACTCTTTTAGAATTCAGTTTGAATTTATTATTTGCACCAAAAGCATCCTAATTATACACTGGCTATTTGATTTGGGTCCTGTTTTTTTTCTTGCTGGATTTGATAGACCAGGGAACTCTCCATGGACTTCTCTCAGGTGGAATTATTTTCAGCAGAGCATGGAGTGATGTGTTGGCCTGTGCTCTCCATTTTCTCTCAGAAGCCAGTGAGTTCTGTGAACACAAAATGTCTGAGACAGATCTCAGTCAATTTAGAAAGTTTATTTGGCCAAGGTTCAGGATACATCTGTGACACAGCCTCAGGAAGCCCAAGGTGGTTGGGGGTATAGTTTGCTTCTATACATTTTAGGGAGACACGAGACATCAATTAGTATGTGTAAGATGTGCATTGGTTTGGTCCAGTAAGGCAGGACAACTTGAAGTGGGGGCTTCTAGGTTAGAAGAAGATAAGAGACAAAAGGTTGAATTCTTCTGAGTCCTTGACCAGCCTTCCACTGAATACACAATTTAGTCTGGCTCAGCGAATCTGCATTTTTACATAAACAGTAGGGGAGAGGGAGCAATCAGATATGCATTTGTCTCAGATGAGCCTCAGAGGGATGACTTTCAATGGAATGAGAGGAAGGTTTGCCCTAAGCAGTTCCCAGCTTGACTTCTCCTTTTGGCTTAGAGATTTGAGGGTATTTTTGTTAATTATTGTAGATGAGATTATTTTCTTGATTTTTTTTTTTTTGGTCACTTCATTGGTAGAGAAACACTACTGATTTTTGTATGTTGATTTTTGTGTCCTGCAAGTTTACAGAATGTAATTAATCTAACAGTTTTGGTAGAGTCTTCAGGATTGTCCTATATTTAAGATCATGTCATCTGCAAACAGAAACAATTTAACTTCTTCCTTTCTTATTTGGATGCCTTTTGTTTCTTTCTCATACCTGAGTGCTCTGGCTAGGACTTCAGTACTATGTTGAATAGAAGTGGTGAAAATGGGCATCCCTGTCTTGTTCCTGATCTTAGAGAAAAAGGTTTGCTCCAATGGTGAATAGGATGATGTTAGTGAAACAACATAGTTCCCTTGACCCTTTTGTGGGACTCGCAAAGGGGTTGGCTCATTTACTCAGCCCACAGTTCTCAACCCCTCATGGGAGGGGGAGCATCCAGGTGAGCAGGTGCAAGGGCCAGGACAAGTGCTTCTGGGTGCCAGGAGGAGTAGAACTCTTTGCGGCCCTGCAGCAGCATCTGGGGGATACCTGCAACCTTCAAAGCCCCAGAGGGTGTGTGTTACAGTGTGCTTTTTCAGCTTTGGCACACTGTATGGCTTACATGTTTAACAGCTCAGTGGAGGGTCAGTGTGACAGCCTTTTGCACTCACCCCCTTGGTATGCAAGTTCTTGTCTTGTCCAGCATCTAGCAAAAATCAGGTCACACAGGTAAATTGAAGGGTGGTGAATGTGGAGAATGTTACTGAGCAGTGGAAGTGGCTCTCAGTGGGATGGGAGCTGGAAAGGGGATGTAGTGGGAAGGTAGTCTCCTCCTGGAGTTCAGTCGTCCCCAGCTGAACTCTTCTCTGAAGTCCCACTGTCAAGCTGTCCCTCTGAAGTCAAGCTGCTTCTCTCTGCCCACTGCCCAGTGGAGCCTGGGGATTTTATGGGTACAGGATGTGGGGCTGGGAAGGGTGGGGCAGGGTGGGGCAGAGTGGTTTTGGAAAAGGCAACATTCGGGCAGGAAAACAGTTATGCATTTCTCACTTGGTCTGCAGGTCCAGGCTTGAGGGTGGGGCTTCACCAGGGACCCTCACTTCTCTGCCCAGTATTTCCCTGCCTCCTGTCCATATCATTAGCTGTGGGCTTATCATATATTATCTTTATTTTGTGGAAGTACATTCTTTTTATACCTAATTTATTGAGAGTTCTTATCATGAAAAGTTGTTAAATTTTGTCAAGTGATTTTATGCATCTATTCAGATGACTGTATGGTTTTTGTCCTTTATTCTGTTAATGTGGTATATCATATTTATTGATTTCCCTATGTTAAACCATATTTATGTAGCTGCCCAATGAGTTCATCTTGCCCGCTGCCTAGACAGAGCTGATTTATCAAGACAGAGGAATTGCAATGAAGAAAGAGTAATTAATGCAGAGCTGGCTGTGCGGGAGATGGGAGTTTTTTTATTACTCAAATCAGTCTCCCTGAGCATTTGGAGATCAGAGTTTTTAAAGATAATTTGGTGGGTAGGGGCTTGGGAAGTAAGAAGGGCTGATTGGTCAGGTGGGAGATGGAATCAAAGGGGGTCAAAGTGAGGTTTTCTTGCTGTCTTCTGTTCCTGGGTGGGATGGCAGAACTGGTTGGGCCAGATTACTGGTCTGGGTGGTGTCCACTGATCTATCCAGTGCAGAGTCTACAAAATATCTCAAGCACTGATCTTAGGAGCCAGAGGCTGCATGACCCCTGAACCATAATTTCTAATCTTGTAGCTAATGTGTTAGTGCTGCAAAGGCAGACTGGTTCCCAGGCAAGAAGGGAGTCTTTTCAGGAAAGGGCTATTATCAATTTTGTTTCAGAGTCAAACCATAAACTGAATTCCTTCCCAAAGTTAGTTTTGCCTATGTCCAGGAATGAACAAGGACAGCTTAAAGGTTAGAAGCAAGATGGAGTCTATTAGCTCTGATCTCTTTCACTGTCATAATTTCCTTAGTTATAATTTTTGCAAAGGTGGTTTCACTTACATCTCAGGGATAAATCCCACTTGACCATGGTGAATGATCCTTCTAATGTGCTATTGAATTCAGCTTGTTAATATTTTGTTTAGGATTTTTGCAGCTATGTACATCAGAGATATTGGCCTGTAGTTTTTTTTTATTGTAGTGTCCTTGTCTGGCTTTGACATCAGGGTAATGCTAGCCTCACAAAATGCGTTTGTAAGTACTCTCTCTTCTTCAATTTTTTGGAAGAGTTTCAGAAGGACTGGCATCAGTTTTTCCTTAAATGTTTTGTAGAATTCAGCAGTAAAACCATCAGTTCCTGGGATTTTCTTTGATAGGAGACTTTTTTATCACTAATTCAATCTCTTTTCTTGTTACTGGTCCACTCTGATTTTCTATTTCTTCATGATTCTGTTGTGGTAAGTGGCATGTTTCTTGGAATTTATCCATTTATTTTAGGTTACTCAATTTGTTGGCATGTAACTGTTTATAGTAGTACCTTATGATTCTTTGTGTTTCTGTGGTATCAGTTGTAATGTCTCCTCTTTCTTTTCTGGTTTTATTTATTTGAGTCTTCTCTCTTTTTTTCTTTGCCTAGCTCAAGTTTTGTCTGTTGTGTTTATCTTTTCAAAATATTAACTCTTGGTTTTATTGATCTTTTCTATTGTTTGTTTAGTCTCTTTTATTTATTTCTGCTCTAATCTTTATTATTTTCTTTCTTCTACTAACTTTGGGCTTATTTTTTTCCTACTTCCTTGAGGTATAACGTTAGGTTGGTTTATCTGAGATCTTTCTTTTTTGATGTAGGTTTTCATTGCTACAACCTTCCTCGTTAGAATTGCTTTTGCCGTATCTCGTAAGTTTTGGTATGCTGTTTCCATTTCTGTTTGTCTCAAGATATATTTAATTTTCATTTTTAATTTCTATTTTAATCCATTGGTTGTTCAGAAGTATGTTGTTTAATTTCCATATATTTGTAAATTTTCCAAAATTCCTCCCATTATTAATTTCTAGTTTCGTACTATTGTTGTCAGAAAAGATATTTGATATGACTTCAATCTTTTAAAATTTGTTAAGACTTGTTTCACGGGCTAACATATAATCTATCCTGAAAAGTGTTCTGTGTGTACTTGAGAAGAATGTGTATTCTGATGCTGTTAGGTGTAATGTTGCATATGTCTGTTAGGTCCATTTGGCTTAAAATGTAATTAAAGTCCAATGTTTCCTCATTGATTTTTCTCTCTGAATGATCTGTCCATTCTTGAAAATAGGGTATTAAAGTCCTGTACTATTATTGTGTTGTAGTCTATCTCTCCCTTCTGATCTATTTATATATTTAGGTGCTCTTGTGCATATATATATATATTCCCATTAGGTGCATACACACACACATACACACACACACAACTGTTATATCTTCTTGATGAATTAGCCACATTATTACTATATAGTGACCTTCTTTGTCTGTTTTTATGGTGTTTTGCTTAAAGTCTGTTTTATCTAATATAAATATAGCCACTCCTGATCTTTCTTGGTTTCTATTTGAATGGAGTTATCTTTTTCCATCCCTTCACTTCCAATCTATGAGTAACCTTAAAAATGAAGTGAAAGTGAGTCTCTTGTAGGCAGCATATAGTCGTGTCTTTCTTTTAACCTATCCATTCAGCCACTCTATATCTTGTAATTGGAAAATTTAATTCACTTATATTTGAGATAATTATTGTTAAAGACTTGGCTGGGTGCGGTGGATCACGCCTGTAATCCCAGCACTTTGGGAGGCCGAGGCGGGCGGATCGTGAGGTCAGGAGATCGAGACCATTCTGGCTAACATGGTGAAACCCCGTCTCTACTAAATATACAAAAAATTAGCTGGGCGTAGTGGTGGGCACCTGTATTCCCAGCTACTTGAGAGGCTGAGGCAGGAGAATGGTGTGAGCCCAGGGGGCGGAGCTTGCAGTGAGCCGAGGTTGCACCACTGCACTCCAGCCTGGGTGGCAGAGTGAGATTCTGTCTCAAAAAAAAAAAAAAAAGACTTACTATTGCCTTTTCGTTTATATTTTTCTGGTTTTTTGTAGATCCTTTGTTTCTGTCTTCCTCTCTTTCTGTCTTCCTTTGTGATTAAATAATTTTCTATAGTGGTATCCTTTGATTCCTTACCATTTATCTTTTTATGTATCTACTATAGGCTTTTGCTTTGTGGTGGCCATGAGGCTTACATAAACCACCCTTTATACTCTGGTCATTATTCATCCTTCTGATTTCAACACCACTTCTGTCTACACATGAACCCAAGTCCAGCCACAAGAGACAAATAATGGTAGGGAGAAATTAGATTCTGTGCATTTACTTGGGGCAAAGGAAAGAAACAAACACCATGATTTCAAGCATCTCTATTACTCTCACTCAATTTCCCATAGCTGCCTCATTTTATATCTCACCAGTCTCTCTATTAGTAGATACAAGGAACATTTTAATGTTTTCTTATATCTCAGCCAATTGTGTTCACAGGATGCTTCTTCCAACACTGTGATCTTTAATCTAATTAATAGGCTTAAGCCCCATTTTTATTTTCTCTTGTCTTGTCCTGCATTTGTTCTGCTTTTGTTCTATCAATCAAGTTACTATGTAGAAAGTCACTGAACTAACCGCAGCGTATTCTTCTCCAGCGCATATATCCTGGTGTCATTTATCTTGCTGTTGCTCTTTCACCTCATTTCTTTCAAGAATTACGTGAACATTCACATGTGTTAAATTAAAAATATATACAACCTTGTAACAGGGAGTTATCATTTGCATAAAATACTGCCACCTGACAGGCTTGTAAGCCATTACAGACAAGACAGGACTTAAACATGAAGCTCAAGGCTGCCTTGTCATGCACAGCAGATGTCTCCTGCAAAACTCACTGTAAGTCAAAAATACTACAGTTTGGGTCATGCTGGAAATGCATAAAAGGATGGTTTTTTTTTTTCCTCAACAAACTGGTAGTAAGTTGTTTTCTACAATTAATAATGCTTACAGAAATATTAATTACTTGTGGCCGGGCGTGGTGGCTCACGCCTGTAATCCCAGCACTTTGGGAGGTTGAGGCAGGTGGACCACAAGGTCAGGAGTTCAAGACCGGCCTGGCCAACATGGTGAAACTCTGTCTCTACTAAAAATACAAAAATTAGCCAGGTGCAGCAGCGGGCGCCTGTAATCCCAGCTACTTGGGAGGCTGAGGAAAAGAATTGCTTGAACCCGGGAGGCAGAGGTTGCAGTAAGCCGAGATTGCGACACTGCACTCCAGCCTGGGTGACAAACTGAGACTCTGTCTCAAAAAAAAAAAAAAAAAAAAAAAAAATATATATATATATATATATATATAAATTACCTGCAAAGGTAGCTCCAAGTTTAAATTGTGGCAATATTTTCTTAGGCAGGTTCTAGCTAACTGACAGCTTGCCTCTCCATAGGAGTGGCCCTTAAATCACATGATCTTTCTTGTGAGATAATTGGATCAGGGGTAAAAGTTCAATTCAAGCCTAGCCAATCAAATTCTCTCAAAGTGGCTTGGTAATCAAAATAGCTTTGTCTCTCAAAGACAGGGAGACTCAGTCAATTAGCCCTGAGAGACCAGTCAGGAAGGAAATATAGACTGAAGCCTGCCGTTTTGGGCCAACCAAGACAGAACCATGTGCATGGGTGTGATCTGAGTCTGGGCAGCAGAGAGAGCAGAAAAAAGCAGTTTGGCAGCAATAATGAAAGGGGAGAGGAAGATGCCAGAGCACCTTACCCAAGCTCACCTGCAGTTACTATAGTTAGAATCCAAAAATACTCTTTTATTCTAACTATAAATCCTGCATTACTTAGGCAGTCACACTGGCTAGTATGACTGTGTGCATCAGTGATACATTGGATGATGCTTTAGACAGTGAAGCACAAACATCCAGTGGCCTCTTATCCACTCATCTTTCTTGACACTAGAAACTTCTCCCAGGCCGTCAGCTTTACTCACTCTGCCTTCTTTTTTTCTTTCTTTCTAATTTACCAGCTGTTCATGAATGGCCTCTGGAGAAGCCTTTAGTGACACACTGCCAATTGTCTTCTATGAAAAAGCCCAAGTCCTCATGATGGGAATTTCCAAATCTTAGTGCACTCATGCCTCAGTTCTAATTAACAGAATTTTAAAGTTCAAAGGAACTTTATATGAAAGGACCATATGGCCCAAATTTACAAGGTAATCCTCACATCAAATATTCTGTTTAATTTGCAATGAATCTATTCGCATTTTTGTTTCAGAAAAATGTTTCCCTTCAGGCCAGCCATGGTGGGTCACACCTATAATCCCAGCACTTTGGGAGGTCAAGGCAGGAGGATTGTTTGAGCCCAGGAGTTCAGGACCAGCCTGAGCAACATGGCAAGACCCCATCTGTACAAAAAAAAATCTTTAAATTTCAGGTGTGGTGGTGTACATCTGTGGTCCCAGCTACTCGGGAGGCCGAGGCAAGAGTGATATGGTTTGGCTGTGTCCCCACCCAAATCTCATCTTGAATTCCCACATGTTGTGGGAGGGACCCGGTGGGAGAAAATTGAATAATGAGGGCAAGTCTCTCCCGTGCTGTTTTCATGATACTGAATAAGTCTCACGAGATCTGATGGTTTTAAAAAAAGGAGTTCCCCTGCAAGTTATCTCTCATTTTCTGGCTGCCGCCATCCAAGTATCATGTGACTTGCTACTCCTTACTTTCTGCCATGATTGTGAGGCTTCCGCAGCCACGTGGAACTGTAAGTCCAATTACACCTCTTTCTTTTGTAAATTGCTCAGTCTTGGGTATGTCTTTATCTGCAGCATGAAAATGGACTAACAAAAAGAGGATCACTTTAGTCCAGGAGTTTGAAGCTGCAGTGAGCCATGATTGCACCACTGCACAACAGTCAGGGTGACAGAGTGAGACCCTGTCTAAATAAAAAATATTCCCCTTCCTTCTCCTGAGGATCAAAGAATAAGTGTGGACCCAGTAGCTAATCTCAAGAAGCTTACAGCCTAATGGAAGATTAAACAAGTACATCTTAGTCAGGATTCCTCAGGTTACAAATGACAGAAACCCACGTAAACCAGGCTGGACAAAGAGAGGAACCCATTGGCTCAAGGAATCCAAGGATAGTTTAAAGATTCAATCTGACAAAAATGCAAGAACTCATCAAGGAATCAGAACCAACTGGGTTCTCCATCCAGACTCTTCCTCTGCATACACCAGTGAGGTTTAATTTATTACTAATAAAATGGGAGGATAATGTCTACCTTAGACGTCTGGGGTAAAGATTACATTTTAAACACCTCGAGGAAGTGCTGAGAATCATGCAAGGAAGGAGCTCAATAAATGTCTCTATTTTCTCTTATAGATGTTCCACAGTACTTGTAAAACACTGAGCACCAAAATGCAGCAAATCCCAGGAACAAAGAATTTGTTACCGCATATACTTTAGGTAGGATGAAATGGAAAATGGAAAACTGAAGAAAAGGGGGAAAACAGAGATAAAGAAACTTTTGAGTAATTAGGGAGAATCTTCCAGGCATCTTCCAGTCCAACAGAGATATTCTTTCTTCAAAAACCAAAGCGGTATATTCAATTTCTCCCCATCCCAGGAAAGTTGCAGGAAATTATCTTGAAGAAAGTGTTATCAAAAAGGAAACCACACTTCCTAAATTTCCAACAGTTGCACAATAGCTAAAGTATTAAAATGGAATATGTAGAGCTAGAAAAATAGGAATACATTTATAATGCCTATGGATCTGAGTTAGAAAACTTTTATAGATTCAAGAATGAATTTGGAACCACTTAACTGAGAACTCTCTGGAATTAGCATATAAAAAATAAGCAAGTATTCTGAAATCAAGAAGCATGGACTGAAGCTGATTAGTACATTAGGAGTAGAAAAACTCATGAAGATTAACGTGGATGCAAAAGGGCCCAGAACAAAACTGCCTCCACCATCCACAGCTAAGGATTCACCAGTAACCTGATAAAGAAAGATCTGAAGGAAATAATGTGAAATGATGAAAAACACATTTTTTAAACTGTCAAAGGTGCTAATTAGAATATTTTTTTAAAAACTGAAATGTCTAAATGAAAACATGTAATATAAACTTGTACACACAGAGAAAGCTGTTTAAATGGAGTATGCTAAAATAATAACAATGGTCTGTTTGTAGGGTGGCACTATAGACAACTTGCTCTTCATTTCTTTTCTGTAATGAATATGCATTACTCTTCATTAAAAAAGATTTTAGGAATAGACAGTTCTCAAAAGAAGATATACAAATGGCCAACAAACATATGAAAAAATGCTCAACATCACTAGTGATCAGGGAAATGCAAATCAAAACCACGATACAATACCACCTTTCTCCTGCAAGGATGGCCATAATCAAAAAAATCAAAAAACAGCAGATGTTGGTGTGGATGCGGTGATCAGGGAACACTTCTACACTGCTGGTGGAATGTAAACTAGTACAGCCACTATGGAAAACAGTGTGGAGATTCCTTAGAGAATTAAAAGTAGAACTACCATTTGATCCAGCAATCCCATCACTGGGTATCTACCCTGAGGAAAAGAAGTCATTATACAAGAAAGGAACTTGCACACGCATGTTTATAGCAGCACAGTTCGCAATTGCAAAATCATAGAACCAACCCAAATGTCCATCAATTAATGAGTGGATAAAGGAACTGTTGTATATATATACAACGGAATACTACTCAGCCATAAAAAGGAATGAATTAACGGCATTTGCAGCAACCTGGATGAGACTGGAGACTATTAATGTTAGTGAAGTAACTCAAGAATTGGAAACCAAACACCACATGTTCTCACTGATATGTGGGAGCTAAGCTATGAGGATGCAAAGGTATAAGAATGATACAATGGACTTGGGGACTTGGGGGGAAGAGTGGGAGGGGGTGAGGGAAAAAAGACTACAAATAGGGTGCAGGGTATACTGCTCGGGTGATGGGTGCACCAAAATCTCACAAATCACCACTAAAGAACTTAGCTGGGCGCAGTGGCTCAGGCCTGTAATCCCACCACTTTGGGAGGCCAAGGCGGGTGGATCACCTGAGGTCAGGAGCTCGAGACCAGCCTGGCCAACATGGTGAAACCCCATCTCTATAAAAATACAAAAAATTAGCTGGGTATGGTGGTAGACACCTGTAACCCCAGCTACTTGGGAGTCTGAGGCAGGAGAATCGCTTGAACCTGGGGAGGTTGCAGTGAGCTGAGATTGCACCATTGCTCTCCAGCCTGGGTGACAAGAGCGAAACTCTGTCTCAACAACAACAACAACAACAAAAAGAAAAGAACTTAGTCATGTAACCAAATACAACCTACCACCTGTACCTCAATAATCTATGGAAAAAAATAAAAAAATAAAAAAGTTATAAGGGAGGTAGTCAAAAAAATAAAAAATAAAAATAAAATAAAGTTATAAGAGAGCTAGTCAAAAATAAAAGAAAATAAAAAGAAAAAGGAATACAGTATAAGTAATGGGATGTCACTTCTAATAGTAGGTTACAAAAAGACTTCCATCTTGAATTTTTTCTTGCTTTCTTGCTTTGAGGGAAGCCAGATGCCACATTGTGAGCTACCTTTTGGAGAGGTCCATGTGGCAAGGAACTGAGGGAGTCCTGTGATCAACAGCCAGCAAGAAACTGGACCCTAGTAACAGCCACATGAATGAGTGTGGAAAAGGACACTCACCCATCCAAGGCTTTGGATGAAAACCCTAACCTTTGCTGATAGCTTGACTAAAACTTTAAGAGATAATTTGAGCCAGAGAAAACCCAACTAAGGGCCAGGCATGGTGGCTCATGCCTATAATCCCAGCACTTTGGGAGACCAAGGTGGATGAATCACCTGAGGTCAGGAGTTTGAGACCAGCCTGGCCAACATTGTGAAACCCCATCTCTACTAAAAATACAAAAATTAGCCCGATGTGGTGGCATGTGCCTGTAATTCCAGCTACTCGGGAGGCAGAGACAGGAGAATTGCTTGAACCTGGGAGGCAGAGGTTGCAGTGAGCCGAGATCACACCACTGGACTCTAGCCTGGGTGACAGAGTGAGACTCCGTCTCAAAAGAAAAAAAAAAAAAAACCAACTAAGCTGTGCCCAGATTCTTGACCCAAAGAAACTATAAGATAATAAATGTTTGCTATTTTAAGTTGCTAAAAAAACAAAACAAAACAAAAACTACTTTAGGAAAATGTTTTAAAATTACTTCTGTCATTGCTAAGACAGGGACATGGAAAATCAGACTGAAGTTTCAAAAAAAGTACCCAGAACATAAATTTGAAGGCACAACATTCTAACTAACACCTACTGGGTGTTCCAGTGGCCAGGCACAGTGTAGAGAGAGGGCTTAGTGTAGAGGACCAGCACATTTCATCTTCACAACGACCCCACAGGTTGATGCTATGGCTCCCCCCTATGCTATAAAAGGATAAAGTGAGGCACAGAAAAGGGAGTGATGTGCTCAGGGTCACCCACCTGGGTAGAGGCACAGCCAGGACGTGGACTCAAGTCCATCTGACCTGGGAGAACACACCCTCTAAACCTCTACTGGGGCAACTCACTCCATCAAAGCCCATCGGTTCACATGAGATGTTCCATTAAAACTATTGCAAAAAATCATTCATTCAATTCTCATGAGAGTCCTGGGGCAGGTACAGAAGCTATGTCTCAAAGAAGTCAGGCTACTAGACCACACTCACACAGCTGGTAGGGGTATAGCACTCATGTAGCCCTCCTCTTTCTACACTGTGGCCACAACACTCATCACCAGGAGAGCTGGCATTCCAACTGTGCTCTTCCCACCCAGGATCAGGACTTTTGTTCAGGAAATTCAATAGCACATTCAACAACTCTCCACAAAGCACTGCCCCGGGGGCTGATCACCAGGGATCCAAAGACAGAGCTTTGTCAATGTTCCTCTTTCAAGGGGCACACATTCTGTTGGGTTACACACATAAGGCACACACAGTCATAAGGTGATATGACAATGATTGTGATGATGGCAGCTGTAAGATTTACATGTTTTCCATGGAAGACCCAGGAGAGTGCCCAAGAGGTCCAGACAATAAGAAAAGAAGCCTGTTAGACTCTGTTGCAAGCCAGCAACAAAGATTGATTCTCTTGTTGAATTGAAGACAGTACCCCAAGCGTCTGTAAACAGAACACAAGGAAGAGATTCAGCTAAACATGGAATCCAGAGGTGCATTCTTCCTTGCTCCACCTCCCATCCTCCCCTGTAATCCGGTTAGCACCCTGTTAATCTTAGCTTTGTTCATTGGTAAGTGCATTTTAGCCTATGGGATATGCATGCATAATGCTATGCAGAGCACAAGCATGGGAGCCAACCTTCTTTCTGATGTTTAGACTCCTCATTCCTGACCTCATGCTCTAGAAGGGCCAAATGCAGCTGTTCCTCAGTGGTACTGAGTCAGATCTGTGGTTAGCCCACAGGATGCTGATCCAGATGGGTAGAGAGGAAAGAACAAGGACACCGGGAGCTGGGCTCCTGATTTCAATTCTGTTCGTGACTGGGTTATCTGCCCTCCCTATACCTTTTACTCCCTTTTCCAAAATAAGTGGTCTTGAATATTGGACTCACTAATTTTATAATTGGAATTAGTCTTAGAGCTGGCTGCCTCCTATATTGAATGCAAGAGAAAACCAAAATATAAAAGAGTCAAGCAAAATACTCAAAGCCACATAGGGAATTAGGGATACCCTTTCTATTAATTCTAAGTGGACACTGTCTGGGTGTAAAGGATCCCATTCTAGGGATTACTTCCAGGACGAGAAGCAGAAATGGGTTGAGGAGCCATGGCTTCACCTGCAGCTCAGGGAAACCTGGTCACTGGGGGGCCCAGAGGTCAAAGACGTATACTTCTCCTTCCCTGCTCTGCCCTCACCACCCTTGTTGTGATTGGCCCCTTTCCCCTGCACATCTCTAGCCAAGTTTCCTGCAGTAAATTCAAGCAAGGAAATGCTGATTTCTGGCTTGAAGGAATAAGGGAAGATTGTGTAGTCTGCAAAGCTAAAAGTGACTCCGCCAACCAGAAATCAGGTCTCAGCAATGTCATCTGTTGTATGGAACAGAACAATGAAAGCCTCAGTTTCTTTTCAGTGAAATAGGACTAATGTTTGCCTTATTCACCTTAGAGAGTAGCCTGTTAAATAGAAACTTATTCTGACACTTGACAAAAAGATAAGGAAGACTTTATTCAAGACCACTGCAACAGAAGTCATCTCTATGCAATAGGGAAGAGAGTGGGCTCAACTTCAAATATAAGGACAAAGGGGCTTGACAGACAAGAAGCAGGGTAAAGGGTGGGGAAGCATGGGGTTCAGTGGATGGAAAATTACTCAGAAGAATATCAAGGATCAGGGGGTTCTTGCTAAACTCACCTAGCAGGATTCTTGTTAAAGGCAGGCCAAGGACTTAGACCTCAAAGTTGGGTGATGAGAAACTTGATCAGATATCAAGGGTAGTGAGAGCCTTACTAAGGCTGGGCTGGGCAGGTAAAGGACAGGACAGGGGCTAAGCTCAAGGCCTGGTCAGAAGGAGAGGTCAGAGAGCCCAATCAAAGTTTGGCCAAGGAGAGAGTCTTCGTCAAGCCACAGGAATCAGCTGAGACTCTCACTGTAACATGCATGCTAGGAAACTGTAAAGAACAATTCTTATAACTTTGCTATATATATCTTACAGTCATTTGCTATGAGGATTATTTAGAAATAATTTGTGTTTAATAGCTGGTTAAAATACAGTTGGTATTCCAAGTGTAATCAAACCAAACACACAAGATACAAACCCTGGAAGCTCTGAGAAAGGAAGGATTTCACAAGCCAATAATGTTATGACCATCTGATTAACTGCTTTTAGCCATCATCACAGCTAACAGCCAGGTAGTCAGGGACCACTGGGAAGCTGGTCCTATCTAGGCATCTGAGTGATGAGCCCAGCCAGTCACTGGCAAGACCCTTGGGATGAGTCCCACTTCACAGCTGGGGAGGTGGCTCAGGGTTCAGCCCACACAGAGCTGTGTTAATCAATCCTGTACTTCCAGCCTGAGGAAGAACAAAAGGAGGAATAACTCAGAGAAGAACTTTCTCATCCTGTATCAATGTCTTCCTGCTCATTTTAAAGACTGCTGTTTAATAACTGCCAAGAATTTAGGAGGTGATTTTGAATTCTTTCACAGATTTGAGAACATCACTAAGAAAACAGATCACCTGGACCAGATGCAATGCTGCATTTAATGCACTTTTATTCATCCAGGAAGCTTTGAAATGTGCCCAGCAATACAGCAGCAGATGAATTTAAAAGGTCCAGAACCCAGAACCCAGAGAAGCAAACTAAATCTGAGCAAGGGCAGTCATTGGTCAGGGGTAGGCACTAGGCTCTGCAAGTGTGCCGATGGGGTCATCGGTCCAATACACCACCACGCAGACCACACAGGTGTGAACCAATGGAGCCCTTGGCCATTCTTCCACCTGGCACATTGGACGCAGATCTGCTCAATAAGCCATGTGCTTTCCTCACTGTGCAACTTCTCCCTTTAGACTTCTCAAACATGGATGCCTGGTAGAAACAGAACTGCCTGTTATCGTATCTTTGGGAAATTCAAAATTACTAAAGATTACAGATGCATTAACACCATAACGCAAACCACTCACACAAAAATAGGAGGTAAAAGATAAAGTTTTGTTCTAAATGAAGCCCCTCCTTATTCCCCAAACCCAAGGAAAAATTTCTCGCCCAAGCATGTGATATGCTGCCAGTCTTCTTCTGAGCACGTTCAGTTTATCGTGTCCTGGGGTTATTTCTGTGCTTGCCTCACCCGCCCACTCTACCACTTTTCTTTCAGGGCCCATGGAGCCCTTCTGAGCCAATCAAGACTTAGGTTCTGCTGGCTCTGGATGCAGCCTCAGAATCCTCAATCACTTACCCAGGCAGACACAGCCAGTGAGCCAGAACTGGCACAGAAAGAACTCAATCTGTTGCCATCCCGAGTCTAGACAAGGAGGCAGGGAAAGCCTCGTACTGACTTTGTTTTTATCCCCCTTGGGGCCACAGGAAACGGTCTCAACACTATTCATTTGCCTGCCTTTGCCTTAAGTTCTCACCTGCATTCAAATAAATAAATAAATAAATAAATAAATAAGCCAAATCTTCTTATCAAAAGCAAATAGAGCTTGGGAATGCTCTAATCCAAATGTCCTAATCTTTCTGAGAAGAGAGCATACAGCCAGATCCGGAGGGGCCACCTACCCCGCTTCCCCCTTGCTCACTTTATTCCTGCAGGACACGAGAGCTGCTCTCTCCAGAGGGTAAGGGAGGAGGTGCCAGCCAGCTTCTCCAACAGGTCAGTGTGGTCACCTTTTGGGAAACCCTTGACAGAATTCCACCTTCACAGATATCTAATCCTATAGAGCTATGGTTCCCCCAAAGATTTTGGATGTGAACAGTGGGGGCTCTTGTTTATCCTCCAGAGTGAACCCACCAGGGGTTTTCAAAGCAGAGCCTCAGCAGTACCGGATGCCACCTCACTTCTGTAAGGAGGAAGGATGTGGGGAAGCCCCGGACCATATAATGGGTATGAATTCCTACTGGGAAATGCTTTTTCTTCTAGATGTAAAATATCCAAAAGAGACTGTGATCCTCCTCTAATAGACATCCATGAAATAACCTGTGCGATCTATTGAAAGCATGTTCTCTGTACTGAACTTACAGGTGGAGGCTGGCGGCTCTTGGTCTAATAGAATCAGAATCATCTGGAGGGCAAGGATGGGAACAAAAGAGGCTTACGCTTTTTGAAATAGTTTTGAGCACTGAAGAGTTGATTCCATTAAACCGCTGAGTCTAATAAAAGGAAACTCCCTTCAAAAAGAGGCAACACAAGTATTTATATGAAAGGGGAAAAAATACATCCCTCAGGAACTAAGCAATAAACACATGTAAAAATGTGATAAGGAGACATTAAAAAATCACTGTGTTACACTCAGCTAGTTTCAATGACTTTAGTACTACACAAACAGGAACAAATCCGTGGATCAAGAACAAACCCCAGGCTGCCAGTGCACTTTCCAACTAGCAAAGCCAGAGTGCTGTCTCAAGAGGCAGTGTCTGGAGCCTGAGAATCCAAGTCCACTCAGTGTGTTGAGATGGCCTGGCTGTCCTTCACAGTCAGAGGTCACCTGGTTCCAGTGGTTTAGCAGGGCAGAGTGCCCAGGAGCTGCCAGCCCTGATGCCAGAAGTGGGGAGCTGCTGTGACCAGATACAAGGTCAAACAGGCAGTGATGCAGAGTAGGAGCAAGATTGGGTTTAGAAACCAGAACCTGGGGACCGCTGTGAGGGCAGAGCCAGCAGGGCCAGCAGGCAGGAGGCCAGAGAAGCAAAGAAGCTTGCCAGCCAGGCCACTGTACCTGCTGGGGTGGTATTTGGTTATGGCAGGATCTTTCCAGAGGCATGCTCCACCCCACCCTACCCTCAGACCCACTGCCTCTGTTCTTGAAGACACCTGACTCCACACCCAGGACCTGCAAGGGGTCATAGAGAGGAGGACCTGCCAGCTGCCTCTCTATGTGGGGTGGGAGCAGCTGACACAGGGACCGCTCTGAGGAGGAGCACGGAGGCCCACAGCCAGTCCAGACACCCACTGATCCAGGGGCAGTGAGAGCAAGTTGGTGCGACCACAACCTCTGTCACCTGAGGCCAGTGGTTTACAACTGGACACAATTTTGCCACCCCTTTTCCCCACCCCCCATTTGACAATGTCTGGAGGGATATATGGTTGTCACAACTTGGAGGCACAATGGGCCTCTGGTGGCTACAGGCCAGGATGCAGCTAATACCTTACAATGCACTGTATGGCCCCCACCACAAATAATATCCGGCCCTACACATCAATAGTGCTGACACTGACGAAGCCTGCCTTACACCAACCAGTAGGTCATGAAATGTTTCAGATGCAAAATGGTGCTGCACTTCACACATAGTGAGGACATTGCTGGAAGCCTCTGCCTTCCTAGAATTTCTTCTTTGATTTCCAGATATCCCGTAAAGCTGTGCGAATGTCCCGATTCTCAATCATACTGTGAAAAAAGTGATCTGGAGGGTCTCGAGACCCGGCTGACTGCTTCTATTTCACCCACCAGACTGTTTCCATACACGTGGGGGGAGATACCCCGAAGAAAACCAATTTAGGAGAAATGAATATGAATTATTCACTCCCCTTACAATGAAAAAAAGAAAGCTGCAACTTGACTAAACAGGGGCCGTTACCCTTTGAAAGATATCTTCCCTTTTGTCTGATTCAAAGTAGCCATTTTTCATGTAAAATATAAGCTAACCGGGGAAATTACATTTCTACTCTTTTATAATACAGATTAGAAAGATGAAGAGAAATCTGCCATAAACAATAGAAAAAGCCATTATTCAGATGAAGAGCAGCCTGCAGGAGGCCAGTTTGCTGGAGATGCAAGACCTGTAAGCAGCAAGTGGCTCAAGAGCAATAATTCTCAGGCTGGGCTACACATTAGAATCACCTGAAAAGCTTTAGAAGCACCTGCCAAAGCTCAGGCCACACCCCTGAATAATTATATTAAGATAAAGACCGGGTTCTCAATAGCTTGCATCAGAATCCCTGGCTGGCTTGTCACAGCTCAGCCGGCTGGCCCACCCCAGGGTCTCCACTCTGTAGGTGAGGGTGGAGCCTAATAAGTTGCATTTCTCTCTCTCTCTTTTTTTTTCCTTTTTTTTTTTTTTTTGAGACGGAGTCTCGCTCTGTCACCCAGGCTGGAGTGCAGCGATGCAATCTTGGCTCACTGCAACTTCACCTCCTGGATTCAAGCAATTCTTCTGCCTCAGCCTCCTGAGTAGTTGGGACTATAGGCACGTACCACCATGCCCAGCTAATTTTTGTATTTTTAGTAGAGACAGGGTTTCACCGTGTTGGCCAGGCTAGTCTCAAACTCCTGACCTCCGGTGATCCACCCACCTAAAGTGCTAGGATCATAGGCGTGAGCCACCGTGCCCGGCCATAAGTTGCATTTCTAAAAGTTCTCTGGTGCCTCTTGTGCTGCTGGTCTGGAAACCTCACTTTGAGACCCACTGCTCTCGGGGAGAGATCCAGGTATTACAGGAAAGGGGTCCCGATCCAGACCCCAAGAGAGAGTTCTTGGATCTCACACAATAAAGAATTCAGGGCGAGTCCACAGAGTAAAGTGAAAGCAAGTTTATTAGGAAAGTAAAGGAATAAAAGAATAGCTACTCCATGGAGCAGCCCCGAGGGCTGCTGGTTGTCCATTTTTATGATTATTTCTTAATGATATGTTAAACCAGGGGTGGATAATTCATGTCTCCTTTTTTAGATGATATGGGGTCACTTCCTGATGTTGCCATGGCATTTGTAAACCGTCATGGCGCTGGTGGGGAGGGTAGCAGAGGATGACCAGAGGTCACTCTCATTGCCATCTCGGTTTTGGTGGGTTTTAGCCAGCTTCTTTGCTGCAACCTGTTTTATCAGCGACGTCTTTATGACCTGTATCTTGTGCAAACACTTATCTCATCCAGTGACTTAGAATGCCTTAACCATCTGGGAATGCAGCCCAGTAGGCCTCAGTTCATTTTACCTAGCTCCTATTTAAGATGGAGTTGTCTGGTTTACATGCCTCCTCAGGAAGATGGATTTGAGGTTTCCTCCTGTCTCCTTGTTTGGTGGTCCTATGATTTGTGAAAAAAAATACATTTGGGGCCCCAAAATCACTCAGCTAAAGGGAAGAGTCAAGCTGAGAACTGCTTAGGGCAAACCTGCCTCCCATTCTATTCAAAGTCACCCCTCTCTCACTGAAATAAATGTATATCTGATGGCCTCCTTTGGAGAGGCTAATCAGAAACTCGAAAGAATGCAGACATTTGTCTCTTACCTACCTATGACCTGGAAGCCCCCTCTCCACTTCCAGTCATCCTGCTTCCAGTCATCCTGCCTTTCCAGACAGAACCAATGTTCATCTTGCGTATGATGACTGATGTCTCACGTCTCCCTAAAATGTGTAAAACAAAACTATGCTCTGACCTCCTTGGGCACATGTCATCAGGCCCTTCTAAGGCTGTGTCACAGGTATGCGTCCTCAACCTTGGCAAAATAAACTTTCCAAATTAACGGAGACCAGTCTCAGATATTCGGGGTTCACAGATAAACCTGTTTCTCTGCTGCAACCCAGTGTCTTGGTGTATTGCCTTGCTCTGTATATTGGGCAATGGTACTTGTTATTGTTACAAAGTAACATCACGCATAAGGTGAGGTGACTGATAGCAATAGCACTGGGGGCAGCACTAGGGCAAATGTTTGAAGTTTAGTGGTAAGATGCTCGTTTATTAGGAAAAAGGACTAGTGATCTATGACTCTGATAATATTGAAGAGGTGTTACAGAAGTGGCACAATGTGTGAAATACAGATATAATGCAAAGATCTAGGCATTCCTGACCAGGTGCACTTGCTGAACCTCAGTTTACCCAGCTACAAAATTGTTGACTGAGATCTCTTTCAAGGTCCTTTCCACTCTCATCTTCAACAATACATGTGTATATTGAGATGTTAAAATAATCGACTTTTTTGAAAGCAAGCCATGCTTGTTTTAAACACATTGGGAAATTCAAAGGGACATCAGTAGTTATCTTTAAATGATATTACCAATGATACAAGTTTCTTCTTTATTCTGTCATATAATTTTGCAAATTTTGCAAAAAGTGATATGTAGTATTTTTATAAATCAGAAAAAATTAACTACAGCAAACACACATACAAATACAGAAATATCAGTGTCCAAGATACACAGAAACAAATCATGTGAGAAGGCCACAGATGATTTGGGATTGCTAATGAAGTTCTTCTCCAAGTGATATCCCAAATTGATAAAACGTGTAAATATCAATGCCTGAAGGCTCAATAAGATGCTAAAAGAAATGAGTTTATTCTATTTTCTAGAATACAAAATTGGTTTTTCTCTTGCCTTGAAGTCTGAAATCATGCTGTGTTCTATCTTTCCCACCAGCACTTTTAGCAGGCTGTGGATGTGACTGAACTCAAAGCACACGACACTACAAGTTTTTTTTTTTTTGAGACGGAGTCTCGCTCTGTTGCCCAGGCTGGAGCACAGTGGTGTGATCTCGGCTCACTGCAAGCTCCGCCTCCCGGGTTCACGCTATTCTCCCGCCTCAGCCTCCCGAGTAGCTGGGACTACAGGCGCCCACCACCACGCCCGGCTATTTTTTTTTTGTATTTTTAGTAGAGACGGGGTTTCACCGTGTTAGCCAGGATGGTCTCGATCTCCTGACCTCGTGATCCGCCTGCCTTGGCCTCCCAAAGTGCTGGGATTACAGGTGTGAGCCACCGTGCCCGGCCAACACTACAATTTAAATACGGTGTTTTGGAGTAAAATAAAAACTAAGCAGAGACTACCTTGTCTGGCCATGACAGAGTAACTGGTGTCAGATGTACCTCCTTGCTATAAATAGGTGTTATGGACTAAACGTTTGTGTCCCAACCTCAAAACTCATAGCCTTAATCGCTAATGTGATGGTATTTGGAGATGAGACCTTTGGGAGGTGATTAGCATTAGATGAGTTTCTGAGGGTGGGGCCCTGATGGATAGGATAAGTGCCCTTAGAAGAACAGATACCACAGGGCTTGCTTCCCTCCACACACATACACAAACAAGAGGTCACCACCTACAAGTCAAGAAAAGAGGCTGAAAAATAAAACCTATCTTGCTAATATCTTGATCTTAGACTTTCTAGCTTCCAGAGCTGCAAGAAATAAAATTATATTGTTTAAGCCATGCCATTTACAGTATTTTGTTATAGCAGTTTTGTTACAGACTAAGATAACAGCTAGCCACGACACTGAGCAAAATGTATGTGGCAACTGTTTTGAGACAGTAGACAAGAGGCAATGCAGGAGAGTAACCCATGAGAGACAAGAAACATACCAGGTAAGCTGCACATTTTCTAGGAGCAATTTCCAGAGTTCAATATGGGAAGTGAAGTCCAAACCCTGCAGGGCTAAGAAGTTTGGGGTTGCCAAGACAATTGGAAGTTGTGGGGAACATGCAAGGAGAGAGGAAGTGGGAGCTCGCCTCTGGTTCTTTAGCAACAGCTGGACTCAGCATACACAGAATAAGCCTGCGAAATTTAGCAAAGAGCTAGGAGATGAACAAGATGCTGTAGGTTACACAGAGCCAGGCATCTAACAATCGGAAAAAAGGTCACAGACAGGGAAAGGGGCAAAATCAGGGTGTACCCCATGGTGCTAGATTGGAATTGGAGTGGTCATTATGCACTGATGCATATACGCATGTATTCATGTATGTGTGTGTGTGTGCACGCATGTGTGTCTATGCACAAATACACATATATACACACACAGAATATCTATAAAAATAAACATATTGGCATACATATGTGCTCGAAGTATATGTATTTGTATGTTTATGTATATGCATGCATGCATTTCTTAGCTCTGTCCACTGAGAAGATCTAGAATCAGTGACACACCAGTAGCAACGAGCATATCTGCTGTTTAGATTTTGGCTTCTAAATACCATTCTTCACTAAAAAGAACAAAGAATCCTAGGCTGATCTCAGGGATGGGACAAGTAAAATACAAATAAGACTGTGGCATCATATTGTACCAGAAAGCAAGAAATTGCTCAAAGAATGATGGGGACATATCAAGAGGACATAGGAGCCACACAGAGCTTTCAGTGACTAAGTCTGTGACAATTTGAGCACCAAAATTTATAATATTAGTAATGGTTAGTAACTCATCAAATAAAATAAGAATACATGAGTCCGTAAACAAGTAGATGAATACATACAGTAAGCAAGGAAAAAAAGAAAAGCTTTTCCCTTCTGCCAAGTGCCAACTAATAAATATAAAGGCCTTAGGGGGGTTAGAAAATCATCAATGAGTGCTAAAACTAGTGGATAAAAGTTGCAGGTGGTACAGGATATTTACATAGTCTCAAGGTATCTCCCTTTACATTGCCTATTAATTTCAAAGGAAAATGGTAAGTTTACATAGAGAAAGTTGGCAGATTCTACCTTTGCCAAGTGATCAAACTTAACGTCGCACATATTGAGACAAACAAATATCACATGCCTTCTGATATTATGTGCTATGAAAGACAGAGTACTGTTTCTTGTGTATTTCTGCTAAAACTGCTGAATCTGAATATGAACGTGGGAAAACATCAAACAAACCTCAACTGAGAAAGTCCATAAAATAACTTGAAAATATCTAAGGTCAAGGAAATGATAAAAAGGACAAGAGACTGCTTCAGATTAAGGGAGACTAAAGAGACATGAAAACTGAATGCAAGAGTGGTCCAGAACTGGGTCCAGGCCTTGGGGAAAAAACTACAAAGGACATTGAAGGAATGATAAATATGGACTGTGGTTTAGATAATAGTATTATATCAATGGCAAGTGTCCTGAATTTGTTAATAGTACTGTGATAATGTAAGAGAATGTCTTGCTCTTAGAAAATACACACTGAAGAATTTAGGGGTAAAAGGGAGTGATGTCTCCAACTTACTTTCATATGGCTCAGAAAAATATTGTTAATAGATAGGTAATGATAAATCAAATGAGAATAAAATGTAAACAATTGGTGAATCTGGGTAAGGAGGTATTGGATAATTTTTGTATCGTTTTCTTTTACTTTAAAGTCTGAAATTATTCAAACTAAAGAGTTACCAGAGAACTTGTCATCACTGGAAGGAACAAGAGCTTCCCTCAAAAACATGATTCAGACTGCCAGTCTCATCCTCTAAGCCATGAGTCCCTGACTCCCCAGCCACGGACCAGTACCAGTTTGTGGCCCATTAGGAACCAGGCCGCACAGCAGGAGGTGAGTGGTGGGTAAGTGAACAAAGCTTTATCTGCATTTGCGGTCACTCCCTGTCGCTCACATTACCACCTGAGCTCCGCCTCCTGTCAAATCAGCAGTGGCATTAGATTCTCATAGGAGCACAAACCCTACTGTTAACTGAGCATGCAGGGGATCTAGGCTGCCCTCTCCTTATAAGAATCTAATGCCTGATGATCTGTCACTGTCTCCTATCACCTCGAGGTGGGACAATCTAGTTGCAGGAAAACACGCTCAGGGTTTCCACTGATTCTATATTATGATCAGTTGTAGAATTATTTCATTATATATTACAATGTAATAATGATATAAATAAAGTACACAATAAGTGTAATGCATTTGAATCATCCCAAAACCATCCCCCTACCCTGATCCATGGAAAAATTGTCTTCCATGAAACCAGTCCCTGGTGCCAAAAAGGTTGGGGATCATTGCTCTAAGCTCACTTCCACCAGTGAAACATGGTACCCTGCACATGGCTGGTTGCTCAGGATGATCTAGGGAACTGAATACTAACTGGTTATAATACACCCAGTGCATAAGCCCAGGAGAATAATTAAAGGCAGGTCACACACTAACATTCCCTTCCTAACCCCTGCACATTAACCCACTGAGTAAGAATGTACCACTTCCTGGTCCGCCATAATATCAATTATCCATTCTCTGGTCACTTAGCCTGTGACATACTGAGATACTGGGTGTGACAAATGTTAGTAAACTGAGAAGTGGTGTCTGTGTGTGTGTGGGGGGGTGCATGCACGTGTGCAGTAATAGTTGTCATTTTCATCTACTAACCATATGCAATAATGCAACAGAGGGGTGAGCTTTTGGAAATCAGGGAATATGTCTTCCTTTTGGAATCCTACATAAATCCTCTCACAGCATCTGGCACACACGAGGCATCCACGAGACACCCAGTGTGGTGTGGAAGAAAGCTGAGTCAGAAGACCTGGAGTTTACTGGCCAATGTTCTCCATGTGGTCCGGGACTTCTTACTTTACCTCTCTGGACTCCAATTCAGTTCCATCAAGCACACACTGGTGCTGTCTGTAGCCAATCTTAAAAGTAGTGTCTGAGGCCGGGCACAGTGGCTCACGTCTGTAATCCTAGCACTTCGGGAGGCCAAGACAAGTGGATTATTTGAGGTCAGGAATTCAAGACAAGCCTGGCCAACATGGTGAAACCCCATCTCTACTAAAAATACAAAAATCAGCCGGGCGTGGTGGCAGGCACCTGTAGTCCCAGCTACTTGGGAGGCTGAGGCAGAAGAATTGCTTGAACCCAGGAGGAGGAGGTTGCAGTGAGCCGAGATCACATCACTGCACTCCAGCCTGGGTAACAGAGCGAGACTCTGTCTCAAAAAAAAAAAAAAAAAAAAGTAATGCCTGAAGAGTTATTTTATCAGTCAAGTTTTAATCAAAGGAGCAGAAACATTTTGAGTATTTTGGATTAAGGGATTTATAGGATGAGGCTTTACACAATTGTGAGAAAAGCTGAAGAAATAAAGTTCCGAGGGGAAGTTGGTAGATCAGAGAAGAGTCATTCCCCAGCTCCTAAGAAAAACTCCAGAGTGTGCAGAGAAGGTCACGGAAAGCTGCAGCCTTTGCACTGAGTTTGCATCCATCAGTAGGGCCACCAGTCAAGAGCTTGATACAGAGCAGAGGAGGGCAGAAATCAGCTGAACTCTGCTGGAACCTCACAGCCTCTAACCAGGACAGTCTTTAAAGAGTCCTACTGGCAGCTTCATTTCCATCTCTGTCACAGCTGCCCGCCAAGAGAGACAGACCCCCACTCAAAGCTTGGTTCCAATGTGGAGACTGATGATGCACACACAACAAGCTGGTATGAAAAAGTTTATTGCTCACATAATTGAGCTCTCTGGGGGGAGTAGGCAGGCCTCCCCAGCAGGCCTGACATGGCTTGAGGGATCGGGGAACCTCTTCCCCGATCGGGGGTTTTATGTGGTTAGGGGGTGGGGCCAGCGGGGAGCTCCTTTTATAGCACAGGCAAAGGCTTGTGTGGTTTGAATTTCCTGCACTAAAGGGAAAGAGAAGTGGGCTTTTCCATCAGCTTGTCCAGCTACGGGGATCAAAAAGAAGAGGGAGGAACGAGGCTTAGAGCTGTCAGCAGTCAAACATCAAAACATGGAGACACATCAAAACATGGAGACAGACTTCTCATTATAACCTTCAGATCTCACAGAAGTATCTCTTCACCAACTTTCACTTGGGGCCATACAGGAAGGAAGAGTCTAAAAAACATAACTTCAGTTTAGCCAAGTTAACCCCATGCAGAGACACCACAGATATCGCTAGGCAAGTCCATGATTAACCAGAGCCAGTTTTGTTAGATTGGGAACATCCTATGGCCCACTAAACTGAAATTCGTTATTGAATAATACAAAATACAGAATAGAAGAAAACTCGTCTTCAGCTTGGCTCTTGAAATATACAACTCTTCCCTTAATTTGCAGTATAAAATAACATCCACCATATCCTGGGCAGGAAACAAACCTTGCCCTCTCCACTCACTGATCTCTATCAAGAGGACCATTTGCAGTGGCTGATGCTTACGGGGATTGCTGAAAAGATACACCAAGGCTGCCTATCCAGTTCTCAAGCTTTTCCCAATTTTACCCCTGGATCATGCCAGCTTGTCAGGGAGCTGCACACTTGGCCATTGTCCTGCCTCCTGTGATGGATTCATGGCAGCCACCTATTCTTTTCTATTTCTCCTGTCAAGAGGTGGAGTCAATTTCCCATTGATATAGGAGCTAGAAAGTAATTATTTAGGCAGATAGGAAGGGCAATAGAGTCCTTGGCGAAATTTCCCTTTTAACGAAAAGCAGCCCCCAAAATCATTTCTTTTCTAACAAAGAGCAGCCTGAAAAATCAAGCTGCAGACATAGACAAGCAAACTGGAAGTTTGCACAGGTGAATGCTGGCAGCTGTGCCAATAGAAAAGGGCTACCTGGGGACCAGGTATGTTCAACATGGAGGCTCCATCTTCCCTTTTCTTTGTAACCATGTGTAAAGTAAGAGAATAGGCAACATGGTGCCAGCCAGGTAGAGAATCCATGTGCATAATAAAAGATTAGGGTGGGGTAGCCAGATTTTCACGCACTATGCAAATGACACACCTAGTTCTAACCAATTTTTTGCGCCTTATGCAAATGGCACACCTTGTCCAAACAATCTTTCATGCCCTATGTAAATCAGACACCACCTCCTCAAGCTAATCTATAAAACTTGCTGCATTTCACCACGGAAGCAGCAACCCATTTTTCTGGGACCCTTCTCTGCTACAGAGAGCCCTGCTCTTCTCTTTGCCTATTAAACTTCCACTCTGAGCCTCACCCTTTGTGTGTCCATGTCCTACTTTTCCATGGTGCGAGGCAACGAATCTCAGGTATTTACCCCAGACAACAACGCCATTTCACCATTCTCTTGAATCTGGACTAACCTCACAATGTGTTCTTACCAATGGAATGTGGTGGAAATGATGTAAAATTTCTGAGGCTGAGCCTTAAAACACCTATGCCTTTCCCTTCACATCCAAGAGGATGGTCCTCTTGGAACCCTGCTGCTGTGTGATGAGAATCAAGGCATGGAACCCCAGCCCACAGCTGACAGTGGTGTGGGAGGGAGCCATGCTGCATGCTCCACATCCAGTTGAGCCCATGGATGACACCACCTCGCCACTGCCTGGCTGAGCCCAGTCCAACCCACAGAATTGGTAGAGATCATAAATTGGACTGGTTATACTAAGTCACTAAGTTTGGGGCAATAACCAAAATGTCCACTACCCCCTCAATGCCACCCACCCCCTTTGTGGGATCTTTCACTGAAATATGCTTTGGTATTGGGTCATCTGCTAGCATTGAAGGATACTTCAATGAGAGACTGGCTTTTATACAAGGTCATTTCTGTCTCCAGCAGAGCTGCTTTCAAGGACAAAGTTTGCAACAGCCAACACTGTTGCTTTGTGAGCACCTGAAGCAGAAATTCTTCTCAGGTGTCAGCCATAGAAAAGGCTAGGCATCTCCTAAACAACTCAGCTGTACACCCGTATTTATCGTACTGTCTTTTTCCCTCTCTGCTTTGTGAGCTAGGAAGTTTGGAACCACACTAATGAATCTCGCTTCCATTAGCAGTGAACTAGCCCTCTATAACTTCATTTTTTTTTCCTTCTTAAAATTTTCCTTTTCTTGTTTTCCTCAACTGCTCTTCCTGCAGCTTGCATTTCTTGCATTTTTGGAAGTTACATCAAACTCTCTGTGGGCTGAGGCAAGATATAAATAAAATGTAGAGAAAACACAGTTGAATAACCATCAAAATGTGAACCTCTAAATTTGCCATTCCACATTTCTCTATAAAATGTCATAAAGTGACATTAAAATAAGAATATAGAAAAATGAATGATGTCTTGTCTACCATGGGGGCAGAAAAAGGAATTCTGTGGTTCTGTTGGTAAACCTGCTCCCAAGATCACCTTTCAGAAACTCTGATCTGACTCTGTTGCTCCATATTTTAAAAGCCTTCAGTGATTAGAAGATGCAAGGGCAGAATGATGGCCCCCAGAGTTGCTCATGTCCTAATCCCCAGAACCTGTGGATATCCTATGTGACACGGCAAAGGGGAACTGAAGTTGCAGACGAATTAATGTTACTAATCAGCTGAACTTAAAATAGGAAACTATCCTGCATTATTTCAGTGGCCCAATGTACTCTTAAGGGTCCTTAGAAGTAGAAGAGAGAATCAGAGAGAGACAGTGTGAAAAGGACTCAACCCAAAAGCAACTCAAAGTTGTGGCATTGAAGAGCATGGAGGGGGCCCTCCGCCAAGGAAGTCAGCAGCCTCTAGAAGCCGGGTAGGGCAAGAAAAGAGATTCTCTCCTTGAGCCTCCGGAAGGACACAGCCCTGCCAACACCTTGATCTCCACCCCAGGAAACCCATCTCAGACTTCTGACAGCCAGATTGGTAGATCATAAAATTGTATTTCTTGAGCCACTAAATTGTGGTAATTGGTTACAGCAGTCATAGAAAACTAATACATGAGATAACGAACAAAGAGTAGGAATGCACCCAGGACTTTTTGTAACCCGCCTAACTTTCCCACCTCATCTCTGATCCCCTTGCCACCCAACTATTCTCCATCCTGTCCCATTCAATGCCCACTGGGCCACTCGGGCTTCCATGTCTGGCTTTTCCTCCCCACTCTTATTCTAATCTGTCTACCTGCTAATCACCTATTCACCAATTCAGGCCCAGCTTGATGGTCACCTCCACCTTGGAGCCCTCCTTGATTCCTTTCCTGTTTCACCCATCGCTCCAGGCTATGCAGAAAGAGCCCCTGGCTGAGAGCACCCAAGTGTTATATTGTTCTATCAGCATTATGGGTTTTTCTGTAGCCCTCCCCAGAACCAACACTTTGAAGGCAAGGACAGTGTCTTGATCCCCTTTGTTTTCCCAGTGCCTGGCTCTTTCTAGATTCCTTATGAATGCGGCCGTAATAGGACAGAATGGAATTGAACAAAAACACAAGAACACACCCACAGTACCCACATTGGCAGATCTTTCACCGTCTGTAAAAATTGTGTCAACGGGGTCAGGAGGCTGGCCCCGCCACCAGATCACCTGGACTCCCTCCAGCTCTGCCACCGCCAGCTGTGGGCAAGTTCCTGGGTGTCTCTGTGCCTTTGTTTCCTGCCTTATAAACCCAGGGGTGGTAGGAAGCAAGCATCTATGTTTCAGAGTTGCCAGAATAAAATGCCAGGATTAAGCACTCAATAAATGCTATGTATTATTATTTATTGCCTACTAGACAAGTCTCCATTTTTACCAAAGTCCAAAAATGACACATTTCAGCTTTTGCCACCAATGGAGAGAAATGTTTTTGCCACCATAAAGACCTGCCCTATTGCTTGCAGAAGTGCTTCTTCCCTTTTTAGATCCTCTCCTCTCCCAATACATATTTCAGGCTTCAACACTCCTCGTCATTGGATGCAGTTTGCTACACACCTCGGGAGTCCTGGAATATGAAGTTCATGGAGGCAGAGAGCAGCCAACACATTGCTTTGAAATCAAGAGGCTTGAAGGGCAAACTAGGGCCACAACTGAGTTCACAGACAGATCACCGACGAAATATGCTAAAATACAGATTCTGAGCTCCTCCGCCAACACCCCAGAAATTCTGATTCCAAGGAGCGGGGCGAGGCCCAGGAATCTGCACTTTCAACAAGCTTCACATGAGATTCTGGTGCAACGTGCATCCATGGAGCACATTTAGAGAAACACTGAACCGTGATCTTAAATCCTTTCTTGCTGGATATCTTAATAGAATTCATTCCGGAAGCCTAAATGCCAAAGAATCCTGACTCCCTCCTGAAATTCATAGAAGACAGCAGGTGCACCTACCTACTTGCCTGCCTCTGCTACCCTTCTTCTGAAACAGCGGCCACACTTGGCCTTTGGCACTTAGCCCTCCAACACAGAGTGTAGTGGTGGTGGGATCACCAGCCAAAGCCCCCGGCCTTTCTGCTCAGCCAGCTGGCATTGCTTTCTCCCAGGCTGGTGCCCTGCAGAGGCCACCATTCACTCCTGCTCCCAGCTGGGCAGAGCACACCCTCTGAGCCCAAGGTTTTCGGCTTTCCATCCCTACATGTGCTGCCCCACCCCCTCCTAGCAAATCCCTTTATTTCATTCCAGCTGATGTCAGTTTCCGTTGCTTGCAAACACCTGAACCAGTGCAATGCAGGGTTTGTGACCTGGTCCCAAGAGGAGGAACCATGGGCAGGAGGCTGACACGTGTTTGCCAAGTAAGGGCTTCCCAGGGAGGGCTGTCTCCAAAACAGGCATGAAAAAAAAAAAAACACCGTGTCCTGTTCTAGGCTTCTACAACAACACCTATCAATATTCCAGCTGCTTTTGGATGATTTAACATGAAAGAGCAGCCCTCCAAGGCAATGACTTGCCTCTTGTGAGCAGCATTTTAAGAGGATAAAAAGCACCCAGAGAGCCAGAGTGACAATGGGTGGCAATAAGAGAATTGTGGAAAAAAATAAAAAGCAGATTGTAATTCTTGTGGTGCCTTGAGCCAGAGCTTACCAAGGCTGCAGGCAGGTTGGAACCCCAAGAACCTTTCCTAGGTTTAGATTCCATGTGGTCGGTGCCACTTGGTGACGGCAGGAGGTGACTCAGGAAGAAGACACCCAGGAGGTAGAACCCAGTAGGAACAGTCCCTGCCCGTGGGAACCAGAGTGGGCTTTTGGAACTCTGTGGGGATAAGGAGAGAAGGAGTCCACCCTCCTCAGTGTCACCCACAGAAACACAGAAAGTCTGATGGAGCAGGAGGTGGCCTCTCTTGGACCAAGTGCGGCGAATTCATTCCATAAGCAGGTTCTTCCTGAACTCCTACTTCCCACCAGATGCTGTCCTGGAACCTTGGAATACAACTGGGAAGACAAAAATGAGTCCCATCTGCTAATTAGGATGGTTATCATTTTGGTTTTGTTAGAAAAGAACAAGAAAATAACAAGTGTTGACAAGGATATGAATAGTAGGAATGGAAAATGGTGCAGCTGCCACGGAAAACATTTTGGTGGTTCCTAGACAAGTTAAACATAGAAAGAATTACCATGGGACCCAGCAGTTCAATTTCTAAGTATATACCCAAAAGAATTGGAAACAGGTATGCAAATAAAAACGTGTACATGAATGTTGATAGCAGTATTATTCACAATAGTCAGCCTAGATGCCCATCAACAGAAGAGTAGATAAATAAAATGTGGCACAGGCATATCACGGGATATTCTTTGGCCATAGAAAAAAATAAAGTCCTGACACAGGCTGCACCATGGATGAAGCTTCATAACAAGCTAAGTGAAAGAAGCCAGATACCAAAGACCTCATATTGTCTGATTCCATGTATATGTAATATTCAGAATAGGCAAATCCATTGAGACAGAAAGTAGATTGGTATTGCCAGGGGCTGAGGAGAAGACTATGGAGGTTGGGCGAAGGTGACTGCTAAGAAGTACAGGGTTTTGTTTTGGGTGCTGAGAATGTTCGGCAACTACATAGAGGTGATAGTTGGACAATATTGTCAATGTGCTAAGTGCCACTGAACTGTACACTTTTAAATGGCTAAAATGGTAACATTTATGTGTATTTTACGACAATAAGAAAAAATGGCTGGGCGTGGTTGCTCACGCCTGTAATCCCAGCACTTTGGGAGGCCAAGGCAGGCGGACCACTTGAGGCCAGGAGTTCAAGACCAGCCTGGCCAACATGGTGAAACCCTGTCTCTGCTAAAGATACAAAAGTTAGCTGAGTGCGGTGGTGCATGCCTGTAATCCCAGCTACTCAGGAGGCTGAGGCACGAGAATTGCTTGAACCTGGGAAGTGGAAATTGCAGTGAGCTGAGATGGCGCCGCTGCGCTCCACCGTGGGCAAAAGAGTAAGACTCCATCAGAAAGAAAGAAAAAAAGAAAGAAAGAAAGAAAGCAAGAAGGAAAGAAAGAAAGAAAGAAAGAAAGAAGGAAGGAAGGAAGGAAGGAAGGAAGGAAGGAAGGAAGGAAGGAAGGAAGGAAGGAAGAAAGGAAACTCTCCTGGCCAGAGCTTACAATTTAAAGAGAGAAACAAAAAAGGAGCCAACCATGATGATCTCTGTGTTAAAGGCATCAGCAGGGAAGACCAGACACCCCCACGCCAACAGAAAAGGGATTCATAGCTTGAATATGGGGAGGTGTCAGCCAAGAAGACTTCTTGGAGGCAATGTTATCAAAAATGGAAAGGAAATATTGGAGTTAACCAGACTGGGTCACGGAAATGCAGGTAGGAGGTGTGGAAAAGGCTGCGGGGGAATAAGGTGGGGAGACTTTGGCAGGTATAGAGGCCCAGGGGCCCGAGAGCCTCAACATCTTCCAGGAGATTTGGAGGCTACAGAGTGCCGGATGAGGAGTGTCAAGGAACAAGGTCCCTGGTGTGCTGGGACCAAGCACAGCACAGCTCTGTGTGCAAATATCTTCTGGACAAGACGTCTGTCCATTCTCACTGGCTGTCCAGTCTCAGCCAGCCTTGGAACAGAGGAGAACTGTCTGAGAAGCGTGTGCAGAAGCCAGAAGAACATTCTCATCTTTTCAGCACCTCTGCTCTTGTTTTCCCACCCATGCCCTTGTCTTAGGGCACAGAGCGTAGAAACAGGAAGAGGGGCGATCTCTCAAAGGAACAAATGACACAGGGACTCAAATCCTGATGGAGTGCTGCCGACTCATTCAGATACAATCTCTACTCTACAGGTAGGAAAACTGAGGCTCAGGGCTTTTCAAAGATTTTCTCAGAGTTATGTGGGTCATGAGTGGTGGGGCAGGGACTCAACCCCAGACAGCCTGAGCTCAGACCTGCGTGCCCAGCACACAGGGCCAGCTGGGGGATGGAGGTAAGAGAAAAGGAGAATGAAGTGGGCACCCTCCCTTGACCCTACCCCCCAGAAGGCAACCCTGGTGCCCATGAAGGCTTTGCCTTCCCCTCCATCACCTTCAGGCTCCCCTGAAAGGCCAACATTCAGCTGTCCTGCAGGACCTGGCCCTAGCGGCTGCTATTTCCCCCCACAGGGCTTCCCTTCTCCGATGCTAAAATACAGATTCTGAGCTCCTCCGCCAACACCCCAGAGACTGTGATTCCAAGGAGTGGGGCGAGGCCCAGGAATCTGCACTTTCCTGCCAGGGAAAGCGAGGCAGGCTTCCTGGAGGAAAGCCATATGAGCTGGGACTTGGTATTTGAGTAGAATTTCCCCAGCTGCACTAGGGGGTGGTGGGTGGTGGAAGATGGAGAATCAGAGGAGGGAACAGCATGTGCCAGGCCACAGAGGCAAGCTTGTTTTGGGAGTGGCGAGCAATTCAACTCTCCCTTGTGTGTCCTGGTGGGCCTGTCTCCTCACACAGGGGCTCTGGAGAGCCAGAGTGAAGGGCCTTGCTTCTAAGATCAGGCAGGAATTTCCCAGGGTCCTGGAGACTTTCTGCTGCCCTCAGAAGCATTTGCTGCTCTCAGGAGCTCTGAGACGCCGTCATGATCAGCTGTTCCAGCGCATTTGGATCTGCATGGCCTCAGAGCATTAACAGAGCTTCCTAAGGTCACACGCAACTTCTGCCTTTCCTGTCTAGGGCAGGTCCTGACCTCCAGTGCTTCCCAACAGAGATGCTCTCTGCACAGGGCAGATAAATTATCTTTAGAAAATTTGAAATTATTATGAATCTACAGAGGCTTCAATCGAGTTAAAATAATGAAAGCAGCAATAATGCTGTAATTATTTAATTAGGGAAAGAAATGAAAGATAAGAACCTTTATCTAAGACTTCAAAACACAAATGAGAAATTCACCCTAGATATTAGGTAACTTAGATCTCCATCCTTGAGCCAGAGGGTCCAGTCGTTCTGAATTGCTCGTCGCTCCCAAAACAAGTTTGCCTCTGTGGCCTGCCACATGCTGTTCCCTCCTCTGGTTCTCCATCTCCCCCCACCCACCACCCCCCAGTGCAGCCGGAGAAATTCTACTCAAATACCAAGGCCCAGCTCACATGGCTTTCCTCCAGGAAGCCTGCCTCGCTTTCTCTGGCACAACAGGCAGCTCCCTCCTGTAGCAAGAACACACCAGGACCCTGGTGTGTTACTGTGCTGTCTTGTTGGCACCTACCTTTCAGGCTCCTGGTGAGAGGAAGCCCTTTTGAGATAAAGATGGACTCCTCTTTGTTTTCCCCATACCTGGCATTGCCTGGCACACAGAAAACACCCCACCCACAATTGCTGAGGTGAAAAAGCCAGGGCTTCTGAAGAGGGGACAAGATTTTCCAACTATAAGATGGTTATAGAGCAAACTGGAGCCCGAGTGTGTACTCCAGTTCAAAGCTTTGACTCGAATGCTCTATGTGGAATGATCAGATTTGGTAGGTAAAGAAAGATTGGCAAAGTTCTACAGGTCTAGCTAAGCAGGAGGCAGAGCAGGTTCCTGCCCTCAGGGAGCTCACATTCAGTAGGGAGCAGGTACAGACAGGCAGCAAAATAAATATAGAAGAATTTTTGGAGAGACAAAGCACCTACGTGTGCAGACACTGAGCTACAAACTGGAGGTAGAGAGGTAATAACGACCTTACCCTAAAAGAGATTATCATCTACTGAGGAATCCATAATCCTTCTTACGAAAAATTAAATTATCCCCCTGACTCCAGATGCCGACTTCTCAAACCAAAGTGCAGGCATGTGAAAACATAACTTTTAATTTTTCTTACTTGAACTTAATTTCTATCTTAAGCTCCATCCACCAGTGGCATGAATGTAACTTTAGAGAGTTCAGGTTAAGCCCAGTTGATTCGAGGACCCCTCACTGCCCTTTCTCCTCAGAGTAGCATCTAAATTCAGGGAGGAGGGTTTATATTGGGTCAAGCAAAGGAGGAGGGAGGGGAGGGGTCCTTGGTGTCATCTGTCCAATTGACAACTTTTATGATGTCCTCATTCCCTCTAGTCACCGATCATTGGCATTGATTTCTGCTAGCACTGATGAGACATCTTCAGGGGCATCTGGGCTGCCAGTAAGTTTCAACAAGGTCAATGTGATGCCTTCTCACCCCAGCCTCCAGGACTCTTCAATCAGTAGCCATCTCCATCTCCATCCCTCTTTCAGTAGGGTTGCCAGATTTAACAGATAAGAATACAGGACACCCTGAGTTTTATCTGGCAACTTAATCTTTCAGGGACTCCAGAGGTTTGGGGGATTCTTTTCCAGTGTTCTGGGGCTTCATAAATGAACCCCTGTGGGGCATTCTCAGATCTGCTCTGCCCGGACTCACACGGCACCCCATCTACCCTCCGGCCACTGCACCCCATCTACCCTCTGGCCGCTGCACCCCATCTACCCTCCAGTCACTGCACCATTCATGGATGGAGGACTAGGCCTTCGCTGCTTCCCTGGGCCCAGCAAAGCAGTGGGACTCAGGCTTCTCTGGTGGCTGCATCCTCCCCCACTCCCCTCTCACCCCAGTGGTATTTACCAGCTGCTCAGGGTGGGGAGGGAAGACAAGGAACATGCCCACTTCACCGTTCCACACTAGTAGCAAACTCTGTGTTTCTCCCTCTGATTCTCCCCGGCTAGTGTCCAGTGAAAGATTTTTTCTTGTCTAGAGCAAGAAAATTGGCCCTTTGGGTCCTCTTCATGAATCCTATTTATCTTATATATTCACCTCAACTTTTGAAATAAAAGATGAAAATTGACTCCCCATTTTCTTTGCATTTTGGCTAAACTAACAGGGGAGTAGAAAAATATTGGGAAAAAGGAATAGGAGTCTTTGAGGTGTTAGCACTGTTTTGTATGTTTATTGCAAGAATAGTTTTTTAAAATATATACTTTAATTTCTAGGGTACATGTGCACAACATGCAGGCTTGTTACATAGGTATACGTGTGCAATAGTGGTTTGCTGCACCCATCAACTCGTCACTTACATTAGGTATTTCTCCTAATGCTATCCCTCTCCCAGCCCCCCACCCACCAACAGGCCCCAGTGTGTGATGTTCCCCACCCTCTGTCCAAGTATTCTCACTGTTCAATTCCCACCTATGAGTGAGAACATGCGATGTTTGGTTTTCTGTCCTTGTGATAGTTTGCTGAGAATGATGGTTTCCAGCTTCATCCATGTCCCTGCAAAGGACATGAACTCATCCTTTTTTATGGCTGCATAGTATTCCATGGTGCATATGTGCCACATTTTCTTAATCCAGTCTATCATTGATGGACATTTGGGTTGGTTCCAAGTCTTTGCTATTGTGAATAGTGCCGCAATAAACATACATGTGCATGTGTTTTTATAGTAGCATGATTTGTAATCCTTTGGGTATATACCTAGTAATGGGATGGCTGGGTCAAATGGTATTTCTAGTTCTAGATCCTTGAGGAATCGCCACACTGTCTTCCACAATGGTTGAACTAATTTACACTCCCACCAACAGTGTAAAAGCGTTCCTATTTCTCCACAACCTCTCCAGCATCTGTTGTTTCCTGACTTTTTAATGATCGCCATTCTAACTGGCATGAGATGGTATCTCATTGTGGTTTTGATTTGCATTTCTCTGATAACCAGTGATGATGAGCATTTTTTCACGTGTCTGTTGCCTGCATAAATGCCTTCTTTTGAGAAGTGTCTGTTCATCTCCTTTGCCCATTTTTTGATGGGGTTGTATGTTTTTTCCTTGTAAATTTAAGTTCTTTGTAGATTCTGGATATTAGACCTTTGTCAGATGGGTAGATTACGAAAATTTTCTCCCATTCTGTAGGTTGCCTGTTCACTCTGATGGTAGTTTCTTTTGCCGTGAGGAAGCTCTTTAGTTTAATTAGATCCCATTTGTCTATTTTGGCTTTTGTTGCCATTTGCAGTAGTATTTTTTATATTAATCTATAAATGTGTTGAAATTCATAAGACTGCATACCAAAAGAAAAAGTCGATTTTATTGATCATAATTTTTTAATTTTAAAAAATTTTAATAGATGAATTGTATGGTATATGAATTATATCTCAAGCTGTTTTTAAGAGTTTTTGAAAATTCAACACTCATTTATGAAAAATATTATTAGCAAACTAGTAATATGAGGTATTCTCTTAGTCTTATAAAGATTCCCTTTAAAAAACACAAAAAAGGCATATTTAATAATGAATTATTAAAATTTCTTTCTTGAGATTAGAAACAAGATAAAGGTGCCCACTACTGTTATTTCATTAACTTTGTACGAGAATTTCTGGCTAGTAAATTAAGTCAAGAAAAAATAACTGCATGAGAGTTAGAAATACACATATTGGGAATAAACAAATGAATCAACACAAACTATTAGAATAAATGGACTTTGCAATATAGTTAGATATAAAGTATATATACAAAAGTCAATTGTATTTCCATGTATGAGAAAAAAGTAATAGAAAATGGGATTTTTTAAATTACCATTTATAAGGACATCACAAGACTTTGAATGCTAAGAGTATTTTAAAACTATGAAAAATATCTACACTAAAATTTTTAAATCATACTTAGATACATTAAGTAAGAACTAAAAATATGGAGAGATATACCAACTTTATAAGCTGGAAATCTCAATGTTGAAAAGATGTCATCTGTCCCAAACTGATGTATATTTACGATAATCTCAATTAAAATTCCAATACACCTTTTGTGAACACTGACAAGCTGAATCTAAAATATATATGGAAATGCAAATGGCCAAGAATAACTAAAGTAAATTCTAAAGGAGAAGAACTCTGTTGGGGGACTTATATTCCCTGATACTAAATCATATTATGAAATTATATTAATTAAGACAGATGGTATTGTCACAAAAATAGACAAATAGACCAATGGAAAAGAACATAGTTCAGAACCAGATCCACGCATATAGAGAGGCCTAATTTGTGATTCTGTTATGCAATGAGAAAAGAAAGAGTTTTTCAGTAAATGGTGTGGGGTCAATTGGATATGTATATGTCAAAAAAGAAGAAGAATATTGATTATACCCTTGTCTCCCACCATTTAAAAAAAAGTTTTTCAATGGATTGTATATATCAATTTTAAAGATAAAGCTTCCAGAAGACAACCTACAATATTTTTATGATTTGCAGGTAGAAAAAATATATTTTAAAATTATACACAAAGTTCTAAAAATCAATGAGAGACTGATTCATTTGGGCTGCATTAAAATTTAAAACTTCTGTTAAATCAAAAGACGCTGTTAAAAGAATGAGAAAGCAAGCTACAGAGTGGGAGAGGATAAATGCAATACACATATCTGTGCAAGGACTCATTTCCAGAATATGCAAAGAATGTCTACAAATCAATAAGAAAAAAAACCCAATTGAAAAATGGGCAAACACCTTGAACAGGCACTTCACAAAAAAGATATCCAAATGGCTAAGAAGCATGTGAAATGTGGTCCATTTCACTTGTCAATTGAGAATGGGAAATTAGCACCACAATAGTATACCAATACACATCCATTGAAATGGCTAAAATAAAAAAGACAAACATCATGAATGTAGATCAACTGGAACACTCATACACTGCTCATGGGAACATAAACTGTTACCATCAATTTGGAAAAGTGTTTGACTCTATCTTTTAAACCTGAATATATACAATTGTTATATTGTATGATTGCCAATTTCATTCCAAATTAAATATTCAAAAGAGATGCCTATATATTTTTACTAAAGATAAGTACGAGATTATTCATAGCAGCACTTTTCACAATGGCCCCAAATGTTTAACAATCCAAATGTCCACCTACAATATAACAGATACATTATGATACATACATACAATGTAATCCGTTGCCATATTAAAAGTGAATAATCTACAGCTAAATAAAACAACATGCATGAATCTTGCAAAAGTAATGTTCGGTGAAGGAAAAAACAAGAATACTGCTGTGGTCTGAATTTGTCCCCCAAAATTCACATGTTAGAAAGTTAATCCCCAGTGCAACAGTACTGAGAGGTGGGACTTAATGGGAGTTGTTTAGGTCATAGAGGCTCCACCCTTGTGAATGGATTGATGCTGCCATAGAAAGGGCTTGTGGAAGTGGGCTGGCATTCTCTCTCTATCTTCTGCTCTTCTGCCATATGAGAACAGCTTCCCTGGAGGATGCAGCAATGAGGTTTCCTCTTGGAACCAGAGACTGAACCTACTGGCACACTGATCTTGGACTTCCCATACTGTAGAACCATGAGAGAATATGTTTGTGTTCTGTATAAATTATCCAGTCTCAGGTATTCTGATATAGTAGCACAAAATGGACCAAGACAAATATTGTGGTGGTTTCAGGTCCACATAATTATTTGGCATACCCTTCAAAAAGTAGGACCTAAGTCCTCTCCCCTTAAGTGTGGGCTAGACTAGCAAATAGAAGGAAAGTGCAAGTGACAGTTCAAGACATTGGAGACTAGATCATAAAAGACACTGAAAATCCCTCTTCTCACTCTCTTGTATTGGTTCATGCTGAGATCAACCAGCTGCCATGTTATCAGCAGTCTTAGGAAGATGTGCACATAACAAGGAACTGAGCCCTCCAGCCAATAGCCATATGAGCTAAGCTTTTCAGAGTATTTCTTCCAGCCCCAGGTAAGCCTTCAGATGACTCCGGTTCTGATGGACATCTTGACTGCAACCTTATGGAAGACCCCAAGCCAGAACTGTCCAGCTAAGCAGCTCCTGAATTCCTGACCCTCAAAAACTGAGATAATGAATGTTGTATTAAACTACTAGGTTTGAGGGAGTAATTTGTCACACAACGACAGATAACTAATATTATACATACTACATTATTACATCTGTAAATTTCCAAAACAGGCAAAACAAATCAATGGCACTTGAAGTGAGGACAATGGTTATAATTGTGAATATGCAGTAATGGGATGGGGACATGTGAAAAGCCAGCTCCAAAGACGGCCATCATCACTGCCCCATTTCCTGTGCACACATGGTGCCCCCTTCCCTGGGCTGACTTTGTGACTTGCTCTGACTGTAGAATGCATCAGAGAGGACACTGTGCCAATCCTGAGCCTGCCAGAGGCCTGGAAGCTTCCACTTTTTCACTCTATGGAGAAGATAGCTGGCATACTGTTATGAAGCTCAGGCTAGTGCACTGAATAATGAGGACCTGCAAGGAGAAAGGGAGACCACATGGAGAAGCGCTGAGGCGCCAGACATCTGCACAAAGCCTTCTTGGGTGTGTATAGCAGTGGAGATTAGCTGCTAACTGAATGCATCTGGTTGATTTACCCAAACAACACTAGATACAGCAGAAGAACGGATCAGCTGAGACCTGCCCACATTCCTGAGCCACAGAAGAATTAGAATAAATAAACAGTGTTTGTTTTAAGCCACAGAGTTTTGAGGTGGTTTGTTATGCAGCAATAGATAACTAAAACAGGGCCTAATGGGGTTGACGGGGTTCTCGTAATTTTCCACTTCTTAGTCTGTGTGTTCATCTTATGAAAATACACAGATCTGTACGCTGTATGCACAGATGCACTTTTCTGTATGTTATACTTCAGTTAAAAAAACCTCTAAAAACCTATCAATCTGCTTATTTATTTATTTACCCATTCATTTACTCATTCATTCACTTAGTATCCTGGCACACAGGTGTTCAAAGTCCTACGAAGAAGTATTTCAGAACATAGACAGTGGAAACGGGAAGAAGGAACTGAAATTTACAATAAATCCTAAAGGTTAAACATGAGCTTGTTAGATGAAGGGGAGAATGGAACATTCCACATGGAGCCCTGTACAAGAGCATCCTGTACAAGAGCCCTGAGGTAGAATAGTTCTCATTCTATTCAAGACATCAGGAAAGGTCCACATTAATAGATAGGGCAGAAAGGTGAACACCGGAGTGACCAACCACCCCAGTTTTCCCAGCATTGTCCCAGTTTTAGCAGAGAAAGTCCCATGTCCCAGGAAACCTCTCAATTTCCAGCAAACAGGGGCAGCTGGTCTCCCTAGAGGCTGGAGATGCAGACAGGGCCATAACAACTGAGGCTGAACATGCAGTGTCTTCTAGACTATAGAAAGGATGTTGGTCTTTATTCTAGGAGCTGAGGATTTAAGCAGACAATGGGATAGTGGTATTATTTCTCCCCTTAAAGAACTAATTTGGATGACTGCTGATTATGTGTGGACTTGATACTTTCCTATTCACCCCTGAGTTAATTGGTGAAAAAGCACTGATATCACAGACACACCTCTGGCCACAGTTGCTGCCTGTAACATCTATAAAAGGGGGGTTGTTATGAGGAACCCAGGAGCCACTACTGTCTACCCCCTAAACACTCATCTGCCCCCAAAAATTTACCTCTCATCTCCCATTATCTCTTCCAGCTGCTTTTCCAATTAGGAGATGGGCTTGGTTGACACCAGGCCAGTGACAGCCCTCAGGGGCCATTCCAACTGCTTCTCACTAAGGGTCAGCAAAATCTTCTTTGTAAACCTCTTATAAGTATGAATTTTCCAAAGACCTCTTTTACTAACAAACTCGAGCAAACCAAAACAAACCAATAACTGTGTCAGCAGCATGGTGTTGAAAAGAGCATGGTACTTTCAGTCCTGGTTCCATCATGTGCAACAAGTATGTGTAGTCTTGGAAATACCCCTGGGTTTAGTATTGTTATCAGTAAAGCTGAGAGAATAATCGTAATAGCTGCCCTGCCTCTGTCACAGAGATGCTGCAAGGGATAAATCACATGATGATATTTGGCCAACTGCAAATCACAAGACAACTGCTACTCTAACCAGTCATAAAATGGGGACAATGGTTTATCCCGCTTAGGGTTATTGTATGGATTCTTCCATGTTTTATATCAGGCACTTACTAGGTACTGGGAACACAGTCTGTGTGGGTTATAACAAAGTCTCTGTCTTCCTGGAGCTTACATTCTAGTGAGGAAGACAGATAGTGAACAAATATATACCTTAATGTCAGGCAGTGATAAATGAAAAGGTGTGGTAAAGAGATAGTGAATCATGGAGTGATGAAGGCAGTTGGCTGCATGTTCAGGAAAGTCTCAGTGAAACATATTTATGTTTACATTAGACAGGTACAGAAATGAAGAGAGACTGTGGGTAAAGCGAAGAATGGGGATCTGCATTTCAAGCAACAGAAGTGACAAATACAAAGGCCCTGTGGCAGGAATAGAAGGAAGACAAACATGGCTAGGCCACATAAGCAACATGCAGGAGAGTTCTCAGAGGTGGGCAAGGCAGCAACCTGTGGGTCTTCCTATCCAAAGTAAGAAGTTTGCATGTAAATCTGAGTGTGTTGGGAAGCTTTTGGGGTTTGGGAGTTGGACAAGAAATGATGCAATTGGATTACATATTTTGAAAACAGGCTTTGGCTGCTGTGCAATGAACAGATGGGAACATGAGAAAGGGGAAAAGAGTGGAAGTAAGGAAAGCAGCAAGGAGGTCACTGCAGAAGTCTCAGCAAAAGACAAAAGTAACAGTGAGGGAGGGAAGGCAACATAGTCCAAAGGGCAATGCATTCTACATGCAGCACTGATGGGAGATGCTGACAGATTGGGTGATGATTTTGAAGTAAAGTCAACAAGAGCCACACCACTTACTGATATTTAGATAAAATAATGCATGAAAATCATTTCACACAGTGGCTGGCATACAAGCACTTAATGTGCTATGATAGTTGTTCACCATAATTATTATTTATTTTTATTACGACCAAGCTGGAGACTAATGACAGGTTCTTGGGTTGGCAGAGCTGCTGGAAGTCTCCATTCTCTTGCCATCACCCACAATTTCAAACTTGCACTGACCTATCCATGCCACAGACCTCACTTTCCAGCTGTATGGCAAACCCAGTGCTCCTCTCCAGCAAGGCAGCTGTTTCACTTGGACCTCCAGGAAGCAGGAAGACAGGCTCTTTGGCCACACCTGGAGGCAACACCCATTGTTACCTGTGGGATCTGCCGCTGCTCTTCATGATCTGGACAGACTTCCTTCCCTCACAATTTGAAGTTTAACCCTTTCTCCTGCCCCAGCGTTCAACCCCCTACAGGGTCTGCTCCCAGGTCCTCTGTGAGACCCTCCCCACTCGCATCCCATAGGGCGAGTGAGCCTGATGCTGCTCCCACCTCAGAATAACTCAGCAGCCCAGTTGTGCCTGCTTGAGGTGCTAGGGTCTTTCACAGCTCACAGCTCTCCCTCCTAGCTCCACTTTAGAATCACGTGGGGAACTTTTTAGAACACATTGATGCCTAGCCACTTCTGGGATGACTTAAATCCAAGTCTCTGAGGGAATGAACTAGACATCCATGTTGGCATTTAAAGGCTTTTCCAGGTGATACTAATGAATAATCAGATACATTATTGTGGCTTTGCTTTTAAGATGCTGAGATTCTCAACATACTCTAAAAGGGAGGCAGAATTCCTGCCAGGGAAACAGCTTTTCATGAGGGTCTTGAGTACAGATGCTCATTTAACTCAGCAATTGTCAGAAGCACATAGAAGAGTTTTTACAAAGAGCATGTTATGGGGCCAAGAAACCAGCTTTCCTTTCTTTTTCTTTAACGCTGGAGAAGGCTTTGACTGCACTATCCAAAAAACAGAGGTCCTCAACTTCACAAATGAGAAATACGTGTGTAAACTGCAACAACAGCTTGAGTGATACGGACAAAAGCTAAAAACTTGCATTGTTATGTAAATATGTCAGTAGATTCGGCCAAACTACAAAGATGCCAAAAGAAGCATACAAAATGGAAAGTTATCAAATTACTATAAATGATTTCCAGACTAGAATTCTTTTATTTTTATTTGAGACAGTCTCCCTCTGTCGCCCAGGCTGGAGTACAGTGGCATGATCTCAGCTCACTGCAACCTCTGCCTCCCGGGTTCAAGCAATTCTCATTCCTCTGCCTCCCAAGTAGCTGTGATTAGAGGCACGCACCACCACGCCCAGCTAATTTTTGTATTTTTAGTAGAGACGGGGTTTTGCCATGTTGGTCAGGCTGGTCTCAAACTCCTGGCCTCAAGCAGTCCCCCCACCTTGGCCTCCCAAAGTGCTGGGCTTACAGGCATGAGCCACCACACCCGGCCAGACTAGAATTCTTGACATATAACAGGTGCTTAATAAGTACTAGTGACCGGGTGAGTGAATGGGATTGAAGCAATTCTGCACACTCTCATAGAAACACACAAACTACTGTCAGAAGCTTTAGCAGTTTCACAGACCTTTGAAGTCCCAATCACCAGGCCTATGGGTCTCAAGTTAAAACTCAAAAAAGACTATGGCTCCAGTGAGCAGGAGCCTGCCCTTCACATCCTATAACACCAGCTCCAAGCACATACCTGGCTTGCTGGATGAAAGAAAGAACCCTGCCCCAGCCATTCATTTGACCTTCTGGCAAGGGATTATGATTTCCACAGTTGTCAAGCCAATTCTGCTGGAGTCCTGTTCTTTTTTTCCGAGGAAATATTAAGAAGTAACCTGTAATCTAGATGAGCTCAACAGGTAAGAGAATGTGGCCCAATGAACTCATCCTGAGCTTTAAAATGCTTAGCAGCTCCTGCACCTGGTGAGCCAGCTCACATCTGGGAAACATTTACACACTTATTTCTCACTTTGGAAGTCGAGGACCTCTTTTCATTGGGTAATGCAGTCAAAGTCTTCTCTAGAGTTAAAGAAGGGGATAAGGAATGCTGGTTTCTTGGCACTATAACATGCTCTTTATGAAAATATTTTATATGCTTCTGACAAGTCATCAGGGCAGCTGAGAATGACGTCACCTGGCCACCCTTTAATCCACAAGTCTCAGCAGCAGAAACATGTCATGCACATGTGGCAACAGAGCCGAGAGTGTGATGAGGTCCAAACAGAATGTTTCTCTCTGAAAGTGCTTGAGACAGAAGTCAGGGCTGCCTCAATACTGTATGACATTCTGCTGGGCTTGTTTTTAAAAGCTTTATGAAATGCTTTGGGGATGTCCAAACCCAGGTATGGACTTTCTTTAAAGTCATTTTTGAAACATGAGTGAATGTTAGAGTAGCAAAAAGCACAGCTATTCTACACTCCATGTATCTCATGTTGCAACATCCACTCTAGGAAAGAACCAAAAATTCCCACTGTGCTGCTACTGCCACTCCTACTACATCTACTGCTAGTAGAAACAATTAGAATAGAGAGGGACATTCTCCTGAAACACCTTCTCCTATTTTCCTCCCCAGATGTAATCACTGCTAACTATTGCTGTGTACCTTTTTATTAAACATTTACAAACATAGATCACTACATCTACAAATGCGTAGGGTTCTTTATTATGTAAATACTATGTCTATTTATTTGCAACGTGCCTTTTTATCATCTTGACGATATGCCAGAAGACCTTCCCCGGTCATTACATATAGGGTAAATACTAAGAATCGCAATTGCATGGTCAAAAAGGTTGCACCTATTTTCACTTTCAAAGATAACATCAAATTGACCTCCAAAAAGTTCCAAAGCCCTGAAGTAACCACTTGGCAAAATAGCACACAGCTCTGGTAAGCCGCTTAACCTTTCTGTGCCTCAGTTTCCTGACTTGTGAAAAGATGATTAGTAATCCATCCACTGCCTATATCCCAGGGTGGTTGTGAGAACCAAGTCAGACCAAATATGTGTCTGTACTGTGAAATGTACAACACAAAGTACAAATGTTAGGGATTACTCAACGAGAGACTTCAAAGGCAGCTGGCAGCTTCACAGATGGGCTGGGCAGGCCAGAGCACAGCCGCCTGCTCGTAGTTTGGGCATTTGGAAATCACAGCACTATGTTGTCACTGGCATTGTTTAAGGAGCACCAATCCTCCTCAACTGCAGAAAGAACAAGCACAGGCTCAGCCAGGCATACAAATTGCAGGGCTCCCTTCATATATTCAGAGCATGTATACTTGGCATTAATTTGAAATAATACATTGCACTTCTTATCAGGGTAAAGGACATTGTGCATTTTGGTATTATCTTGAAGTTAATTTGAGGCTTTAAGTATTTAAGTGTTTGATAACTTGTAGTCTGAAAAGATGAAACACGAAAAGAGCTATAGATTGTATTTATCTCCAGGTAAGATTCAGAAAGCTCCCCCCTGCCCCAAATAACACTGACTTTTTAAAAGAAGTATTGCTTAAAGTTCATTTTTTGGCAATTGATTCTTTCAGAATGAAGATGCTCAATCCAAGAGGCAAAAAAGTCACTTGTGAATAGCTTCCTATTCTATGAAATGCCTGGGTTGGAGCAAACACTTGGTGATTTCTGCAAGTGTGAAGGATGCATATTTGTAAAATGAACTATTAGCATCTTAGAACCTAACCCTGTCACCTCTTCATCCCATTTTAGCAGAGCCCTTACTCCGCAACATGGTTATCCTGCCAACAAAATGTGCCAGGGAGCTGCTTCTCCTGTTGGAAGGCACATCTTTTGTGTTGTTTCCTAGGAGTGACGATCTCCATAAAACACTCTTCTCTTCCCAGTCAGGTACCCTTTGTACAGTTCCTTCATACATTCAGGAGAGCTGACAGCCCCTTGAGTGTAAGTAGGGCAGGGATTTGGAGAAAAAAATGCATGTTTTTGAAACATGAAAAGACAGTTGGGGACACATTCACAAATGCTGCCCCATTCCATGGAAGGATAGATTTGGACCAGAGAGGGCAGTACCGTGAATGCCAACTGAGACATAAGACTTGATTTGGTCAGAAGGGGGGCTGCTGATTACCTTTAAGCAAAAAGAGCAGTGACATAATCAGAGCTGGGCTCTAGGAAGAGAAATCTGCTAGGGTAATATGGAGAACAGCTGAGAAAGGAAAAATTTAGAAGCAGGCGATCAGGTGGAATCTCACGGGGATGCTCGCTGATGCATGATTAGAATGGGGCTGGTTAAATAAATAATGATGCATTGCTCCTCTGTCTGCAGGACCATTCCCAGCAGCCTTCAAACATGCTGTAATTTCCAATATGCAAGGGGGAGGGGAAGGCCCATTGGCCTCAGAGGAAAAAAATTTAAAAGATCAATTAGACAACAAGCAAATGAAAAACATGAAAATGCGCCTTTCTACTGGGAAACCTAACATCAATGATTCGGTGTCAGGCAAACAACATCATCTTTCCTAATACTGTTGTGATGTGAGCTTTATTGGTACCGTCATTTTATTTGCACCTAATGAATCATTTGATTCGTTTTTAGAGTTGTATATGAGCTATCAACATGAGAATTTTCTACTCTGTTCCATGTTTGTATATATATAGTGTAATTATAATAAGAGAATGTAAGTCATCAAACTCCTCGACCTGTCAGCTCCTGCAACCATTGATCCTCTGTTGTTGCTTTACACAAAATTCACGACCAGAGATATCTCAGTGGCAAGGTCCAATTCCCCACCTTCCATTTCCTCTGGCCTTCATTCCCATTGGACGTTCACTTCAGGCTTTCCTCAAGGTCACCAGTGACCTTCTAGCTGCCAAGCTCCATGATCTCATCTCAACCCTCATCCTACTTGAGTCATCAGCAGCATTTGTGTCTGCTGATCCTTCCTTCTCCAGGAGCTGCTTTCTCCTCCTGCCTGCTGCTGACCTGGCCCCTCTCCATTCTCCTCCTTCTCTCTGCTGCTCCTTCCCAGGCTCCTCTGCTGGTTCCTCTTTCTTTTTCAACCTCTAAGCTTTGGAGAACTCAGTCTTCAGACATCTCCCCTCTATCTGTATTCACTCCCTAGGTAAGAAGGTCCATCATGTGCCAATGACTCCCACGTTTATAACTCTAGCCCAGACATCCCAGAACTTCAGATTTGCATTTCCATTTGTCATTCATCCTCTCCATTTGCATACAAAACGGGCATCTTCAGCTCAAAACGTCCAAAACCAAACTCCCGATTTCCCGCCGTAAATCTGTTCCTCCTGCAATGTTCACAGCCCCGTTAAAGGGCAGCAGCATCCTTCCTACTGCTGGGGTCAAAAGCCTTGGGGTCATTCTGTCTCTTCTCTCTCTCTCCCACCTCATGTCCAGTCCACCAGCAGATCACCCAGATCTTCCTCCAAAATTAATCCACAATCCCATCACTGCTGGCCCTTTCCACAGCAACACCTGAGCCATGCCACCCACACCAGACCCCCGGGTTATTGCAAGAGCCTCCTGCTGGTTCCCTGGCATCTGTCTTTGACCCCTGCAGTCTCTTCTCAACAATTCAAAAATGTAAGTCAGATCAAGTCATTCTTTGCCCAAGACCTAACCAAGTCTTTCCATTTTACAGAGAGAGAGAAATAAAAAAGTTTTTACACTGGCCTACAGAGCCCTCTGTGACGTGGCCCCAGGCTGACCTTTTTAAAAATTATGATAAAAAACACATAACATAAAACTTACCATCTTAACCATTATTAAGTGCACAGTTCAGTAGTGTTACATATGTTCGCACTGTTGTGAAAAAGATCTCCAGAACTTTTTCATCTTGCAAATCTGAAACTCTGGACCCATTAAATAGCTTCCTTTCTTATCCTCCCCCACCCCCTGACAATCACCATTCTACTTTTGATCTTTACAAATCTAACTTCTCTAGGTACCTCACATACGCAGAATCATACAGTGTTCGTCCTTTTGTGACTGGCTTCTTTCACTTACCCTGGGGCTGCCTTTTTAATTCCTCTACTTCTCTCCCCCTTGCTCAGTCCACTCTGGCCATATGGTCCTTCTGGTTGTCCCTGCACCACACCAAGTATACCCTCTGCCTCAGTGTGTGCAAGCCAGCTTGCACCTGCTCCATCTGACTCACAGAGATTATAAGCATCTCTTTCCTACTGCACATTCAGTGACCTCATGTTGGTGGCTAGAAATCAGCCTTGGAGGGAATGTTTATATCCTAGAAATCAACAAATGTTGCAAATAAGGCCTTTTTTTTTCCAGAGAGCTGGTTGTTAGTCATTTGCCAGCACATCACTCCGTTGCCTAGACGAGCCTTCCCTGATTAGTCCGCTTACCTCTTCACTTCTTTTATGTCTCTGCTCAAATGTGCCAACTCTAGAGGGGTCCTCTCTGACTACACTATAAAAATAGTAACCACTACAGGCTCCCCTTTCCATTTCCCCTATATTAATTGTTCACCACCTGACAAACTATGTAGTTAGCAGTTTGTTGATTGATTGTCTGTCTCTTCTAGAATGCTACCTCCACAAAGACAAGGACTTTGTCTTGCTCACTACTTTATCTCCAGCACCAAGAACCACACCTGGCATGGTGAAGGTATTCAGTAAATATGTGTTGAATGAATAAACAATGCATTTTAATGAATTATTCCATAAACATATTAATTTTTAAGTCACAATTCAGTACACTGAAATATTGCACAGTAAAAGAGTAAAATAGATGGATCTATATATACCGACATGAAAAGACATCTAAGATTTAAACAGCAAGTTGCTAAATGTCAAAATAATGTGTACAGTGTGTTTACATATACACACATATACTTAGAAAAATATCTAGAACATAGAAGTCTATCACATTTTAATCTTGTATACTTTTAGAATGGGATTTCTAAAACAATGAGCATGCATCACTTTTGTTTTCCCAAATTTCAAATCTGTAAAAGCAAAAAAGAAAAAAAAGAAACCCACTATATTGCAAGCTCCATGAGTCATATTTCTTTGAACATCTTTAGTGTCTAGAAGCTTCCTGGTAAACAGTAAGTGCTCAAAGATGCTATGGAATGGATGACTTCAAGAGAGAGGGAACACAGCCTGAAGTCAGGAGGAAGGGAGGGGCCAAGTGGCACAGGATCTAAAGTGGGGGGTGAACTGGCAGCCCCACGAGTCCGTGAGGGGACACATGGGACTTGAAGGATGAGGGAAAGTAGGTGACAGGCATGTGCTCACTTACGAGCAGGTGTTGGACATCGCCTGAGTACCAACCTCGTGCTGAGCACCATGCTGGTATCTGGGGGCCAGAGGATGAAGAAGGCCTGGTGCAACCAGGCCCCACAGATTTCCATGCCATGGGTGGAGCATAAAACAAAAAACAAGTGAGCTTGGGAGGGAAAACAAGGGGCTTCCTCCTTTGAAAAGTGTTGCACTTACAGAGAGCAGACTTGAGCCACACATGCAGCAAGTAGCCAGTACTTGGAGAGGGAGCCTGTGTGTTTGGCCTCAGTGTCCTCCCCACCATGGGGCTCATCCTTGCCAGGACTCACTGCTCATCCTTAGCGTGGACAAGGTGGCTACCATATTGAATCTTAATTTAGGATTCAAGACCATTAACTTGGAAATGCCTCTTAACCAGCCGAGTAAGTTTACAACATGAGAAATGGACAGAACTAGACACAGACAATAATGCTTTTCTTCTTGGGAAATCAAACTGTTTATTCTTGTCCTGGGTCCCTGATGGCACCCTATTGCACACACCATTATCTACACAGTCAATTTAGGAGACATTTATCTTCTATTTTAAGAAATCATAATAACTTATGGGAATGAAAAAGATTGGGCATACTTCATTATGTGTTTTCCCTCAATTAATTGGAGATCTCAGTGAATTAATATTTTTAAAGGTATAGGTCTTTCTTCTGACCTGGATTTACATTGGGTTTTCTCAAAATTAGTCAGTAGATATCAAGATAAAAATCAATGATACATGGTAAAAAAAATTATATATTACTGCATTTTAAAGTTTTCCCAAGTCAATTGTTTAAACCATTATAACTTGTTAAATATAAAGAACTTTTCTACTGTTTTTAATGACTTTCTTTCTAGAAAGGTGATGGATACGACAGTAAAAGTCCTAAGATAGGCAAAACAAGCTTGATTCTGCAACTAACTAGCTGGGTAACTTAAAGCAAGTCATACGACTTCTCGACAACTCATTTCCTCATCTGTAAAAATGGTTAGAATAATTATCCCCTCCCAGGCTGTTGCGAAGGTTACTAATGTACTTTATAAAATCCCATGACAAATTTTAGCAAGAGCAATTATGACTTGTGTTCATTTGTTATAGAAAATAGTTTTAGTTGTATAGATGCGTTATTAAAAATCACTGTGTCTTAAGCTTGTTGTAACTACCAGTGATGCATATATTCCTACAACTTCTGCCAAATAACCTTTAAGAAAAAGCCAACAGGCAAATCATATTTACTTTCCTGAGTGACCTCAATCAACCTTCATGTTTTCTTCTCCTGATGTTTTGTCAATTCCTACATTCATCATACAAACATCTCTCACGTGACCCTGGTATGTACTGCATTCATGGCTAATTTTCAGGTATTTTGATATTCTTTAGAGCAAAGAATACATGAATAAGATGGAAAGGCAAGAGCCTGTCAGGCAAAAACACAGAAGTCTACTCAGGAACCCACAGCCTCCATGGCTTCTTTGGTGGGTAATTGAATGTGTAAAAGATGGCTTAAGAGCTTGGATTCCATGAAAGGGGATTTTCTCTCACCCTTAACAAAAGATTTCCATTCATACAATTTTGTTCTAAAGCAAAGCAGCCCTATGTTTATGAGACAAGCAAAAAAGTGAAGACAAATTGGGAAGAATGGCATCGTCAGTGCTCCAGAGATGTAGGGGGGATGGCATGATGACAATGAGCCTTCCATCCTTTTGGCAATGTAACCCCATTTACTTTTTTGAAGGAATAAGAACTGTGCCCCACATAAGCACCCACTTCTTTTTCTCTCTACTAAACCTTTCACCTTGTCTCCTTGCATCTTTCTTTTTTCTGCTTCCAAAATTTTTAGCCTCAAAATCCAAATGGTTCAGAGAAGAATTAGAGGCTGATAAAAGGGAGCCATGGGGATGAGGTGCAGAGAAGAGACACTGTAGAATCTTGAGTTGTTCCCGCCCTCCTGACATCTTTATTTTGTCATTTCCGTTAACGTCAGATCTCGTCTATTTTCCCAATTAGGTCTTAGCTTGTACTTGAGATTCTCTTCTGAAAAGGTTACAGTGCACTTGCGTATTAAGGAGTTTAAATGATCTACACTTCAGCAAAATGTTCATCTTTAAAAGCGACCCTCTTGTCCTTGGCCTTCATACTAAATCATACTAAACCAAGGTAAGGATTAAAATTCAACTGTTTCCACCAGTGCTTTCTTTAATGAGAAAAACAAAACTAGGTTTGAAGTGGATTAAATAACTCATTTGATGTCACTCAAGGTGAAGCTGGAACATGAGGCACTCACTAGAAGCAAGTGCATGTGCTTAGGCTTGAGGCTTCAACTCTTTCAGCATTTGGTGACAGGTTGACCCTGTTGCTCTGTTGACCAGACTAGAAGCTCCCGAATGGCTCAGACTTGCTATCACTTCTTGTATCAGCAATATACAGGATCACAGGATATGACACCTTAGGGAATATCCACAGAGTCCAAACTTTAATGTGTTTGGGAATCATCTGGGGAGTTTGCTCTAAATACAGAAAGCCTCCTTCATTAGGTCTGGGAATAGGCAGGGCACACCAGAATTCCAGTGCACAAGTCCTGCATGTGATACTGGTGGAGAAACCCTGTGGAAAGCCCTGAATGATAGGATGGCAGTTTTCAGGTACGGATGCACTTCCCCCATCCCACAGCCTCCAATGTAATCAGTGCCTTAGAAACATTCCACACTCAGGATCAATTTATAAAGAAAACAAACCCAGCAGGAAAAGGAACTTCATGGTATGAACCCTTCCCAGGTTTTAAGCATCACTATCACCTTCCTTGCCTCATACTTCTTTACACAGGACTTGACGTATTAGAAGGATATCTTACCCATCTATTTATTTCATCCACACACAGATTCCCTGTCAGGGCTTCAGAACAGAAGAACTGAACTAATTTTAGTAAATCAAAATGTCATCTCTCAATCTTGCCTCCCAGCCTGGCTTCTTTCAGAAGACTTGGGATGTTTGAGGGCTGATGAAGGGCAGCAGTCAGCAGCTCCAAAACACATCACAGTGGAAGCCAAACTTTGGGAAGTACCATACCTGCAACCCTGAAGAGATGTAGCTCAAAAGTGGGCAACCCTCTTGCTTAGGGACTAGAAAATTTCCCAAATGGATGTGATTAGCCATTAAACATTGGACCAGTGACACAATTTATAATTGCATAAAAATTCATTTGCAATGTGTTGAATGAGCAAACCCTTCAGCTGTGCTTTATGGTGTGTTGGGACTTCTTGAGGTCTGACTGTGCTACGAAATGTGCCAAATGCATGAAATGAACAAAATGCATTCACAATAGGGACCGAGAGGGACAGGCACTCAAATCTTTGCCTGTCACTGACTCACTGTTGGGATGCCCGAGGCTGTGGGTTCCAATCACCAGCCTTTAGAGTTCTTTCCACAGTGACTCCTGCACTTGATACTTCCTAGGATCAAAAGTACGTCCGTGTGAGGTGGTTTGTTGCAATATAATTATTAAACGAAGGGCACACACTTTTTCAAAGCCAATCAAAGTCGCCTCTTGTCTGAGATTTTTCCGGTGTGTTCTTGACAAAAGATCTGAAAGGAGGAAAAACAAATGTACTGGCTCCTAACCTGCTCACATCTCAGGACAGAGATTCACAGACACCTGGCTGGCTTCTCTACAGCTCCACTTTCATGCACATGTGCATGCTCTCTCACTCGCTCGCTCTCTCTCTCTCTCTCAAAAAGAAGGAATCCCTACTGCTCTTTCTGAATAACAGGACGACCTTGATCTAAGGCTCCATGGTACTTGTTCCTCTTATGAGAATGACAATCATCCTTTAAACAACATGCCAAAAGATCAAAGATCTGTGTGGCACTTTACTCAAATCAGAATGTCGGTTCCTGGGGGTATGAAATGCACTTTTCATAATTCCTACTGACAACGCTCTGACTAGATGAGTTTGTCCTCCCCACCCTGGTGGATTTGCTCTAGGGAGAGCTCCTGGAAGCAGAACGGAGGGACCATATACCTTCTGCTCAATGAAGACAACCCCCACTAAGAGTATCAGGCTTAAGTGCGTTTGTCTGCAAGTTGAGCCTCTCAAAGTGGGATTTCACTAAATCAGTGTTAATCCCATTTACATAATCCAGTACTTGGGGCTTTCTAAAGACTGTGATTTAGTACAAGGCTGCTCTGGGGTATTAAACGGGACCCCAGTAAAAGGGAACTGTTGATGTCAACATCAGCTTTGGCACCTAAGAGCCTGTTCCTACAGCAAATGGACTTCCTACACACCCACTCTTAGGTGGGTTAGCGAGTGAGAAGGATACAGAGGTGATTCATTCTATTGCAGCTCACACACTCAAATGCCTATTAGAAACAAAGGAAAAGGAAATGAGGGAAGTTGGCCTGTTTGGGACAGTGGTAAACTTGGTAAGGCAGGTCCCATCCAAAAGGATGAGAAGCTATGGAGCTCCATTCAATGCTACCGTGCAAGATGGCAGCCCTGAGCTGTCAGACTTTCTAGTTTTTCCAAAGAAAAGCCAGAAATTTGTGTTTTAGGAGAAAGCCACTATATATTTTTCTTAATCAACTTAATGTGATGCATGAATATAGCTTAAAAATCAAAGGCTTATAATAACACTGGTCTTTGACCCCTCCCTCTCCAAACACAATTCCCATTCTCAGTAACTACCACTTTCAATACTTTTTTCTGGTATTTTCTTCACTATAACTAAACATTATGCTTATGCTGCTCTTAAATTAGTTATTCTAAACATTACCTATTTACTCTCTGCATTCACAGAGGTGGAATTTTTTTAGCTCTTATTGCACCCAACCTTCCCAATACAGCCATGCCCCCTTTTGGGTGAGACTTCGCCCGAGGCTCTTCAGCTCTGCTGCCTCCAGCTGTCACCATGGGGCTTCCCTATACCTTTCTGCTGAGCTGGATCCCTGTCTTCTGGATTCCATGTTTTTCTCAGATGTCATTTTGCTGGAACATATTTCTGATGACTTCCTAAAACGGCTAGTTAGGAGGTAAATTTTTTGAGGCCTTGCCTGTTTGAAATGTCTTTACTCAACTCCCACACTTGACTGGGAATTTGGCTGGCATATTTCTGCATTGAAAATGATTTTTCTTTAGAATTTTGAAGGCATCTCTCTATTGACTTTCAGTTTCCAGGTTTGCCATAGAGAAATCTGATACCATCTGATTCATGTTCTTTGTGTGTGTCCTGTTTTACTCTCTGCAGACCTTAGGATCTTCTCTTTATGCATAGTGTTCTGATATTGCACGGTGACAGAGAGAGGTAGAAGTCAGACTACTGGGGTCTAAAATCTGGCAATGTCACTTCTAGTTGTGTGACCTTGGACATATAACTTAACCTCACTAGGCCTCTGTAAATGAAGATAAATGCCCTTTGTGTAAAGTGGTTGTGCACATTAATGAGATAATACATCAAAGCCCTTAGAACAGTGCTTGACATGTGGTCAGCAATAAATGAGCATTTGATTTTGTGACCATTGATACTATCATCTCATTCTTTGTTCCAGCTGGGCCTTCTAGCACAGTGGTTTGTGCCCCTCTTGAATTATCTTTGATAGCTTCCTCCCTCTATTTTGTCTCTTCTTATTTCTTGTCATTCTTATTAGGCAGATACTGGACTCCTGGATTCTTCCTCCCCTACTCCCATGCTTTCATAGTTTTCATTTCTTTTTTATTATTTTTCTACTTCCTGAGATATTTCCAGGCCCTTCATTCCCTATTTGATTTCCACTGATTTCATTGATGGCTATTATACTTTCCATCTCCAAGAGCTCATTCTATTTCCAGTCATTTCTTTTCCATTCACATGTTGCTCTTGGTTTCTGGATGCAGCATATTCTGTCTTTGAGAACAGCAAGTTGACTTTTGTTGACATTGTCTTCTGATTTCTACAGTCACATCTCCTCAAGGTTCCTTTCTTCTATTTATTTGTTTTGTTCTCTCTTTCTTAGCGGAGAATTTCTACCTCAAAGTTCTGGCCATCCCTGGCTGTTTATTCATATACGAGAGGAAGGTCCTAAAAGGCTGAATGGACCTTCACGCTTATGAGTTGTCTCTGTTGACTGGTGGGCTTCACCCCAGGTGATCAAGCCAGAGCCCTTTCCATTTCCCTAGGGTAGAATCTTCCAGGGTCCTACCTGGGGGACACAGTCTAGCTGCAACATTCCAGAGGCAGAGTTGGGGGTAGGAGCTGGGGGTCCCAGGTTCAAGATGCAAACTTCCATTGAACCCCCATGTTTAATCCTGCACCTCGACTCTGCCTTCTGAAGTCCAATGCTCTCCATTTTAATACCTTTAGAGAATGCACTTTCTAGCTGTCTAGGGGACCAATGGTGCCAGTATCGGCTTCCCACCAATCCCACTTGCCACTCTTCCACCTCCTGCCCCTCACATCCTAGGGCCTCCTGGTGCTGTGCCTGTCAGGGCTTTCTGCAGGGCACTTTGGCTGTGTCTCCCAAGCCTGCCCTCCATAGGCACATTAGGCTGCAGCTTCTTTTGCTCTAAGTCAATTTCCACTCCTCCATCCACTTTCTGTGTCCAGAAAAAAAAAAAAGAAATCCTGGTGTTTAAAGATTGCCAACTAATTCAAATTTTATCATGTTCTTTGGCACAAGTGAAGAACAAAAAATGTGTCAGCAGGTCGCAAGCAGCCCCCGGTCAGTTGTTAGCTCAGGACAAGGCAGTGATTCTTGAAGTATGGGACACTTCCACCCAATCCCACCCATCGTAAGAATGACTCAAGATGTCAGTAAAGATACAGATTTCTAGACTCTGCCGCAGACCCACCTAAACCAGAAGCCCTGTGAGTAGGGCCCAGGAATCTGCATTTTTAACAAGCTGTCCTGGGAGGTTTTGATGTGAGTGGCCTGGAATCTGTCCTATGATGATCAATTCTCCTCAGAGGAGAGTCAACCTGGAGCTGAGCCTGGAGGCCCCATCCTAAGGCCAACAACTGCTCACCTGTTCGTAAAAGATGGCCTCCTGATTAGACCTGCTTAGTCTCTGGCCAGCCAGCATTTATGCACTGAGTCTATTTGACACTGGCCTCCCTGGGTAGTTCTTGTGCACCATGAGCTGTAAGGCATAACCCAGTGATCCTTTGCTTCCATCAAGGCAGACAGTAGGAGGTCTAGTCAATGCTCTGCTTGGCCCCGCACTGGAAAAGCTTTCAGCAGCAATGAGATAAACGCCATCTTTAGCAGCACCCTTAGAACAGGTGAGTGCATCAACAAGCTCATACCGGAGAGGAAGGAAGTCTGGATGAACACCACACACACAGCAAGAGGAATGGGCTGTACCAGTTGACAGGTACCCTTAGAGAGTGTGCCGTTGAATTACGATTTCCAAGAGAAGAGGTCTACAGCAGAAGATGGATGGTGCGATGTAAAACAAATGTTTCTGAGCAACAGAATGCGCCCAAAGCCACCTTAGGACCTCCACCAAGACTGGAATCAGAGGGAGGGAGGATTAAAAGGAGACGGAGGATCACTGCCCTGTCTCTTTGGGCTTCCTGGTACCTGGAACAGCCCGGTGGATGAGCCAGCCTGAGGACCAGACTTTAGAAGTAGCTCCCAACCAAGGCAGTGCTTCTGAGGACATCTGCAGAGATGGTCAACTAACTTCCCCATAGGACCCCACCATGGCACGAGGGAATGAGCACGAAGCAGAAGGCCTGGCTCCAGGTGGAAAACCAACTCCTTGACTTCCCTGTAACTCAGCCTCTTCCTCTAGTAAATGGGGTCTCATCACCTGTTGCAGGGTCTGTGAGCCTTCCCAGGTCTACACCCCGCAACCTTTTCGAGGATGGCTGTCTTTTCTCCCCAGCAGCGTATTTCACTGCGCTGAGGACACAGTCTGTCTCCATAACTTCTGCACGCCCAGGACTTAACACCGCGTGGCCTTTAGCAGGTGTTCTATGAATGGTTTTTATTGACATGTTAATTAATATGCCGGGCTCGGTGGCTCACATCTGTAATCCCAGCACTTTGGGAGGCTGAGGCAGGTGGATCACTTGAGGTCAGGAGTTTGAGACCAGCCTGGCCAACACGGTGAAACCCCATCTCTACTAAAAATACAAAAATTAGCCGGGCATGGTGGTGGGCGCCTATAATCCCAGCTACTTGGGAGGCTGAGGCAGGAGAATCCCTTGAACTTGAGAGGTAGAGATTGCAGTGAGCTGAGATCATGCCACTGCACTCCAGCCTCAGTGACAGAGTGAAACTCCGTCTTTAAAAAAAAAAAAGGAAATAAACTGAAACCTGTTTGGTAACCTCATAACAGTTAAATGCACATGCCTTTCCATCCAGCAACTCCATGCATTCCAAGATATTTGGAGAGGTTGTTCACACAGCCTTGATAGTAAAGGTGAAACATTGGAGACCTCCTAAAAGTCAACCAGTAAAAATTGACCAATTAATTAAGATACGGCCATGCTAGGGAACTCTGTGCCACAATCAAAATGAATGAGGTAACTCTCTGTTCTTACTGGGAAGGGTACCCCTATGGTATCATCAGGAGAAGACCATTATTGTTAGTAAATAGACAACTTTGTTAAAAAATTAAAAGAGTATGTGCCCAATATAATATATGTAAGTTTCTATGCATAGAAAAACTTCTAGAAAAATAGAGATTATCCCCGGAGAATGTAGTTAATAGCAAGATGGGTGGTAAAGTAGTATACTTTCATTTTTTTATTAGAATGTTCTGATTTTATAATTTTTTTAAATCCCCAATCCCCTATTAAAATGCAGATTTCTATGGGGAAGGGTCATTCCATGCTGCCAGGCAGCAGCTTGGCTGGAACCCAGGTGAGTCATGGAAGTGGGTATTTATTAGGCCAATGTCTGAGAACCAGCCCCAGGAGCCTGGGAGCAGCCTGCAATGGAGGGGCTCAGCCACAGAGTCCACTCAGTCTTTTACAGATGGGGAAACTGAGGCCCGGAAGGAAGAAGGATTTTCACAGGAAAGTAGGGACCAAATCCACATGGCAAGGAGGCTCTGACCAGAGCCATTCCCCACCTGCAGACCAGAGCACAGCAAGAGTCGAACAGCAGGATTTGTGGAGTGCTGCCCCAGCAGCCTGGACTTCTGTCGTGGATGGACAGTGACACATCTTCAGCCAGTTGCAGTCACGCTGGGTCCTGCCTCTACCACAGCATTCACTCTCTCAAGGTGGCTGCCCATGCACAGCATATCAAAACCAATGGACCAAACTGTAAAAGAATTGGCCCAATATCCATCTCATGTTTTCCCTTCCAGAATGTTGACATTACTTTATATTTTTCAACATCAGAGTGTCTACTAGGTCAGAAGAATTTAAAGCCAGTTACATCTGGGCCGCTTGATACTAGGGATAAAAGCAGTTTCCATTACATAATGAAATCCTTGGCTTTCCCCATCCAGAGCCACAGCTCCCCTTCTAGTTGATTGAGCTGCTGACTGGCACATGAATACTGTATTTAACTAAAATCAACAAGGACCAGGAGGTATAGGATTTTGCCTGCAATTCCAAGCAATCTGCTGACCTTTCTCTGACACTACTTACTATATTTTAGTGTCGGAATCAATTGAACGGTGGGTTCTAAAGAGAGCAAGTGAATTCATTTGTGCTTTGGGAAAAGGCAGCCCCAGCGATCCTCATCCATCACTGTTAGATGGAAGGGGAAATGCCTTAAAGTGGCTCGTTTTCTTTCAACTGCAATATGCCAGCAGAGCACATAAGGATTCTATAACATGCAGCAGTCACTGTGATTCATCCTCATAAGGCAGTGTCTGGGCCAAAAGAGAATGTAAATCTCAGAGAATCACCTTCTTCTGCTGAGTAAGTGGATAGGGCCATTTGTCCTCTAGGTACCAACCATGTAAGGGGCACAGTGCCCTCTGGTGGTAGCTGCTTTTTCCTGCGCTGCGCAATTGTACGCTCCTCCTACCTGCCCCATGGAAGAACAAGGCGGCTCTGTTCAGAGCATCCCATGGCTGGGTGGCTTGGGGAGTGGGGAGGCCCACAAGACTGTATGTGCTGGGTGAACCTCACAGGGCCTGAGGAAGAGAGTCTGAAATTGACAGTGAAGCAATCAACCTTAAAAAGTATGGCAGAACAGGCCAGTAGGTGCAGGTCTAGCTCCTGTGGGTTGTGCTGAAAAATGGCAACCAACCATCCAGGCAAGAGGCTCTACAGAGTTCTGATAACCTCCTCTCCAGACCTGCTGAAACAATATGGAGAAATGCCCAGCCAAGAAGAAAGACAGCACTGCCTGGTGGAAGAACATGGGCTTGGAAGTCAAAGAAGCTGGATGTGGGGCCCAGCTCAGCCACTTGCTGGTTGAGTGACAGAGGACAAGTAATTTACATTCTACAGTCTGCAAATCCGTTTCTTCATCTGTGAAATGGGAGGGAAGAAATCCTACCTCAAGAGGTCATTATCCAAACAAACAAGACAATCTGCGTAATGGCTCATGGCAGGGTCTAGCAGAGAACAGGTGGTTGTCAAGTGGCAAGTGTGGCTGAGAGTGGGCTGCAATTCAGTGCCCTGTGTTCTATTCCTTTTTTGTAGAATTTATCATTATTATTATTGTTTTATTTTTCCATAAGTTATTGGGGCACAGGTGGTATACTTGGTTACATGAGTAAGTTCTTTAGTGGTGATTTGTGAGATTTTGGTCCACCTATCACCCAAGTAGTACACACTGCACCACATTTGTATTATTTTATCCCTCACCCCCCCTCACTCTTCCCCCCAGGTCCCCAAAGTCCATTGTATCATTCCTATACCTTTGCGTCCTCATAGCTCAGCTCCCACATATCAGTGAGAACATACAATGTTTGGTTCTCCATTCCTGAATTACTTCACTTAGAATAATAGTCTCCAATCTCATCCAGGTCACTGCAAATGCTGTTAATTTGTCCCTTTTTATGGCTGAGTAGTATTCCATCATATATATATATATATATACACACACACATACATACATACAGTTTCTTTATCCATTTGTTGATTGATGGGCATTTCGGTTGGTTCCACGATTTTACAATTGTGAATTGGGCTGCTATAAACATGTGTGTGCAAGTATCTTTTTCGTATAATGACTTCTTTTCTTCTGGGTAGATACCCAGTAGTGGCATTCCTGGATTAAAGGGTAGCTCTTTAAGGAATCTCCACACTGTTTTCCATAGTAGCTGTACTAGTTTACATTCCCACCGGCAGTGTAGAAGTGTTCCCTGATCACCGCATCTATGCCAACATCCGCTGTTTTTTTTATTTTTTGATTATGGCCATTCTTGCAGGAGTAAGGCAGTGTCGCCTGATGGTTTTGATTTGCATTTCCCTGATCATTAGTGATGTTGGGCATTTTTTCATGTTTGTTGGCCATTTCTACATCTTCTTTTGAGAATTGTCTCTTCATGTCCTTAGTCCACTTTTGGATGGGATTTTTTTTTTCTTACTGAGAAGATTTTCCCCCACTCTGTGGGTTGTCTGTTTACTCTGCTGACTGTTCCTTTTGCTGTGCAAAAGTTCTTTAGTTTAATTAGGTCCCAGCTATTTATCTTTGTTTTTATTGCTTTTGCTTTTGGGTTCCTGATCATGAAATCCTTGCTTAAGCCAATGTCTAGAAGGGTTTTTCCAATGTTATCTTTAGAATTTTTACAGTTTCAGGTCATAGGTTTAAGTCCTTAATCCATCTTGAGTTGATTTTTGTATGAGGATCCAGTTTCATTCTCCTACATGTGGCTAGCCAATTATCCCAGCACCATTTGTTGAAAATGGTGTCCTTTCCCCACTTTATGTTTTTGTTTGCTTTGTCAAAGATCAGTTGGCTATAAGTATTTGAGCTGATTTTGGGGTTCCCTATTCTGTTCCATTGGTCTATGTGCCTATTTTTATACAAGTACCATGCTGTTTTGGTGACTATGACCTTATAGTACAGTTTGAAATCAGGTAGTGTGATGCCTCCAGATTTGTTCTTTTTGCTTAGTCTTGCTTTGGCTATGCAGGCTCTTTTTTGGTTCCACATGAATTTAGAATTGTTTTTTCTAATTCTGTGAAGATGATGGTGATATTTTGATGGGGATTGTACTGAATTTGTAGATTGCTTTTGGCAGTATGGTATTTTCACAATATTGATTCTACCCATCCATGAGCGTGGGATGTGTTTCCATTTGTTTGTGTCATCTATGATTTTTTTCATCAGTGTTTTGCAGTTTTCTTTGTAGAGGTCTTTTGACTACTTCGTTAGGTATATTACTAAGTATTTATTTATTTATTTATTTATTTATTTTTGCAGCTATTGTAAAAGGGGTTGTGTTCTTGATTAGATTCTCCACTTGGTCACTGTTGGTGTACAGAAGAGCTATTAATTTGTGTATGTTAATCTTATATCCAGAAACTTTGCTGAATTCTTTTATCAGTTCTAGGAGCTTTCTGGAGGAGTCTTTAGGGTTTTCAAGGTAAATGATCATATCATCAGCAGAGAGTGACAGTTTGACTTCCTCTTTACCTATTTGGATGCCCTTTATTTATTTCTCTTGTCTGACTGCTCTGGCTATGACTTCCAGTACTGTGTTAAAGAGGAGTGGTGAGAGTGGTCATCCTTGTCTTGTTCCAGTTTTCAAAGAAAATGCTTTCAACTCTTCCCCGTTCAGTATTATGTTGGCTGTGGGTTTGTCACAGATGGCTTTTATTACATTAAGGTATGTCCCTTGTATGCCGATTTTGCTGAGAGTTTTCATCATAAATGGATTCAGGTTTTTGTCAAGTGCTTTTTCTTCATCTATTGAGATAATCATGTAATTTTTGTTTTTAATTCTGTTTATGTGGTGTACCACATTTACTGACTTGCATATGTTAAACCATCCCTGCATCCCTGGCTTGAAACCCACTTGATCATGGTGGATTATCTTTTTGATATGTTGTTGGATTCAGTTAGCTAGTATTTTGTCAAGGATTTTAGCATCTATGTTCACCAAGGATATCAGTCTGTAGTTTTCTTTTTTGGTTATGTCCTTTCCTGGTTTTGGTATTAGGGTGATGTTGGCTTCAGATAATGAGTTAGGGAGGGTTCCTTCTTTCTCTACCTGGTGGAATATTGTCAAAAGGATTGGTACCAATTCTTCTTTGAATGTCTGGTAGAATTCTGCTGTGAATCTGTCTGGTCCTGGACTTCTTCTTAGTAATTTTTTAATTACCATTTCAATCTCACTTCTTGTTATTGTCTGTTCAGGTTATCTAATTCCTGATTTAAGCTAGGAGGGTTGTATTTTTCCAGAAATTTATACATCCCTTCTAGGTTTTCTAGTTTATGTACATAAAGGTGTTCACAGTATCCTTGAATAATCTTTTGTATTTCAGTGCTTTCAGTTGTAATATCTCCTGTTTCTTATTGAGGTTATTTGGATTTTCTCTCTTCTTTTCTTGCTTAATCTTGCTAATGGGCTAACAATTTTATTTATCTTTTCAAAGCACAAGCTTTTTGTTTAATTTATCTTTTGTAATTTTTTTTGTTTCAATTTCACTTAGTTATGTTTTGATCTTGGTTATTTCCTTTCTTCTCCTGGGTTTGGGTTTGGTTTGTTCTTAGTTCTCTAGTTCCTTGGGGTGCGACCTTAGAATGTCAGTTTGTGCTCTTTCAGTCTTTTTGATGTAGGCATTTAGTGCTATGAACTTTCCTCTTAGCACTGCCTCTGCTGTATCCCAAAGGTTTTGGTAGGTTGTCATTATTGTCATTCAGTTTGAAGAATTTTTTAATTTCCACCTTGACTTCGTTTTTGACCCAATACTCATTGAAGAGCAAGTTATTTAATTTCCATGTATTTGCATGGTTTTGAAGGTTCCTTTTGGAGTTGATTTCCAGTTTTATTCCACTGTGGTCTGAGAGAGTGCTTAATATAATTTCAATTTTCTTAAATTTATTGAGGCTCATTTTATGGCCTATAATATGGTATATCTTGGAGAAAGTTCCATGTGCTGTTGAATAGAATGTGTATTCTGCAGTTGTTGGATGAAATGTTCTGTATATATCTGTTAAGTCTACTTGTTCCAAGGTATAGTTTAAATCCATTGTTTCTTTGTTGACTTTCTGTCTTGATGGTCTGTCTAGTGCTGTCAGTGGAGTATTGAAGTCCTCCACTATTATTGTGTTGCTGTCTCTCATTTCTTAGGTCTATTAGTCATTGTTTTATAAATTTGGGAGCTCCAGTGTTAGGTGCATATATGTTTAGGACTGTGATATTTTCCTGTTGGACAAGGCCTTTTACCATTATATAATGTCCCTCTTTGTCTCTTTTAACTGCTGTTGCTTTAAAGTTTGTTTTGTCTGATATAAGAATAGCTCCCCCTGCTTGCTTTTGGTGTCCATTTGCATGGAATGGCTTTTTCCACCCCTTTACTTTATGTGAGTTTATGTGAGTCATTATGTGTTAGGTGAGTCTCCTGAAAGTAGCAAATGGTTGGTTGGTGAGTTCTTACCCATTCAGTGGTTCTGCATCTTCTAATGGAGCATTTAGGCCATTTACATCCAATGTTAGTATTGAAATGGGAGGTACAATTGCATTCATCATGCTCTTTGTTGCCTATATGCTTTGGTGTTTTTGTTTTGTTTTTGCTTTTTAACTTGTATTTTTGTTTTATAGGTCCTGTGAGATTTATGCTTTAAAGAGGTTCTGTTTTGATGTGTCTCCAGGATTTTTTTCAAGATTTAGAGCTCCTTTTAGCAGTTCTTGTAGTAGTGATTTTGTAGTGGCGAATTTTCTCAGCATTTGTTTGTTTGAAAAAGACTGTATCTTTCCTTCATATATGATGCTTAGTTTCACTGGATACAAAATCCTGGGCTGTTAATTGTTTTGTATGAGGAGGCTGAAGATACAGCCCCAGTCTCTTCTAGCTTGTAGGGTTTCTGCTGAGAAATCTGCCGTTAATCTGATAAATTTTCCTTTATAGGTTACCTGGTGCTTCTGTCTCACAGCTCTTCAGATTCTTGCCTTTGTCTTAACTTTGGATAACTTGATGACAATGTGCCTAGCTGATGATCTTTTTGTGATGAATTTCCCAGGTGTTCTTTGTGCTTCTTGTATTTGGATGTCTAGGTCTCTAGCAAGGCCAGGGAAGTTTTCCTCGATTATTCCCCCAGATATGTTTTCCAAACTTTCAGAATTATCTTCTTCCTCAGGAACGCCAATTAGTCTTAGGTTTGGTCGCTTAACATGATCCCAGACTTCTTGGAGACTTCGTTCATATTTTCTCTTTTTTTTTTTTTTTTGTCTTTGTTGGATTAATTCAAAGACCTTGTCTTCAAGCTCTGAATTTCTTTCTTCTACTTGTTCATTTCTATTGCTGAGACTTTCCAGAGCATTTTACATTTCTAAAAGTGTGTCCAAAGTTTCCTGAATTTTTTATTTTTTCTGTAAGCCATCTATTTCCTTGAATGTTTCTCCTTTCACTTCTTGTATCGTTTCTTGGGTTTCCTTGCATTGGGCTTCACCTTCCTCTGGTGCCTCCCTGATTAGCTTAATAACTAACCTCCTGAATTCTTTTTCAGGTAAATCAGGGATTTCTTTTTGGTTTGGATCCATTGCAGGTGAACTAGTGTGATTTTGGAGGGTGTTGAAGAGCCTCATTTTGCATATTACCAGGATTGGTTTTCTGGTTCTTTCTCACGTGGGTAGCCTCTGTCAGAGGGAAGGTCTAGGGCTGAAGGCTGCTGTTCAGATTCTTTTGTCCTATAAGGTATTCCTTTGATGTAGTACTCTTCCCCTTTTCCTATGGATGTGGCTTCCAGTGAACTGAGCTACAGTGATTGTTATCTGTCTTCTGGGTCTAGCCACTCAGCAGGTCTATCCGGCTCCGGGCTGGTACTGGGGGTTGTCTGCACAGAATCCTGTAGTATGAACCGTTTATGTGTCTCTCAGCCATACCACTGCCTGTTTCAGTGGATTTGGCAATGTCGGGGGTCGGGGGGGGGCGGGCGGCGCAATGAACTCCGTGAGGGTTCTTAGCTTTGGTGGTTTAATGCTCAGTTTTTGTGCTAGTTGGCCTCCTGATAGGAGGTGGCACTTTCTAGAAAGCATCAGCTGTAGTAGTGTGGAAAGGGATCAGCAGTGGACAGGGCCCTAGAACTCCCAACATTATATGTCCTTTGTCTTCAGCTACCAGGGTGGGTAGTGAAGGACCATCAGGTGGGGGCGGGGTAGGCATGTCTGAGCTCAGACTCTCCTTGGGCGGGTCTTGCTGCAGCTGCTGTAGGGGATGGGGGTGAAATTCCCAGGTCACTGGAGTTGTGTACCTAGGAGGATTATGGCTGCCTCTGCTGAGTCATGCAGGTTGTCAGGGAAGTGGGGAAAAGCCAGCAGTCACTGTCCTCACCCAGCTCCCATGCAAACCGAAGGGCCGGTCTCACTCCCACTGTGCCCCCGAGTCCCCAACAACCCCTAGTCTGTTTCCAGGTGGTGGGCGAGAGGGGCTTGAAAACTTGCCCCAGGCTACCCAACTCCCAGCTGTGAAAGAAAAGGGCTTGGTTCTTCCCCTTCTGTGGAGTCTGCACACTGGGTTTGTACCCTCCCCCAAGTTCTGGCCAGGAGGCTTCTCACCCTATTCAAATTGTTACAAAGTTCAGCTAGAGCCTTCCTTCTCCCTGTGAAGTTTTGCTCCCTGCTCCTCTGGCCACCCTCCTGATGGAACCCTGTGGTGCCAGCAGGAATGACCTGCTTGGGGACCCAGCAAGCTCCTAGGGCCTTTCTGCTGCTTCCTCTACCCCTGTATTTCACTCGGCTCTCTAAACTGACTCAGCTCCAGGTAAGTAGGAAACTTCTGCAAACAGACCTTCAGCTTCTCCAGCAGGGGTGTGTGTTCAGAAGAGGAGGGTCTCCCTTTCCCATTTCCTCAGTTGAAGTAGTCACAGTATTTGGGGTGTCTCCCAAGTCCTACAGGAGCAGTCTGCTTCCTTTAGAGGGTCTGTGGGTCCTCTCGGGATTGCTGAGTTCTTCTTGCAGTCGATCTGGAGCTAAAATTCACAATGCGAGCCTTCACACGCTGCTCTGTCCAGAGCTGCAGTCTAGTCCTGCCTCCCGTCCACCATGATGATCCCTGTTTTCTTTTTCATTTTTTTTTTTTTTTGAAACGGAGTCTCACTCTGTCGCCCAGCCCTGGAGAGCAATGGTGTGATCTCGGCTCACTGCAACCTCCTGGGTTCAAGAGATTCTCCTGCCTCATCCTCCCAAGTAGCTGGGATTACAGGTGAGTACTGCCACGCCCAGCTAATTTATATATTTTTAGTAGAGATGAGGTTTCACCATGTTGGCCAGGCTGGTCTCAAACTTCCGACCTTGTGATCCATCCACCTCAGCCTCCAAAGTGCTGGGATTACAGGTGTGAGCTACCACACCCGGCTGATGATTCCTGTTTTCTATTCTTTAAGCAACTTGATGAGACTATGGAAGATAACGGGCACTTTAAAATCACAGACGTGTATAATAAAGTCATGCCTCTAAAGATGAGGTCTAAAAGTCTGAAGAACGTGATATGAACCATTATGCATGTTCTTTATTTTTCCTTTCCCAGTTTTCCCACCGCTTTCCACATCTCATTCTAAAATTAAGAGACCTCAATAGCTCTTTTTAGAAGACTCTCACAAATTACTTTTCAGAGGAGAATTTCATATTTTAGACAACCCTACTTGCTCAAGTTAATCCAGAGCATTTCAAAGAGTCAAGGTCATCAACTATGTGCCCACCAATCTTAAGTTGCAAATAGCAGCTGTTCTATAGGAGTCATCTATTTGAACACTGAACTCACGTGTATAAAATTTATTGTTAGTGCCACGAAAACATATAATGGTTTGCATCTTAACTGGGGTGGTAGCTACACCAATCTATACATTAATAAATTGTATAGAGGCCAGGTACAGTGGCTCACACCTGCAATCCCTGCACTTTGGGAGGCTGAGGCAGGCAGGTCACTTGAGCTCAGGGATTCAAGACCAGCCTGGGCAACTTGGTGAAACCCTGTCTCTACCAAAAATACAGAAACTTAGCTGGGCGTGGTGGCATGTGTCTGTGGTCCCAGCTACTTGGGAGGCTGAGGTGGGAGGATTGCTTGAGCCCAGGAGGCAGAGGTTGCAGTAAGCCGAGATGGTACCATTGCACTCCAGCCTGAGCAACAAAGCAAGACCCTATCTCAAAAAAAAAAAAAAAAAAAAAAAAAAGCACAGAAACACACACACAAATGAGTGTGTATAAAACTGGTGAAATCTGAATAATAATTGTAATATTATTCTAATAATAGTACCAATAATTGTTAATATGGTATGATCTGAATTATACCAATATTAACTCTCTGGTTGTAATATTGTATTTGAATTTTCATTAGTGGATACTGGTTTAACTGTACATGAAAGTTCCCCCATTCATGTTTTTGCAATTAATTGTGAACCTGTAATTACTTCAAAATAAAAAGTTAAAGGAATAACATACCAATGGGTTTGCTCTAACATACAGTTACTTATAGGCATAATAACTATTCTATGCTGAGGTAATAAGAATTATTAACAGCTGTGAACATGAGTTATTATAATTATTACTTTTCATACTCAAATACGATGCTTTCCTCCAGCATCTTTCATATTTCCTCAATTTTAAGTTTCAGTATTTTTATATTTTAACTCCCTTGAAATCAGGATGAGTCTGATAATGGATAGCATGTCATAGTTTAATTAGCAGCATTCTTCTTTCTTTTTGGCACAGGCAAAGATTCTCTCCATGATGAAACCCTAGCCAGGTTCCTCTGAGCACCCTTTTCAATGAGGCCTCAACCTGAGCCCATGAAGACTGGAAAACACTAACATAGTTTCCAACAACTCAAGCTTACATCCCTAAAATGACCCTATCCCCCTTTAAAGTTCCTGCCTGAGAAAACTCAAAGCTGCCCCCCCAATTTTCTGTTTGTTCCAGCCATCAGCTGAGGATAGGGCCTCTGTCTCCCAGTCTCCATGGAAGGATCGCATTGTCACGTCCATAATTGCCAGCCAGCAGACACAGCTGGCCTGGTTGCATTTACACCAACTGAACCTTTGTACTTCCACTTCCTTGACTCCACTGAGCCCCCACTCACCCCTTCCCCACTCCCTCATTCTCCCTTTAAAACTCCCAGTCACCTCTGTACAAATCCAAGTTGTACATGTTGGATTTCAGTTCACACTGGACTCATTTTCCTATTGCCATAGTTATTACTGATTAAAACCTGTCTTTACCACTTTAACTCAGGTCCAGCTTTATTTATATTTGACAGTGTATAAAATAGTGACGTATCTTCAACTGATGGCATGCTGGAGTCCATGGCATGTAATGAATGTGATGGTCATTAGTGCCATTTACCCAACATTGGGTAAATATCTACCCCTTCTCCTGGATATGTGGTGCAATTGCCCTTGACTGCCCTACAGAAACTCACTGTGGCTGTGGGATTGACTTTGGGCAACAAAAAGTGGGCAGAAATTATGCTCCTTCCAGAATAATTCTTTCAGTACCTGTGATCTACATGTCCTTCAGTTACCATCATGGCCAGCAATGTCACTGTTGGTAGGGGCTCGGTCAGCCCATATTCCAGAGGAAAGGAAGTAAGGACAAGAGCCCCAGGTGCCCAAAAGGAACAGGAAACATGAGCAAGAAACCAAATCTTTACTACCCTGAGGCACTGAGAAGGGAATGTTGTTACTGCAGCATAGCTTAGCCCATCCTAGCTAATGAAGTGATGTTCAATGTGGGCCATTTCCCCTTTTATGGTTGATTCTCATTATCCAAGGTGGTTATGGTTTATAAAGTCACCACAAACACTGAATTAGCAAATTAAAACACTGAATCATCACCCACAGGGGAAATACAGGGTTAGGTAGCTGCAAGCCTGGGGTCACAATATGTTCATCAACTGATCAATATATAACCTTGTTTTGGCCGGGTGTGGTGGCTCATGCCTGTAATCCCAGCACTTTGAGAGGCTGAGGCGGGCAGATCAGTTGAGGTCAGGAGTTCAAGACCAGCCTGGCCAACATGATGAAACCCCATCTGTACTAAAAATACAAAAATTGCCGGGAGTGGTGGCAGGTGCCTGTAATCCCAGCTACTCAAGAGGCTGAGGCAGGAGAATCTCTTGAATCTGGGAGACAGAGGTTGCAGAGAGCCAAGATTTTACCACTGCACTCCAGCCTGGGCAACAGAGTGAGACTGTCACAAAAATAAAAAATAAAAAATAATTTGTATATATATATATAAAACCTTGTTTTCAGTGCACTTCTATTTAAAGACGCCTTATTTATTACATATTGTTGATTCAGTAACATTAAACTCAGCCAACTCAAGCCTGTAAAAGCTTATCTAATAACATATTCTCTCTGTGAGGCACAGCACAGCTTCTTGTGCTTAAGAACACTCACCAGCACTGTTGGCACTCTGCTTCGGGGCCATTTTAAACAGTAAAATCACCAAAAAAACACAAAGGTGTGAAAAACATGGCACTAGATAAACCGTGGAAAAGTCACTTGTTTACAGATGACAGCTGAAACAAGAAGGCAGAGCATCGCCTTGCTTGACCTCAGCTGAAAACACGCATGTCAGGTGTCTCAGATTTAAGCAACTCTGCATACATTTTTCTGCAAGTGACCACAAAAGCACATGAGTATTGATTTTGGTGAATTTGCAAATATTGAATCTGTGAGTAATGAAGTTCAACTGTGCCAGAAGTTCAGCAAGTGGGTCTTTGTAGACCCTGGATATCCCTGAGATTCTTTCAGAGAGTCGGCAAGATCCAAACAATTTCATGGTGCTGCCACGATGCAATTTGACTTTCTCCATGCTGACATTTGCACTGATGGTGTAAAATGGTGGTGGGTAAAACTGCAGGTGCCTTAGCGACCACGGAAAGCCATGGTATCACATCCAACTGTGCTACTCATCATTGTGTTCTTCACCACCCTGCACTCACAGAAAGGGAAAAAAGCCAGTTTCACTCAAGAAGTTTCTTGATGAAGTAAAAATCATGAATTTTATTTTGTCTCTACCAATAAAATCACACCTTTTAATACCCATTGTGACAAAATTGAGAACTACATGTAAAATATTTCTACTGCCTGCCATAGTACCATAGTTGTCTTGAATAAAATATCTTGTGCAATTATTTGAGTTGTACACTGAACTAGCCATTTTTTCATAGAACACTGCTTCTATTTGAAAGAATCTGACAAACTATGGTTATTCAGACTGGTAAACGATGGGAACTTCCTCCAGAGTGAATGAGGTAAGTGTGTCACTTCAAGGAAAATAACTGATATTATGCATTGTCAATGATAAAATTCAAGCTTTCAAGTAAAAATTAGATTTTGGAAAGTTTGCATATGCTACCGTGAGCTGTACAGCCTTCTAATATTTAAATACTTCCTAATGTGATCAGGGCTGATATTAACAAATGTAGTTGGTGATTGTGTCTAACGAAATGCATCAACATTTGGAAGAGCTGCCTAACTTAGGAAACTAGTATCTTCCAACTGGTTAGTTCATGATGTTACAAAACCATGCATTGGTAAAAGGCCTATTCAAAATACAAGATAGAAAAATTGTTTTTAATATAGCCAAGAATAATAAGTTCATCAATATCATTCTTTATTCCACATTGTATCTAACTTTTGGGAAACTATTACTTTCAAGTTTTTTTTTTAATTAAAAATTTTTTTTTTTTTTTTACTATACTTTAAGTTCTGGGATACATGTGCAGAATGTGCAGGTTTGTTACATAGGTATACATGTGCCATGGTGGTTTGCTGCACCCATCAACCCGTCACCTACATTAGGTATTTCTCCTAATGCTATCCCTCCTCTTGCCCTCAACCTCCTGACAGGCTCCAGTGTGTGATGTTCCCCTCCCTGTGCCCATATGTTCTCATGATTCAACTCCCACTTAAAAGTGAGAACGTGCAGTGTTTGCTTTTCTGTTCCTGTGTTAGTTTGCTGAAAATGATGGTTTCCAGCTTCATCCATGTCCCTACAAAGGCCATGAACTCATTCTTTTTTATGGCTGCATAGTATTCCATGGTGTATATGTGCCACATTTTCTTTATCCAGTCTATCACTGATGGACATTTGGGTTGGTTCCAAGTCTTTGCTATTGTGAACAGTGTTGCAGTAAACATACATGTGCATGTGTCTTTATAGTAGAATGATTTATAATCCTTTGGGTATATACCCAGTAATGGGATTGCTGGGTCAAATGGTATTTCTAGTTCTAGATCCTTGAGGAATTGCCACACTGTCTTCCACAGTGGTTGAACTAATTTACATTCCCACCAACAGTGTAAAAGCGTTCCTATTTCTCCAAATCTTCTCCAGCATCTGTTGTTTCCTGACTTTTTAATGATTGCCATTCTAACTTGTGTGAAATGATATCTCATTGTGGTTTTGATTTGCATTTCTCTAATGACCTAAATTTCTCTAAATGTAATGATGAGCATTTTTTCGTATGTTTTTTGGCCACATAAATGTCTTCTTTTGAAAAGTGTCTGTTCATATCCTTTGCCCACTTTTTGATGGAGTTGTTTTTTTCTTGTAAATTTGTTTAAGTTCCTTGTAGATTCTGGATATTAGCTCTTTGTCAGATGGATACATTGCAAAAATTTTCTCCCATTCTGTAGGTTACCTGTTCACTCTGATGATAGTTTCTTCTGCTGTGCAGAAGCTCTTTAGTTTAATTAGATCCCATTTGTCAATTTTGGCTTTTGTTGCAATTGCTTTTGATGTTTTAGTCATGAAGTCTTTGCCCATGCCTATGTCCTGAATGGTATTGCCTAGGTTTTCTTCTAGGGCTTTTATGGTTTTAAGTCTTATATTTAAATCTTTATCCATCTTAATTTTTGTATAAGATGTCTAAGGAAGAGGTCCAATTTTCTGCATATGGCTAGCCAGTTTTCCCAACACCATTTATTAAATCGGGAATCCTTTCCCCATTGCTTGTTTTTGTCAGGTTTGTCAAAGATCAGATGGTTGTAGATGTGTGGTGTTCTTTCTGAGGCCTCTGTTCTGTTCCATTGGTCTACCTATCTGTTTTGGTTACTGTAGCCTTGTAGTACAGTTTGAAGTTAGATAGCGTGATGACTCCAGCTTTGTTCTTTTTGCTTAGGATTGCCTTGACTATACGGGCTCTTTTTTGGTTCCATATGAAATTTAAAGTGGTTTTCTCTAATTCTGTGAAGAAAGTCAATGGTAGCTTGATGGGAATAGCATTGAATCTATAAATTATTTTGGGCAGTATGGCCATTTTCACGATAGTGATTCTTCCTATCCATGAGCATGGAATGTTTTTCCATTTGTGTCCTCTCTTATTTCCTTGAGCAGTGGTTTGTAGTTCTCCTTGAAGAGGTCCTTCACATCCGTTTTAAGCTGGATTCCTAGGTATTTTATTCTCTTTGTAGCAATTGTGAATGGGAGTTCACTCATGATTTGGCTCTCTGTTTATTATTGGTGTATAGGAATGCTTGTGATTTTTCCACATTGATTTAGTATCCTGAGACTTTGCTGAAGTTGCTTATCAGCTTAAAGAGTTTTTGGGCTAAGACAATGAGCTTTTCTAAATATACAATAATATCATCTGCAAACAGATATAACTTGACTTCCTCTCTTCCTATTTGAATATCCTTTATTTCTTTCTGTTGCCTGATTGCCCTGGCCAGAACTTCCAATGCTATATTGAATAGGAGTGGTGAGAAAGGGCATCCTTGTCTTGTGTAGTTTCTCAAAGAGAATGCTTCCAGCATTTGCCCATTCGGTATGATATTGGCTGTTGGTTTGTCATAAATAAGTCATATTATTTTGAGATACGTTCCAATACCTAGTTTATTGAGTGCTTTTAGCATGAAGGAGTGTTGAATTTTATTGAAGGCCTTTTCTGCATCTATTGAGATAATCCTGTGGTTTTTGTCATTGGTTCTGTTTATGTGATGGATTATGTTTATTGATTTGCATATGTTGACAAGCCTTGCATCCCAGGGATGAAGCTGACTTGATCGTGGTGGATAAGCTTTTTAATGTGCTGCTGGATTCGGTTTGCCAGTATTTTATTGAGGATTTTCGCATCGATGTTCATCTGGGATATTGGCCTGAAATTTTCTTTTTTTGTTGTGTCTCTGCCAGGTTTTTGTGTCAGGATGATGCTGGTCTCATAAAATGAGTTAGGGAGGAGTCTCTCTTTTTCTATTGTTTGGAATAGTTTTAGAAGGAATGGTACCAGCTCCTCTTTGTACCTCTAGTAGAATTCAGCTGTGAATCTGTCTGGTCCTGGGCTTTTCTTGGTTGGTAGGCTGTTAATTACTGCCTCAATTTCAGTACTTGTTATTGGTCCCTTCAGGGATTTGACTTCTTCCTGGTTTAGTCTTGGGAGGGTGTATGTGTCCAGGAATGTATCCATTTCTTCTAGGTTTTCTAGCTTATTTGCATAGAGGTGTTTATAGTATTCTCTGATGGTAGTTTGTATTTCTGTGGGATCAGTGTTGATATCCCCTTTATCATTTTTTATTATGTCTATTTGATTCTTCTCTCTTTTCTTCTTTATTAGTCTGGCTAGTGGTCTATTAGGTTAATCTTTTCAAAAAACCTGCTCCTGGATTCATTGATTTTTTGGAGGATTTTTCATGTCTCTTTCTCCTTCAGTTCTGCTCTGATCTTAGTTATTCATTGTCTTCTACCAGCTTTTGAATTTGTTTGCTCTTGCTCCTCTAGTTCTTTTCACTGTGATGTTAGCGTGTTGATTTTAGATCTTTCCGGCTTTCTCATGTGGGATTTAGTGCTATCAATATCCCTCTAAACACTGCTTTAGCTGTGTCCCAGAGATTCTGGTACATTGTGTCTTTGTTTTCATTGGTTTCAAAGAACTTATTTATTTCTGTCTTAATTTTGTTATTTACCCACTAGTCATTCAGGAGCAGGTTGTTCAGTTTCCATGTAGTTGTGTGGTTTTGAGAGAGTTTCTTAACCCTGAGTTCTAATTTGATTGCACTGTGGTCTGAGAGACTATTTGTTATAATTTCCATTCTTTTGCATTTGCTGAGGAGTGTTTAACTTCCAATTATGTGGTCAATTTTAGAATAAGTGCTATGTGGTGCTGAGAAGAATGTATATTCTGTTGATAGGGGGTCGAGAGTTCTGTAGATGTCTAATAGGTCTGCTTGGTGCAGAGCTGAGTTAAAGTCCTGAATATCCTTGTTAATTTTCTCTCTCATTGATCTGTCTAATATTGACACTGGGGTGTTAAAGTCTCCCATTATTATTGTGTGAGAGTCTAAGTCTCTTTTTAGGTCTCTAAGAATTTGCTTTATGGATCTGGGTGCTCCTGTATTGGGTGCATGAATATTTAGGAGAGTTAGCTCTTCTTGTTGCATTATTCCTTTACCATTATGTAATGCCCTTCTTTGTCTTTTTTTTTTTCTATCTTTGTTGGTTTAAAGTCTGCTTTATCAAAGACTAGGATTGCAACCCCTGCTTTTTTTTTTTTTTTTTTTTTTTGGCTTTCCATTTACTTGGTAAATCTTCCTCCATCTCTTTGTTTTGAGGCTATGTGTGTCTTTGCACGTGAGATGCACGTATTCTCCTGAATACAGCACACCAACGGGTCTTGACTCTTTATCCAATTTGCCAGTCTGTGTCTTTTAATTGGAGCATTTAGCTTATTTACATTTTAGGTTAATATTGTTATATGTGAATTTGATCCTGTCATTATGATGCTAGCTGGTTATTTTGCCCATTAGTTAATGCAGTTTCCTCATAGTGTTGGTGGTCTTTACATTTTGGTATGTTTTTGCAGTGGCTGGTACTGGTTTTTCCTTTCCATATTTAGTGCTTCCTTCAGGAGCTCTTGTAAGGCAGGCCTGGTGGTGACAGCATCCCTCAGCATTTGCTTGTCTGTAAAGGATTTTATTTCTCCTTCACTTATGAAGCTTAGTTTGGCTGGATATGAAATTACGAGTTGAAAATTCTTTTCTTTAAGAATGTTGAATATTGGTCCCCACTCTCTTCTGGCTTGTATGGTTTCTGTAGAGAGATCTGCTGTTATTCTTTGGGATCTTCCCTTTGTGGGTAACCCAACCTTTCTCTCTGGCTGCCTTTAACATATTTTCCTGCATTTCATCCTTGGTGAATCTGACAATTATGTGTTTCAGGGTTGTTCTTCTCGAGGAGTATCTTTGTGGTGTTCTCTGTATTTCCTGAATTTGAACGTTGGCCTGTCTTGTGAGGTTGGGGAAGTTCTCCTGGATAATATCCTGAAATGTGTTTTCCAACTTGGTTCCACTCTCCCTGTCACTTTCAGGTACACCAATCAAATGTAGGTTTGGCCTTTTCCCACAGTCTCATATTTCTTGGAGACTCTGTTCATTTCTTTTCTTCTAATCTTGTCTTCATACTTTATTTCATTAAGTTGATATTCAGTCTCTGATATCCTTTCTTCCACTTAATCGATTCAGCTATTGATACTTGCCTATGCTTCATGAAGTTCTCGTGCTGTGTTTTTCAGCTCCATGAGGTCATTTATGTTCTTCTCTAAACTGGTTATTCTAGTTAGCAGTTCCAGTAACCCCTTATCAAGGTTCTTAGCTTCCTTGCATTGGGTTAGAACATGCTTCTTTAGCTCAGAGGAGTTTGTTATTACTCACCTTCTGAAGCCTACTTCTGTCAATTCATCAAACTCATTCTCCATCCAGTTTTGTTCCCTTACTGACGAGGAGTTGTGATCCTTTGGAGGAGAAGAGGCCTTCTGGTTTTTGAAATTCTCAGCCTTTTTGCACTAGTTTTTCCTCATCTTCGTGGATTTATCTACCTTTGATCTTTGATGTTGGTGACCTTTGAATGGGGTTTTTGTGTGGTCGTCCTTTGTGTTGATGTTGATGCTATTGCTTTCTGTTTGTTAGTTTTCCCTTTAACAGTCAGGCACCTCTTCTGCAGCTCTGCTGGAGTTTGCTGGAGGACCACTCCAGACCCTGATTGCCTGGGTATCACCAGCGGAGGCTGCAGAACAGCAAAGATTGCTGCCTGCTCCTTCCTCTGGGAGTTTCATCCCAGAGGGGCACCTGCCAGATGCCAGCTGGAGCTCTCCTATATGAGGTGTCTGTCAACCCCTGCTGGGAGGTGTCTCTCCATCAGGAGGCATGGGCATCAGGGACCCACTTGAGAAGGCAGCCTGTCCCTTAGCAGAGCTTGAGCATTGTGCTGGGAGACCCACTACTCTTTTCAGAGCCGTCAGGCAGGAACATTTAAGTCTGCTGAAGCTGCGCCCACAGCCACCCCTTCCCCCAGGTCCTCTGTCCCAGGGAGATGGGAGTTTTATCTATAAGCCCCTGACTGGGGCTGCTTCCTTTCTTTCAGAGATGCCCTGCCCAGAGAGGAGGAATGTAGAGAGGTAGTCTGGCTACAGCAGCTTTGCTGAGCTGCAGTGGGCTCCACCCAGTCCGAATTTCCTGGCAGCTTTGTTTACACTGTGAGGGGAAAACCGCCTACTCAAGCCTCAGTAATGGTGGACGCCCCTCCCCCCACCAGGCTCGAGCATCCCAGGTTGACTTCAGACTGCTGTGCTGGCAGCGAGAATTTCAAGACAGTGGATCTTAGCTTGCTGCGCATCATAGGGGTGGGATCCACTGAACAAGACCACTCAGCTCCCTGGCTTCAGCCCCCTTTTCAGGGGAGTGAATGGTTCTGTCTCACTGGCATCCCAGGTGCCACTGGGGTACAAAAAACTCCTGCAGCTAGCTCTGTGTCTGCCCAAATGGCCACCCAGTTTTGTGCTTGAAACCCAGGGTCCTGGTGGTGTAGGCACCCGAGGGAATCTCCTGGTCTTTGGGTTGTGAAGACCATGGGAAAAGCATACTATCTGGGCTGGATAGCACCATCCCTCACAGCACAGTACCTCATGGCTTCCCTTGGCTAGAGGAGGGAGTTCCCCAACCCCTTGCACTTCTCAGGTAAGGCGACACCCCACCCTGGTTCTGCTTGCCCTCCATGGGCTGCACCCACTGTCTAATCAGTCCCAGTGAGATGAACCAGGTCCTCAGTGCAGAAATCACCTGCCTTGTATATTGGTCTCACTGGGAGCTGCAGACTGGAGCTGTTCCTATTCGGCCATCTTGCCCAGGAATCTACTGTCCAGTTTTAATATAGTATAAAAGGAGAATATTCATACTTATCTGAAGAGACTATTAGAATAGTAGTCCTTTTTCCAAGTACACACCTCTGTGAAACCAGATTTTCCTCATATAGTTCAACCAAATATATCACAACATATTACCTGAAGAAGAAGCTATGAAAATGTAGCTGTCTTCTATTAAGCCAGACATTAAAGAGATTTGCAAGCTGGGCATAGTGGCTCATGACTGTAATCTCAGAACTTTGGGAGGCTAAGGTGGGAGGATCACTTGAGCCCAGGAGTTCAAGACCAGCCTGGGCTACAAAGCGAGACCCCATCTCGCCATCTCTAAATAAAAATAGAGAGAGAGAGAGATTTGCAAAAATGTAAAACAATGCCACTCTTCTTGCTTTCTTTTTCTTGGAAAATACAATTATCTTTGATGAGGACGTCATTTTTGTGAACAGCAATGGCTTTGTTATTGTTATTTTTAAATTAATTAATAAACTTTTTAACATCTCAGTTATAAGTTTTAATGTGGTACATCTCAATAGATGTAACCACCTTAACAAAGGTTTTCTGGGTTCTCAATAACTTTTATGAGTATTTTAGAACTGCTGCCCATGCCATATCCTTCTTAGTCAATACCATCATCATTCCATATACACACTGAGCTTTCCATTGGCTGCAAGAAGAAGGTTCCAGTTCTCACCTCCCAACCGAGAAAGGATAGCAGAGAGAAGCTAGGTGCTTGCAGAACTGGAGGCCCTGGAGACAAATTCTCAGCCTTGAGGCTTTCATACCAAATGGGCTTTGCTTATCTAAATCCGCACAGAACACTAGAAGCCATGTAGCAAACTACTTTATCCACACCATGGAGAGAACCTTGGTCTTCACAGGTAAAAAGTCTCTGAAAAGCCATAGACAGCAGTCCTTGAGGGCCAATGAAAGGAGGATTTCCATGCCATGTCCTCACCCTAAGCTATCTCATCACCCTACTAACTTCCAACTTCTATCTTTAGAAAGATTTCTCAACATTGTACTGTCAGGCTGTCAAATCTCTTTCTGTTACCCCAGTGAAAAGGCAATAGAAATGGAAGACCAGGCCAGGTGTGGTGGTTCACACCTGTAATCCCAGCATTCTGGGAGGCCAAAGTGGGCGGATCATTTGAGGTCAGGAGTTTGAGACCAGCCTGACCAAAATGGTGAAACCCCGTCTTTACTAAAAATACAAAAATTAGCCAGACGTGGTGGTGCACACCAGTAATCCCAGCTACTTGGGAGGCTGAGGCAAGGAGAATCGCTTGAACTCGGGAGACAGAGGTTGCAGTGAGCCAAGATTGCACCACTGCACTCCCGCCTGGGAGACAAAGTCAGATTGTGTCTCAACTAATTCACTAAATAAATAAAGAAGTAAATAAATAAATAATTAAATAAAAACAAAACAATACCAATACCCAAAACCTGAAAATCCATTTCAGTTGTTAATGAAGTCTCCCCAGCCTCTGCCAAAAAGAGAATGGCATTGCCTGGCACTCCATAAGATGAGCAAACTCTCAAATTCCACTCCTCAAGGCAGCCACACCCTCCAAAGCCTCTTGCCTTTTTTATCAGGTTTTTCCTGCACGTTTCTTCTCCTTCCTCCCTCATAAAAAAAACCCACCAGCTCCTCTTGGCTTTAGGGCTCTATCTTTTCTCTGTATCTCTCCCATTTTCCTACATAATTCAGTCTCGTTTTCTTCCCTTCTCTTCTTCACTCATTACATAGATCAATACAGATCAATGAAACAGATCAATGCAACAGAAACCTCAACACAAAAGTATCAGAGACTCCCCCTTTGAAGGAGAATGAGATAGGCTGAGAATACTAATATGCAAATCTTTTTGGACAAATCACTTTCTTTTCTAACAGACAAATGGCATGCAACTCCAAAGTCTTTTATATTTTTTAAGTGGTTACCCATGAAAGGTGTTTCTAAATTTGGATTTCTTAAATGAAATTCAGCCCCGTATCAGCTTTTACTGAGGGCTCTGCTTCAGTATTTTTCTTGACAGTATTGCTTCTCTGCTATTTCCTGTGCAAATAAGCACTTGGAATTTTCAGGGACAATGCTTTGTCATTAATGCATTGTCAGTGTTGTCTTGAGTTGTTGTCGTTTGGGCTTGCTGCTATTATTCCGTTTTAATTAGAAATCTTTATTAGTTTGACTTCATCATTATCACTTTAATTTCTTGTGAGCTATTTGGTTTGTTATATAATGAGATGCCTATTAGCATCCATAGCATTTTTGGCCCATAATTTTTCAGTGCTCAGATTTAGGACAATGTGTAATGGTACAAATATGAACCCTTCAAACTCCTATTGCTAAGATTTGTGAGATGTTATTATAGATAATTATATAATGATAAGTATGCCACTTCTATTATTTTGTTGTTATATAAATAATCCCCTTGGAATGTCTTTGAACAGTGAAATTTTCTGGATGTTAGAAATGTTTCTTCAGCCGAGAAGTTGGAACAGGGCAGTTGGGAGTCACAGAGTTTGTGTCCCAAATAACTGATGTCAAAAATGTTTTAGATGCAATGATTTGTAGCATATGTTGCTAATTGCTAAATCAAAATCTCTGGTCTGAATTTTCCTAAGCCCTGGTCCCATATATTCGCCATGTTCCAAAAGCAAACCCATCATTTCCCCAATAAAAACCATCTTCCCTCTCCCCACATCTAATTGACCCTGTATAGCTATTCCAGTCTCAAGAGACAGCATGTACAAGTCACCCACTTACAGACCTGGCTCCTTCCTCTTCCCCAGTCTAAGTCCCATGAGTTCTGTCTCCTAGATATTTCTTAAACCCGTCCTTTTCTCCCCACCCCATCCTTTTCACAGGGTCATCATGGGCCACTTCATCCTAGCTCTTGTCCAACACCTCTCAGTCTCTATGCCAGTGTATCTGCTTCCTAGGGCTGCCATAACCAAGTACTGGATGGCTTAAAATAACAGAAATTTACACAGCTCTGGATGCTTGAAGTCTGAAATCAAGTTGTTGGCAGGGCCATGGTCTCTCTAAAGTTTCCTGGGGAGAATCTGTTTCATGCCTCTCTCTTAGCTTCTGGTGTTGCCAGCAGTCCTTGGTATTCTCGGCTTGTAGATGCGTCACTCCAGTTTCTGCTTCTGTCATCCCACAGCTTTCTCCCTACATGTCTCTGTGTCTTCTGCTCTTATAAGGATATCAGTCATAGTGGATTAAGGGCCCACCCCACTCCAGTATGACTCCATCTGAACTAATTACATCTGCAAGAATCTTACTTCCAAATAAGTTTGCATTCTGAGGTTCTGAGAAGAGCATGCACCTTTGGGGAGTCACCATCTGCTATGGTTCAAATGTGTCGCCCAAAGTACATGTGTTGGAAACTTAATCCCCAGTGCAACAGTGTTGGGAGATGAGGCCTAACAAGAAGTGATTAGGTCATGAGGGCTCAGCCCTCACAAACAGGATTAAAGTCATTATCACTAGAGTAGGTTAATTATCACAAGAAAGGGTTGGGTGTAAAAGTGAGTTCAGCCCCCTCTAGCTTCTGGCTCCCTCACACATTCTCTTGCCCTCTCGCCTTCTGCTATGGACTGACACAGCACAAAGGCCCTTACCAGATGCCAGCCCTGGATCTTGGACTTCTCAACCTCCAGAATTGTAAGAAATAAATATCTGTATTTATAAATTACCAGGTCTGTAGTTATTTTGTGATAGCAGCAAAAAATGGACTAAGACACTCTCCAACCCGGAGCACCCATGACTGCAACTTCCTCTGACCAAAGGATAGGGGTGTCCTTGCTGTTTCCATTCTGGTTTGAAATCCAGTCTTCAACAAGTACTAAATTTCCATATGCAATTAGGTCTGTTTCCAGGTTTTTCTACTCTGTTCCATTGGTCAGTCTACCTAGACATGTACCAATTCCACACCATTTTATTTGTAGAGGCTTTATGATATGTTGTAATGTTTTACTTTTAGAGGCTTTATTGTACATTTAGCCTGTGCTCCCCACCCCTGCTGCTCATCTTCTTCCAGGTTCTCCTAGTAAATCTTCTGCATTTGTTGTTCTAAATAATTTTTAGAAGGTACTTGTCAAACTCAAATTAAAACAATAACTAGTGCTGATTTCTCTGGTTTATTGTGGTCAGAGAATGCTAGTTGTATTATTTGTTTCTTTAAATTCATTTAAATCTTTTTTTATGGGATGATTTGATCCACTTTTTAAATGTCTTATGTATTTTAAAATAAAGTGTCATATATATATATATATATATATATATATATATATATATATATATATATGATTTACCTTACACACGCTAATTAGATCTATCATATTCTCATTAACTTTTTTGTCCATGTGATATTCCTGCAATTGAGAGAGGTGGATTCTAATATTAATGTATTTAACAACTTCTTCTTGACTTTCTCATTGATTCTGCTTTATCAGTAAAGCAGAGGTTTATTACTGGATGCCTAAATATTAATAACTGTAGTATCTTCATTGTGAAGATTATAAACTATGTTTATCTCTTAAAATGCTTTCTGATCTGAATTCTACCTCACCAGATACCAATCTTTCTTCCTTGAACTTTTATCCTTTTTATTTTATTTATGTATTATTTTACATAGTATAAGTTTGTCTGTTCTTTAATTGTTAATGTCTCTGAATCTCTTCATTTTAGGAGTGTCTTCTATGTAGAGCATTGTGCTGAATTTTTGTTTGGTAGCCAAAACTCTAAATCTTTTTCTTTTAATAGGGTAAGACTTTCTCCTTCTCCTTCTCCTCCTCCTCCTTCTCCTTGTTCTTCCCCTTTCTCTCTCTCTCTCTCTCGTTCACTCTCTCAATCATTTTCTTTATTTTTCTTCTTTCTTGATGGGGTCTCACTATGTGGCCCAGGCTGGTCTCTCGGCCTCAAGTAATCCTCCTGCCTCAGACTATCAAAGTGCTGGGATTACAGGCATGAGCCACCACACCTGGTACATTTGCTATTATTATCAGTATATTTTGTCTCAGTTCTGTTATATTATATGCTTATGAGTATATATACAGATACTCCTTGACTTATGATGGAGTTATGTCCAGATAAACCTATAATAAGTCAAAAATATTGTTAAATTGAAAATGCATTTAATACCAAAGAATACCCACAGAAAAGTCAAAAAATTTTAAGTTGAACCATTACAAATTGGGGACCATCTATAAATACGTATATATGGGCCAGGCGAGGTGGCTCATGCTGTGATTCCAGCACTTTGGGACGCCGAGGTGGGTGGATCACTTGAGGTCAGGAGTTAGAGACCAGCCTGGCCAACATGGTGAGACCTCGTCTCTATTAAAAATAGAAAAATTAGCTGGGCATGGGGGCACATGCTTGTAATCCCAGCTACTTGGAAGGCTGAGGCAGGAGAATTGCTTGAACCCAGGAGGCAGAGTTTGCAGTGAGCTGAGATCATGCCATTGCACTCCAACCTGGGCAACAGAGCAAGACTCCATGTCAAAAAAAAAAAAGTGTATATGTATATGCATGTGTGTATATACATATATATGTGTGTGTATATATATATGTATGTATGTACACACACATTTACATGTATTTTTAAATATACATAACAGTCTTCCAGTATATAGTCTTTTTTTTAGAGACACGGTCTTGCCATGTTACCCAGTCTGGTCTTGAACTTCTGATCTCAAATGATCCTCCTGCCTCAGCATCCCAAACTGCTGGGATTGTAGGCGTGAGCCCCCACACCCAGCCCTCAGTATATAGTCTTTTTTATTTTTTTTATCTTTCTACTCTTTATTTTTAATCTTTTGGGATTCAGGAAGGTTTGTATTTTTGTACAAGTAGTTACTTTTATGCTAGTACCATTTTATGATACTTTGGTCTCTCCTCTTGTGACTTTTATTTATTGATTGCCTACTATTTTAAAAATATTAAAATTAGCTAGTAGTCTCTTCTTTACACTCTCATTCTTCTCCCTAGCTTCTAATATGAAATATCATTTTGCTCCCAGTTAATACCAATAAGTCCAACAATGAGCTTATCCTTTTCTTCATAAATGCTTCCCATTTTTGATAGCTGTACAGCATCAATATGGTGAGAGACCTGGGCTACCTCTCTCCTTATAACCATGAGTTATATATTTAAGCTCGCCAGCAGTCCTTTTGCCAATGTCCCTCAGTCATTTTAGTTGCCCACAACTCTTTCTCCATTAGAGCAAGGCTCAAGGTAACAATTGCCCTAAGTTCTTGCATATTCATGAGAATTTGTCTGCGGCCGTATTTATCCTTGAAAGAGAGCTTGGCTGGATATAAAATTATTGGTTCACATTTTCTTTCCTTGGGTATCTTAAATATGTAATTCTGTTGCCTTCTGGTATGAATTGTTGCTGTTGAAAAGTCTGATTACAATTTGAGTGTCTCTCCCTTAAAATGACTTGACTTTTTCATATGAATGTCCAAAGATTATTTTCTTTTTCCTGTCATTTTACATATTTTTATTAAAAGTCCTTAAGTTTTTTTCTCGAATATAGCCATTCTGTGTCAATGTAGACACATTGTTTGCCCTTTCAACTTTCAGTTTCAAGTGATTTATTTCAGGAAACTTTTCTTGCAAATTTTATAAAACATGGCCATGTAGACACATTGTAGGGGCCCCTTCCAAGGTCTTGGAAGGGGACAGTACAAGTGCTGGTCCCTGATGCTGAGGCTTTGTAATAAACCCACCTCTGTGGGGCCATCAGGGTTAATACTTCTAATTTCTATACTTCAGTAAGCTACTATTTTATTGAACAGTCCTTTCCTGGGGAACTCCTCTAAATCCTCTGCATCCTAAATTGTACCAAGAGGCAATTATGGCCAAGGGCTACCTCTTACTAAGCTGCAAAAATTTTAAACAGTAGGAGCATAATATACTCCAGGAGTGACTGTTTTCCCACACCTCTGATGGTCATGCTCTCTCAGGGCTCTGTGTCTTTGGGCATCTTTAAACAGTGGCTCCAAGTCAGTGGATGTTTATTGAGAGGTCAATTATGCCCAGCACTGTACTAGTCACATATGAAAATTAGTTAATGGGAATAAAGTATATGGAACAATGTCTAGCACAGAGTAAATCATTGTTATTATTATTACTCTGAACAGACATAAAGGCTGATCCCAAGACATTGAGCGTCCTGAGCGACCAGTATTGGTATTCGCTACCTTTCCAATCTGACCCCCGGACCCTCTGCCTGCTGTGGACATTCAGACTTCTTTTCCATTATCTCCTGTAGTCTATTCTACTTTTTTTGTAATCACGCCCTTATTTGTTGCTGGAAAACCACCTCCACCAAACTCTCATTCCTTGTTATTGGAAGAGACATGGCCTCATCCCAGCTCCAAGGGAAGCACATGAGGTAAATCTCAGCCAATCCGTGAAGATCACATTGTTTTGGGCACAGTAATTGATTGAAGGATGAACACATGACCAATCAGAAGCAACAAGATGTAACAAGATGTCTTTTAGCTATCCAAGGAAAGATATACTATTTTCTGCTGAGAGAATTCAGGGTCTGACTTGCACACGTATGTTTATAGTAGCACAATTAACAATTGCAAAGATGTGGTACCACTGACTAAGTGCCCATTGACTGAATGGATAAATAAAATGTGGTGCATATACACCATGGAATACTACTCAGCCATTACAAGCAACGAAATGATGTCTTTCTCAACAACCTGGATTGGAGCTGGAGGCCATTATTCTAAGTGAAATAACACAGGAGTGGCAAACCAAAAACCATATGTTGTCACTCATAAGTGGGAGCTAAACTGTGAGTAAGCAAAGGCATACAGAGTGGACTTAGATGCTCAGAAGGGGGAGAGTAGGAGGGGGACTAAGAATTTTAAAACTACACATTAGGTACAATGTACACTACTCAGATGACAAGCGCACTAAAATCTCAAAATTCACCGCTCTATAATTCATCCATGTAACAAAAACCACTTGTACCCCAAAAGCTATTGAATTAACATTAAAAAAATTAAAATAAAATGTTTCACCCTCAAACTCACAACCATTTAAAAAAAAAAGGGCCAGGTGCAGTGGCTCACGCCTCTAATCCCAGCACTTTGGGAGGCCGAGGCGGGCGGACCACTTGAGGTCAGGAGTTCAAGATCAGCCTGGCCAACACGGTGAAACCCCGTCTGTACTAAAAATACAAGAATTAGCCAGGTGTGGTGGTGTACGCCTGTGATCCCAGCTACTCAGGAGGCTGAGGCAGGAGAATCGCTTGAACCCGGGAGGCAGAAGTTTCAGTGAGCGGAGATGACACCATGCACGCCACCCTGGGCAATGGAGCAGGACTCCATCTCAGGAAAAAAAAAGACAGAGAGAGAGACAGAGAGAATGCAAGGTCTGGAGCTGTTGCAGCCCCTCTGTGACATGAGAGAAAAGACTGTCTGGGATGAAGCCCATAACTGAAGTCAAACAATAAGAAGTAGAAACACAGGGTCTGGACATTTTTTGATGAATGTCCAGATGGATACCTAAAGCTATGCCTGGCTCTCACTCATGTGAAACAATAGATTCCTTCTATCTTCAGCTGGTGGGTGTTGGGGTTTGTTATTTACAACCAAAAGTATTAAGTGGCACACAATTTGCTCTTGTTTTCTGTTAATTTTACTATTAAAGAACACTGAAATATCCCTCTGTAAGACACTGGGGATTTTAGCTAAAGTTAAAAGGTTGAGACACAGCCGCACACTCTGCCCCTCTCTCTGCCTTTATCAGCTCAGAAACAGAGCTCTGAGATAGCAGTGTCAGAGGATCTAGGAGCTGACTTCACTCTCCCCATAAATTTTCTTTCCCACATTGTCTTGCCTTATAGAAGCCTGAAAATACTCTCTTGTCTTGTCACTATAGAAGATTTATGGTTCTTTGTTAAAATACTACTTAAGCAAGGCCCCTAAGCCACTGCCTTGAGAAAGAAATACTTTTGAAGTGAGGCCTCTCCCCCATGATGGGTAGAACATGCATTAACAAAACTTTTTCTTTTGTTTATCTGACTTTTGCTTTCAGGAAAGCATCTCAGCTAAGAACCTATAAAGGGAAAGGAAAAAAATTATGTTTTCTCCCTACACTATCTTCTGTGTGTCTCCATAATGTTCCACTTTTCTACCTTTGTTCAGCTTAATCCTTCTATCTGGGATGGCCTTTTGCTCATTCCTGCATATCTGAAATTCTCTTCATTTTTCCAGAGTTTAGGTCAAATGATGCCTTTTCTATAAGGAATTTAGTAAAGTCTTCAGGGAAGATGAGGCATCAGCTCAGCAACTGACTCCCAAATGGTTTAAGAGACCAATGTTCTGTGTGTTGCACTTGTACCTTTCTTATAACTGTGTAACTGTTTTGAATTTTTCATAGATTCAAAGAGTGTAAGCTCTTTGACAGACTTGTCATCAATAGAGAGACCTTCACAACCATATTATTAATATAATAACACTCGGTCAGGCGCAGTGGCTCACGCCTGTAATCCCAGCACTTTGGGAGGGCGAGGCAGGTGGATCACGAGGTCAGGAGATCGAGACCATCCTGGCTAACATGGTGAAACCCTGTCTCTACTAAAAAAAATACAAAAAATTAGCCGGGCGTGGTGGCGGGTGCCTGTAGTCCCAGCTACTTGGGAGGCTGAGGCAGGAGAATAGCATGAACCTGGGAGGTGGAGGTTGCAGTGAGCTGAGATCCTGCCACTGCACTCCAGCCTGGGTGACAGAGCAAGACTGTGCCTCAAAAAAAAAAAAAAAAAAAAAAAAAAAAAACATATATATATATATATATATATAAACATTCTTCCTATTGGGGTGGATTTGAAATGGCCCAAAACATGTCTGTTCTCTTAGACAAGGTAGATGGGCCCCTTGTCAAATGCGCAAAGTATTCAGGATTTATCCGCATTCCTCACACACAGTAGGTACTCCACAGATGCTTTTTGAATGAATGAATGAACAGGGATGGGTTCTACACACAGGCATCAATCCATTAGTTGTGTTTGGAAATCCATAAATCATTTTTCTATTTTATGTGATGTAAGAAAAGATTATTAGTGTTCTAGGGTCTTATCCCTCCATTCAAATAGGAGAGTAAAAAGGAGATTTTTTATCAACTGAAATAACTTTGCTTCCTCACTATGTAACGGGATAATTGAAGATGCACGCAAGAATAATGGATTCTTGATGAAAGAAAGGGATGCATGAAGAGAGCCTGATATCATTGCACAGTGACAAGAGCAGCAGTTATTTATCAGAAAAATAAATTGGATTTGCTTGGCTCGTGGCACTGCCCCATTGTGATGCTAAGTACACCTTTGCAGCAACTCGTCTCGTTCTCCTGGGCCTCCCTCTGCTTTGTCTTCTCTCATTTGTTGGTGCTTCTTGCATCAGATGGCCCCTCTGCCTGACCCTATGTACGAGTGCAATGAGGTATACGGGCGTAAAACCCGCCAACTCCATCACGGGTATCGCACCTCAGAAAACAGAAAATTCCCACTCTTTGAGTAACCAGCAGGAGATCATACTCAGCCTGGGCGCTGCAGGGCTGACCTCAAATTCTAATTCCACTTAGAAAGCCTTGACTCTGACTACTGTCTCAAAAAGGTGCTGTCAAAGTGCCTGGCAGGGAACTCTCACCCCGTATCTCATGTTGCAGAAAGAGAATTACATCAGGAGTTCAAAAGACCCCATATCCGGTCCCATAACAGTGCTTGTATGACTTTGATTAATTGTTCAACATCCCCAGGTTTCAGGCTGCTGATCTGGGAAGTGGATACAGCATTAACAGCCCTAAGTTCTTCACAGAGTCATAGTGAGGGTCAAATGTATGTGAAAATGCCATGAAAGAAAAGCAGCTTCCAGTACTCAAAAAAATCTATCAATATGTAGATGCTAGAGCAGTAGTTATAGAGGCATGAGACATCACAGCAAAGATAAGATAGAATTGATTAAGGAACTTTGCACCAATCTCCAGATGAAATGGAATGGTGGCCCTCCGCCGAGATGAGCCTGGCCCTCCCCCATGTCTGTGGTTGATAGTATCACCAAGAAGGTGTTTATTGGACAAAGCTGTATAACATAAAGTCTAATTTTAGCATACATTAATTTAACCTGCATCTCCAACAGGTAACATCTGTGGCATCTGGTGATGTTTGGGACAACAGAGAGGTCATCTATGGAAATGGTGTGTGGTGTCTTCATTTCTCTCCCCATCTAGGAAGACATGGCTCTTGGCATCTTTTCTCACCTGCTTTTACATTCTGCTCGGTTGTGGCTCTCCCTCTTTTGCGTATTTTCTCTTTCACTACTTTCCTGTCTTCAAGCCACAGACACACTTAGACACCCCCTGCACAGAAAGTCAAACCTCTGCAGTGCCACCTTTGCAAGCTGAAGGAGTCTCCCCTTCCTTTCCCCATCCCTTAGGTGCGTGTTCCACAGTCTAAACATTCTGCCTCCTCAGTCTCTGGATAGCCTTGCACCAGAACTGCTTCCTCAAAGCCCCCACTGACCTCCTCACCTCCTCATCAGGTGGTCTTTCGCCCTCACCGTCCTTGACCCTGCTGACCAGCCACCCCTTTCCTGGTGCTTCCCCTTCCCATGAAGCACCCTGTGCTCCCCTCTCTGGGCGTTCTCCCAGCTTTCTCAACTGGACTTCTTCTCTATCTTCCCCCATGGCCTCCTAAGTAGAGAGCTGTCCCTTGGCCCAGCTCTTTCCCACTCTCTCCATGTCGACTTTCTTTGACCTTCTGAGACCTCCTAGTCCCCAGCTAGCACTCTCTGAAGAGGACTCCAGCGCGTGAACTCTCCTGGCTCACTGCCAGCTGTGTGGAGTGTCTCCCGTGTGTCCTAACCTGTGTGTGCCAGCAGACACCCCTGCTCACCATCAGCCCACTGAGATGCTTATGCCCCTCACACCGCCTTCTACCTCGAACTCTATATTTCTATCAGGTGAGCCAACATCCTTCCAGCCACCCAACCGTGGAGTTACCTGCGGTCCTCCTTGCATTCTTTGCCAGCCCTGGAAATTATTTCATTCTTTTTGCTGCGAATCATGCTCAAGCCATTATTGCAGTTCTCCCAAACACTAACCTTCCAACTGCCTTGCCTCCCACCCCAAGTATCTCTCTTTTTTCTTCTTTTTTCTTTTCTCCCCCAAGCCTGTCTTGCAAGACTGCAAGTGCAGCTTTCATATGAGGTGTCAGAAATTAAAGCAATTCATCACAACCTCTGAAGTGTCTATTTTTTCTAACACAACTGCCTGGTCCATCTTCCTAAATTATAACATACAATTCCCAAATTCAAAAGCTACTGTCAGCCCCCACAGCCACTTCTCACATTGCTCTGTGTAGAGTTCAGTCTCCTTCTCTTGGCATCTGAGCCCCTTGTAAGTCTTGTCCCAGCCATTTTTGCAGCTTTATTTCCTACTCCCCTTCACATGGACTGCATATTTCCTCATAAATGGAGTATCTGCCACTACCCAAGCAGGCCCTGGACTTCCCTACCTCTAGGCCTTTGCTCACACAGGTTCTTCCCGAAGTACCCTTCCTCACTTTCCATCTCTATTTGTCAAAATCATTTGAGGCCCAGCTCTAATCCACCTGCCAGGAAGCCTTCCCAGATTCCTGCTTTTCTGTCATGCTCATTAAAACCATGGGCATACATGCCCCATCTTTTCACTAAACTATAAATTCCTTTAGAGAGCAGGCCATACCTCACCCACTGATGAATGAGTGCCACCCAGCCCATGCTACCGATGCAATAATTATTTGCTCTGATAAATTCATTTGCTGAAATAAAATCTCCTGGAGTCAATTCAAAACCTCCCCTGAAATTAACCTTGATCCCTTTCTTCCAATGTTCTCAAATTTTTCTTAGACCTAAATTTCCTCTTTTGAATTATCTAGGTAGACTTGCTAGGTGTCCGGTGACCACAACATCCATCTTGAAACTTCAGGAAAGAATAATAATCCAATTCAGATGAAATAATAGAATAATGTTACATGAAGGGATGTTTGAACTATAAAATGCCCAAAGGAGAAATGCTGCTTGAATATTTAATTAGCAGTGATGCAAGTGATATGGTTTGGCTGTATCCCCACCCAAATCTCATCTTAAATTGTAGTTCCCATAATCCCCACGTGTTGTGGGAGGAAATTTAATCACGTGGTAGGGGGCGGTTACCCTCATGCTGTTCTCGTGATAGTGAGTGAGTTCTCACGAGATCTGAGGTTCTCATAAGGGGCTTTTCCCCCTTTTGCTCTGCACTTCTCCTTGTTGTCACTATGTGAAGAAGGATGTGTTTGCTTCCCCTTCTGCCATGATTGTAAGTTTCCTGAGGCCTCCGCAGCCCTGCGGAACTGTGAGTCAATTAAACCGCTTTCCTTTATAAATTACCCAGTCTCCAGTATTCTTTATTAGCAGCATGAGAATGGACTAAGACAGTAAGAAACTGAAGGAGCCACAAGGAGAGCCACTCCTCCTGACATTTCAGTTCCCTGAAAGCTTGGGGTCTCCTGTTTCTATGGCCAGGGAAAGAGACAATTCATTTCCAGTGTAGAAATAGAAGATTTGCTAAAGTAAAATGAATTGGGCAAGTCGGCACATTGATAGGGTAGAGAGAGCCAAACAGACTCTGAACGGGACCAGCTTCAAGAGCGTGCAACTTGGGCAGGCGTGCACAGCCCAGTGCTCAGAACAGAGCACTGGCTTAATGCTTGACTGTTGCCATCTTGAAATTTCTAATTTTTGAACAAAGACCCCACATTTTCATTTTGCACTGGGCCCCACAGATTACACAGCCAGTCCTGGTCTGGGCCTTTGATGTCAGTCAGAGGACTGAAGGATGAAGAAGCACTGAGGAGGTGATATCAGTGAGCTGCCACATATCTAATGTCACTTGATTAGCACGGAGGGGAATTCTTGCCCTAAGGAAAAAAGTTACATATTTGCTAAAAAACGTGATTCAAGCTACTGCTCTTCTCTTTTGTAAGCCAGCCTGTGAAGACATTATAGGAAACTTTCTTGTCTAGAGGAGGGAGGAGTAGAATTTCCATTCAACTAAAGGTTTCCATGTGGAATCACAAGACCAATTAAAAGTTATAATATGCAAATGTCTCTGGCATGTATGCTCATAAATGTGTTTACAAATACTCCAGGGTGGCATGTCTTGACTGCAAATTATGCAGCCTCTAGTCTTTTGGAATATTTCTCAAAATTTCCTTTCAGAAAATGGCATTATATGGCCATAAATAGCTTACATCCACAACCTGCAAGTTTCCTTCAGTGGAATGTCTTAGTAAGGGATCATGTATGTCTATCACACCTGTGAAAGCATTTTTCTGTTAATTAGAAGAGCTAAGAAACCTACATTTTCTAGGCAAATGCCTGAACTGGAGAAACTACAGGGTTTAACTACAATATTTGTCTTGTGACTCATTTTGGCTTTGACAGTTTGACTACAATAATTATCACTTTCTTAGGCAATATTTAATGAAGATAATAAGATAATCCTGTGCACTACTGCACTTTCTCATTGAATCTTTTTAATCCATTATAGTAATGATAGAAAAAAAAAGTGAAGTTGTTATTAAGCTAACTCAAGACTGAATTTTTATATACGTTACCAAAAAAAAAAAGGTGCTTCATAATATATAATTTTAAAGTGCAGATATACCATATTTATTTGTGTAGTGGGATTTTAAAAGTTATCTGAATGAAAACACTAACATTCTCTTTTGGGGTGATGGGAGCTTGCTCTCATTATTTAGGAAAATATCTTGATCAGCTTCTTGTGGGGTTGAAGGAAAGATCCTCTCACTCAGGTTGACTTAGAACAAGTTAACAAGACACAGGTGAGCTGCTCTGTATGGGGGAGTCAAGGAGACGAGAGAAGCCAGGAGAGAAAGGTTGAAGGAGAGCACCCCAGGGACTTTGAAGCAGAGAATGGCTATTATAAGATTAAATTTCAAGTTGCAAATCAATTCTGTCTCCCCAACTTTCCTTCAAGTCCACCACCCCTACACATGCCTCCAGTGTGAAAATCAAGGGAGGGACAGAGTTATGCACTCAGAGTGGCTGTGAGCAGACAGACCCTTGGGGCCTGCCACAGCAAAAACTGGGATTTGCTGAAACCTCGGGGAACATGTCCAGATCCTGGGGCTGCCCTGAGTTTCATATGGCCTCTCCTTCAATATTACCTCTAATTTTCAAAAAGAAAATATGTTCCCCAGGAAATTCTCCCCAGTGAATTTTCTTTTTTTTTTAAGATGAAGTCTTGCTCTGTCATCAGGCTGGAGGGCAGTGGTGCGATCTCGGCTCACTGCAACCTCTGCCTCCCGGGTTCAAGCAATTCTCCTGACTCAGCCTCCTGAGTAGCTGGGATTACAGGTGCACGCCACCACCTCCAGCTAATTTTTGTATTTTTAGTAGAGGCGGGGTTTCACCATGTTGGCCAGGATGGTCTTGATCTCTTGACCTCGTGATCCACCCATCTCGGCCTCCCAAAGTGCTGGGATTACAGGTGCGAGCCACCGGGCCCAGCACTTTTTTTTTTTTTTTTTTTGAGACAGAGTCTGTCTCTGTTGCCCAGTCTGGAGTGCAGCGACATGATCTTGGCTCATGCAACCTCCACCTCCTGGGTTCAAGCGATTCTCCTGCCTCAGCCTCCCGAGTAGCTGGGATTACAGGCGTGCACCACCACATCTGGCCAATTTGTGTATTTTTAGTAGAGATGGGGTTTCACTATGTTAGCTAGGCTGGTCTCAAACTCCTGACCTCAGGTGATCTTCCTGTCTTGGCCTCCCAAAGTGCTGGGATTACAGGCATGAGCCACTGCACCCAGCCTGTTTTTAATGATTAGAGAGATCTACTATGACTGTCAACGGAGCTTCCCACTCCTGCTCTACCTCTCCCCCAAGGGAAGACTTTATCTTGAACAAGCCCACAAAAGATGAGAGAGGAAATGGCCCCCACCTCTGCAATGGGTGCCTTCTCTTCTCACTTTCTCAGTAGGAACTTCAAGCTGGTTAGATTTTCTGTACTCCCAAGCCCTATGGAAAAACTCTGCAAGAAACTGGGGGGAGAGCAACCACCAGCATCTTCTTCACTCAGGGTTAATTAAAGTCCTTAAGGCTCAGTCTTTCCTTCTCCCTTCTTCCCCAGCTGCTCCCTGGAAATCTTAAACACACTCACCGAGTGGGCCCTCTTCCTCAGCTTCCTCTCAACCACCCCATATTTAAAATGTGTTTTTTGAGCACCAACTCTGATTAAGGTACAGACCTAAGGCAGTCTTGCTTAAAAGCAATTTTTTTTTCCTTTTTAGGAAGAAATGGCTGAAAGAAGAGAAAAATATTGGAAAACTCACCCACTAGAGTAACTGTACTAAATAATCTTATCACTGTAACTTGCAAACAGCCTGAGGCTAAGGCCCCTTGCTCTAAACACCCATGACTCACCACCCACTGGTACACTCTAAAATCACCTCCTCTACATTTCTGGATGGTTCCTCTCTCTAGGGTCTGGGAGATGATGACCAAGTCCATTTCACTCCAAAACTGCATAACAAGATAGCCTGAGGTGAAATGGGTGGCTGAGGGTTTTTTGTACCTAGATGAAGAGAAACTGGGAAACTCGTTTCCATGTGTGAACAGTTTTCTTCCTGAGTGGGATGTGCCTGAATTTGCATTTTGATGTAATCTCTTCTTAGTTCTAGGGAAACGTGCCAAAGGTCCGTACGAAATCCATGGAGCAAAAAGACTTTACCAGAAAGGAGGGGTTTGAGAAAATGTGGCTTTGGAGTGCCACGTAGCACTGCATAATCATCCCAGATGCTGTTATTTTTGTGGGCAGAGCTGCCAACTCCGCAGGGTGTTGGTGCTAGGAAGGCATTTCCCTCCTAAGTGATGGTTGAAACTGCCTTTTGCCCATTCTTTCGTGTCTTACAGCGCTGCAAGTATGTTCTTAGAGCAACTGTTGGACCATGAGGATGGGATGTCGAGGTCTAGAGGAAGGATACACAAGGGTCGTTCCTCACCTCACCCCAACAGGGGAGACTCACCAAGACTCCAGGCTTACCTCTCCCAGCCAAGCCTGGAACAAAGGCAGGATTTAAGACCAGGTAACCCAGCTTGGAGAAACGTATGCATTTCCTGTGGCTGGCAGTGGGGCAAAACAGTGGCCCTAAAGAAATCAAACCTGGGTGGACTCCTGACTCAGGTGAGGGGGGGAAATGTCCTCCTAGTCCTGGGGTCCAGGACCAGTTTGGCTTGGAAGCGCACAGCTGTGAGACAGAAGCATGCTGGGAGCCCAGGTCGGGTGGGGCTGAGAGGACCTGTGCAGGGGTTGTATATGACATTGGATTGCCTATGGGCAATCATAAGGGTCAATCACAGGGGTCAATCATAGGAGTTGCCTATGATCATGGATCACTCAATATTTTTCTGGAAGTCGGAAATTGGTCTTTGTTGTGCTGTAGGACCTAGAGGAGCCCATGGGAAAACCCAGCTCAGCCCTTGTACGAGTTTCCTATTGCTGTTGAAACAAATGACCACAAACTTAGTGACTTCAAAGAATACAAATTTACTCCTACACTTTTTTAGGTCCAAAGTCACCATAAGCTGTCTCAGAGGGCTGAAATCAAGGCCTATGTGTCTCCTAGAGGCCTTAGAGGAGAATTTGTTTCTTTGTATTTTCCACCTGCTAGGGGGCTCCTGCATTCCTTGGCTCATGGCTGCCTGACACCGACTCTGCATCCACAGTCACATCTCTTCTGACTCTCACCTTCACGCCTTATGAATATGTTGGGCCCACCTGAATAATCCACGGAAGTCTCCCCAAGAAAAGATTCTTAACCACATCTGCAGAGTCCCATGTAAAATAATCGTTTCAGCTTAACAGTGAATCATTGTTTAGTATAAGAGGACCCAAATATTGCATGGGGCATACTTATACTAAAAATTTGTCATTGTTTATGTGATATTTGAATTTAATCAGACATTGTGTATTTTTATTTGCTAAATCTGGAAACCCTTGAGGAAATCACAGAAATAGTCTGGAAGCATCTGGAAAAGAAGGTACTTTGAGGGAGCTAATGTCCTACAATGAAGCCATTAGACAGTTTTGCTTGTGCAATTTACATTATACAGGATTCATCAGTTTTATAAATTACATTCATAGTTTCCTGAACACTTTATTTCCACATTAATATTTTTCTGATCTTAATTGTATTGTCTTCTGTAACATAGGCTTTTCTGCATTTTGAAATTTGCCCAGTTTTACCCAGATACTAAATACATATTTCAAAAATGTGATTCCAACGAACATATCCAGTTGATTTTTTTTATTTTCATAAAGCAAAATAAAGACACCACCTGTTGCCTTTTATAAACAGATGTGTAGCCCCTACAAACTTCTGAAGGAACCATTTACTGTGGAATTCCTCTTGGTCATCAGGAAGATCAAGACAATATGACTAACCAGCTAGGTTCCTTATGCATCGGAAAATTCCCAGAGATCTTTTACAAAATGCTATGATTCTTCAAAAAGCATTATAGCCTGGGTATTGAAAAGAGTTTCAAGTAAATTGATACAGCAAGGAAGCTTCCCTATGCAGTGGGTAACCAGAAGGGTGAACAAGCCTATGGTGATGATTGACATCGTTTTTGAAGAGGTTTGAGCTCTTCCTTGAATTACACAATAACCTGAGCTATCTAGACCAACCCTGTCCAATAGAAGTAACTTTAGCCACACACGTAATTTGAATTTTCTAGTAGCCACATTTTTAAAAAAGTAAAAGGAAACAGGTGAAGCTCATTTTAATGATGTATTCTATTTTACTCAACATATCTGGAATATTATTCCTATAACAAGTAATCAATATAAATAATATTAATGAGACATTTTTACATTTTCTTTTTCCCACTAAGTGTTAGAGATCCAGGTTGTATTTCATACTTCCAACACATTGCCAGTGCTCCAGAGCCACATGCAGCTGGCGGGCTCCATATTGGATAGGGCAGCCCTAGATTACACCAAACACCCAACCAACACAGTACATTTTCTAAACACAGAAGCCCAAGCAAGCCAGGCACTGGTGCTGATGTATGCCATTAGATTACAGAATTCTAAAAAATCAGGGAACTTTTTTTTTTTTTTTTTTTGAGACAGTGTCTCGCTCTGTCGCCAGGCTGGAGTGCAGTGGTGCAATCTCGGCTCACTGCAACCTCCGCCTCCCGGGTTCAAGTGATTGTCCTGCCTCAGCCTCCCCAGAAAAAACCAGGGAACATTTTAAAATCCAAAACAGTTACCCCATTTGTTTCCATTGTCATCCCTTCACATATGGAAGATGAGTGCTCCGACGCACAAAGGCAATTAATTGCAATCAAGGAATTAGGAGAAAACACTATGTTAATTTATTCCTTTACACCTACAGGAAGAGAGATGCAATAAATTCAACAGCCCGAGGCTGAGGATGAGAAAAGTCATCTTTTTAAAAAAGAACAAGTTTCTAACCTGCCTCAAACATAAAATAGCTCTCAGTCCTGTGACAGTGACAAGATATGGCATTTTAAAGCTTCTGGAAGAAATTGAAGTTTGGGGTCCCGGGGACCAAAAGCCCTAGAGAAGAGGGGCTCAGGGGGAACCCTTGACCTTCCTGGATGATGGCATCTGGGAAGAAGAGTAACATGGGACCACTGGGGAGGAAAAAATGGCTTCTGTTCCCTAGATGGCTCATGAGTATGAGCCTGCACTGTCCTCCCAGGAATGAGACTGTCCGACACTCTCAGACACTTGGGAGACTTGAGGCCATGGCTGGGAGGGTGAGTGGATGACATATAAGGTATTCAGTGAAACTCCTTTATCACAGAAAACCAGTTGTTCCAGTCAGACCCATACCTGGAATTTTTACCAAAGCCTCTCTGTTAATGGCATCCACCAGGGAGGACGCTGGTGTCCAGTTTAAGCAAGCACTTAGCTTTGCTTCCACGTGGCAGTACCTGTATATAAGAATTCACTGAAGTGTCAAACAAATGCTCCCAAGTCTACAGTTCACATATTCCATCTTGAGGTTAATAAAATATGCCTTCGAAGTCGGAACAGTTTCTTTGGAGACAATTTCTTTGGAGACAATACCTTGAGGCGTGAGGGTTTTCACCATGTACAAGATCACTTGAGCAGACTTAGAATCATAGCTATTAGAGCATTCCTACAATGGTAACAGGAACAGAACTCCCATGGTACTTATTTGAGGGAATCTCCACGTTCCATAGAAGAGAGGCTGGTCTAACTTCTCAGATATCCTTAGATGCCATGACTTGTGTTCCTGGTCTGAGTGCCTCTTGCCAATGTATGTGACATTTTGGACTCATTTCCATGTTTCTTACCAAAAAAGTTAACATTAACTGAGCTGCCAGCAACATTCTGAATATTTAGGTCTTCAAAGCACCAATTTGTGTGGGCAGGGGCACAGATAATTAGCATTACAACTGCTGGCTAACATCCTGCTCTGTAAGATCTAAAGGTGTCATCTGCCTAGTGATAACAGCTGCATTATATTTAAATAATAACATGGAAAATAGAAGCTTCTCACCCAGAAGGCTCTTCACCATGAGATGCCATCTCCAGGTCCCCTTCTGTCCCAGGAAAAGAGGCCAGTGTCAAATCACTGAGCCTAATCATTTAGAATACATAGCTTTCTTTTGGAAGATTTCTGTTGAGGGTGATTTTTGAAAGAGGAAGTACAGAAATAGGATTCATTGACTCCAAGCTTCTTCTTGTAGCAATATGGCCTCCAAAGTTCATGGAGTAATCTTCTCTTCGCAGTTGGTTTTGGGGCATAGAAAGAGTTGCAGCCTTTCCTGGCTTTACACCATCCTAATCTTAGGAAGACTTCTGACTCCGGGTGGAGCTGGTTGTACACTGACTCATGGGCCTTGATTTTGGGAATGAAAGCCACTTACATTGGTGCTTTTAGCAACTTCCCAGGGACTCAAACTGCTATAGTCTAAAGGGAAATAAATGCCTTAGCCTGCTGCCATGGCTGCTACCGTGCACCAGAAAAACCTAGTGAGTAGGACATGGAGCTGCTACTTTTCCCAGGGAACCACCCAGCTTTTTAAGGCATCTAATATAAAGTCAGAGAATGAGCTAAGTCAGAGCTACTCCAGGTGTGACCCAGGGACCCACAGCTTCAAGATCACCCGAGAGGATGTTAGAAATGGGAAATCTCAGGTTCCAAGCCAGACCTGCAGAGTCCATCTTAACAACTCTCCAAGTGACTCCAATGCTCACTAAAGTTTAAGAAGCACTGAAGCACTGGGCTAAGTTACAGGTTCATGGCTTCTCTTCCATAAAACATTAAGCCCTAATATAATCAGCTTCCTGGGAAAAAAAAAAGTAAAACAAATATTCTTTATTTCTATGTATTCATTCAAGATTTGGTTGGGGCCAGGAGAGGTGGCTCACACCTATAATCCTAGCACTTTCGGAGGCCAAGGCAGGCAAATCACCTGAGGTCAGGAGTTCGAGACCAGTGTGGCCAACGTGGTGAAACCCTATCTCTACTAAAAACACAAAAATTACCCGGGTGTGGTGGCGGCCATCTGTAATCCCAGCTACTTGGAAGGCTGAGGCACAAGAATTGCTTGAACCCAGGAGGTGCAGGTTGTAGTGAGCCGAGATCACACCTCTGCACTTTAGCCTGGGTGACAGAGGAAATTCTGTCTCAAAAAAAAAAAAAAAAAAAGAATTGGTTGACAACCACTATATGTCAGGCTATGCTAGACGTGGAGATGCCATGAGAGCCCACCCTGCTCATGCCCGGTGATGGCTGTACAACACTGTGAATGCACCTGATGCCATTGAATTATACAGTTAAAAATGGTTAAAACCGGGCGGGAGGGGGAATTATATGGCAAGGCAAAAGGAAAAAAAAAAACCCACAGTCTAAAAAGAAAAAGAAAGAATCAGAACCCGACTCAGGTATACCCCTAATGTTTGAATTATCAGATAAGCAATGTAAAATAACTACAAATATTTTCTGAAGGACTCTAATGGAAAAAGTAGACAACATGCAAGAACTGATGGTAAATGTAAGCAGAGGGATAGACATTCTAAGAAAAATCAAAAGGAAATGCAAGAAATTTTTTAATTGCTGTTAGAAAAATGAAGTTTTTTTTTTTTTTGAGACAGTCTCATTTTCTTTTTTTGAGACACAGTCTTGCTCTGTCAGCCAGGTTGAAGTGCAGTGGTGATATCTCAGCTCACTGCAGTTTCCATATCCTGGGTTCAAGCGATTCTCATGCCTCAGCCTCTGGAGTAGCTGGACTTACAGGCACATGCCACCACACCCAGCTAATTTTTGTATTTTTAGTAGAAATGTGTTTCACTGTGTTGGCAAGGCTGGTCTCGAACTCCTGGTAATCCACCCACCTCGGCCTCCCAAAGTGCTGGGATTATAGGCGTGAGCCACCACACCTGGCAGAAGAATATTTCTGATGGGCCCCTCAGAAGACTGCACATGGTCAAGGAAAGAAATCAGTGAGCTTGAAAATAGGTCAATAGAGATTTCCAAACTGAAATGCAGAGAATGAACAAAACAAAACAAAACAGAACATCTGAGAACAATGGGATAATCTCAAAAGGTGTAACAAAGACACAATTAGAATAAATGGAAGAAAGAGAAAATGGAGTGGAAGAAATATGTGAAGTAATAATGGCCAAGAACTTTCCAAAATTAATGACAGACACCCAATCGCAGATTCAAAATCTCAGAGATCATCAAGCAGAATAAATAACAAAAAACTATACCTAGGCATATCATATTCAAACTACAGAAAACCAAAGACAAAGAGAAAACCTAGAAATAAGCCTGAGGGAGGAAAAAAAAACCAAACACACACACTTTACCTACAGAGGAACAAGGATAAGAATTACAGCAGATATACATCAGAGACCATAAAAGCAAGAGAGAATAGAATGAAAAATTTTCTGTTGAAAGGGTAAAATAAATCCGCCAATCTAGACTTCAATATTTGAGAAATTATCCTTCAAAAGTGAAAAAAATAAAGATTTTTCCTATAAATGTAAACTGAGAAAATTCATCACCAGCAGACCTGTCCTGCAAGAAATATTAACAGATTTTTTTTCAGGCAGAAGAAAAACGATATAGGTCAAAAACTTGAATCTACACACGAAAAAAGGAAAAGCACTGGAGAAGAAATAAATGCAAGTAAAATAAAATCTTTTTCTTATTTCTAATTGATATAAGTAATAACTATTTGTTTGAAGTAATATTAACAATGTATTGGGTGATTATAGCAAATGAGTAAGTGAAATGAATGATAGCAATGTCTCAGTATGGTAGGGAGAAATTAGGAATTCACTTTTATAAGATACCCTTACCACACATAAAGCAGAATAATTTTATCTGAAGGTAGACCTGGATGATATTGTAAACTCTGAGAGCAACCACTAATTTTTTTTAAAGGTGTGTAATGATATCCTGAGAGATTAGATAAAATAGAACCATATAAAATCTTCAAGTAAAATCAGAAAAGGCAGAAAAGAAACCCCTGGCAATGAACAGAAAATAGTTATAAACATGACTGACATTAATATTAACCCAAATATAGCAATAATCATAAAGATGAATTGTTTAAATATTATAATTAAAAGACAGACTGTCAGAGGACAAAAAGACACAAGTATATATTATCTGTATGAAATTGACTTTAAATATAAAGTTCAATGTAAAAGTATAGAGAAATACAGACCATGCTAACACTATTCTAGAGAAAGCAGGAGTTTCCATTCCCTGCAAGCCACTGAATAACAAAGAAAAAGTAATGAAAAATTTAAAAAATAAAAAAGAAAGTTGGATTAGCTATATAAACTTCTAACGAAGAAGATTTTAGAACAAGGAAAGTTTTTAGTGATACTACATAATGATAAAGGGGTCAATTATCTAAGAGGACAGAACAATCCTTAATGTGTATGCACTTGACAACCAAGCATCAAAATACACAAGGCAAAAATGGATATAAATGAATAGAGAAATATAACAAATCCATTACTATAGTTGGAGAGTTCAATACCTTCCTCTCAGTAATTGATACATCAAATAGATAGAAAATCAATAAGGATATAGTAAACCTAAACAATACTACCAATCAACTTGAATTATCAGTTAATTTGATTTAATTGCCATTTATAGAATACTCCATCAAACAACAGCAGAATACACATTCTTCTCAAACTCACATGGAGTATTCACCAAGATAGATACATTACGGGCCACAAAACACACTTTAACAAATTTCAAAGAACAAAAATAATATAAAGTGTATTCTTAGACCACAAAAGTATTAATCTAGAAATTAGTAATAGAAAGATAGTTGGAAATCCTTAAATATTTGGAAATTAAGCAACACACTTCTAAATAATGCATAGGTACAAGAGGATGTGTCAGGAGAAATTTAAAAATATTTTGAACTAATTGAAACTGAGACTACAACTTGTCAAAATTTGTGGAATGCAGTAAAAGCAGTGTTTAGAGGAAAACATATGGCATTAAATGAATGTATTAGAAAAGAATAAAGCTATAATATCAATAATCTAAACTTCCATCTTAGCAAACTAGAGAAGGAAGTACAGTTTAAATCTAAAGAAAAGAAAAATGAATAATAAAAATTGGAGCAGAAATCAATAAAGTCAAAAATAGGAAAAATAATAGAGAAAATTCTATGAAGCCAAAAGCTGGCTCTTTGGAAAGAGCAATAAATTTGATAAACCTCTAGCCAAGCTAACCAAGAAAAAAAAAGAAGACACAAATTACCAGTATCATAAATTTAAAAAATTTCATCACTACTGGTCTCATGGATATTAAAAAAGATAACAAAAGGAGACTACAAACAACTCTTTCTATGCCCACAAACTTGATACTTTAGATGAAATGAACTCATTCCTTGAAAGGTACAGACTACAAAAATTCACACGGAGGTATAGGTAGCCTGAATAGCCCTATATCTTTCAAAGAAATTTAATCAATAATGAATAAGCCTCCACAAAAAAGCACCAATTCAGATAGCTTCATAGGTGAATTTTACCAAATATATAAGGAAGAAATAATGCCAATTCTCCACAATATCTTCCAGAAAATAAAAGGAGTAAGATCACTCCTAATCATTCTATGAGGCCAGTATTACCAAAATAACAAAATCATATAGTAAAAACATTACAAGAAAGGAAAATTACAGACCAATATTTCTCATGAACATAGACTCAAAAATTCTCAAAAAGTATTAGCAAATCAAATCAACAACATATAAAAGAATTCTGTTTCACAACCAAGTAGAGTTTATTCCAGGCATGCAAGGCTGGTTCAATATTTGAAAATCAATGTACTCCACCACATCAACAGACTACAGAAGAAAAATTATATGATCATATCGATTGACACAGGAAAAGCATTTGACAAAATCTGATACCCATTCATGATTTTAAAAAAAATAACTCTCAGCAAATCAAATCAAGAACTCAATCCCTTTTATAACAGCTGCAAAAAATAAAATACTTAAGAATATACTTAACCAAGGAGGTGAAAGATTTCTACACGGAAAACAACAAAACACTGCTGAAAGAAATCATAGATAACACAAACAAATAGAAACACATCCCATGCTCATGGATGGGAAGAATCAGTATTGTGAAAGTGACCATACTGCCCAAAGCAATCTACAGATTCTATGCAATTCCCATCAAAATACCATCATCATGTTTCACAGAACTAAAAAACAATCCCAAAATTCATATGAAACCAAAAAAGAGGCTGCATAGCCAAAGCAATACTAAGCAGAAAGAATAACTCTGCGATCATCACATTATCTGACTTCAAATTATACTACAAGACAAAACAGCATGGTACTGGATAGAAATAGGCACACAGACCAATGGAACAGAATAGAGAACCCAGAAATAAAGCCAAAAACTTACAGCCAACTGATCTTCAACAAAGCATACACACACAAAAATTGAGGAAAGGATACCGTATTCAATAAATGCTGCTGGGAAAACTGGCAAGCCACATTAGAAGAATGGATTCCCATCTCTCACCTTATACAAAAATCAACTCAGGATGGATCAAAGACTTAAATCTAAGACCTGAAACCATAAAATTCTAGAAGATAACATCAGAAAAATTCTGGACATGGGCTTAGGCAAAGAATTCATGACTAAGACCCCAAAAGCAAATACAACAAAAGCAAAAATAAATAATGGGACCTAATTAAATGAAAAAGCTCCTGCACAGCAAAAGAAATAATCAGCAGAGTAAACAGACAACCCACAGAGTGAGAGAAAATATTCACAAACTATGCATCTAACAAAGGACTACTATCCAGAATCCACAAGGAACTCGAACAAATCAGCAAGAAAAAAAAAAAACAAATAATCCCATCAAAAAGTGGGAAAAAGACATGAATAGACATTTCTCAAAAGAAGATATATAAACAGCCAACAAACATATGAAAAAATGCTCAACATCATTAATCACGGTAAATGCAAATTAAAACCATAATGAGATACCACCTTACTCCTGCAAGAATGGCCATAATTAAAAAGTCAAAAAACCATAGATGTTGGCATGGATGTGGTAAAAAGGGGATACTTTTATGCATCTGGCGGAAATGTAAATTAGAACAACCACTATGGAAAACAGTATGGAGATTCCTTAAAGAACTAAAAGTAGGACTGTCATTTGATCCAGCAATCCCACTACTGGGTATCTACCCAAAGGAAAAGAAGTCAGTATATGAAAAAGACACAAGTGCATGCCTATTTAGAGCAGCACAATTTGCAGTTGCAAAGATATGGAACCAACCTAAGTGCCCATCAACCAATAAGTGGATAAAGAATATGTGATGTATATACACCATGGAATACTACTCAGCCATAAAAAGGAATGAAATAATGTCTTTTGCAGCAACTTGGATGGAGCTAGAGGCCATTATTCTAAGTGAAGTAACTCAGGAATGGAAAACCAAATATCATATGTCCTCTCTCATAAGTGGGAGCTAAGCTATGAGGATGCAAAGGTATAAGGATAATATAATAGACTTGGAGGACTCAGTGGGTAGGGGAAAGGTTGGGAGGGGAGTAAGGGATAAAAGACTACATATTGGGTGTAGTGTACACCGTTCTGGTGACAAGTGCACTAAAACCTCAGAAATCACCACTAAAGAATTTATCCATGTAACCAAAAACAACCAGTTCTCCAAAAACTATTGAAATTTTAAAAAAAAAATACCTCTCAGCAAACTAGGAATAGCAGAGAACTTCAATTTGATAAAGTACATCTACAAAAGTCTATAGCTAATATCATACCTAATAGTGAGAAACTGAACACTTTCCCCCTAAAACCAGGAACAGCTTAATATAGATATAGATGGTTACATATAGCAACATTTATAAATGTGTACATACATGTGTACATATTTATATTTCTATATGTAACCATCAGTATATATACATCTGCTGCTCTGTCAGCTGAGAGGGTATAAGAGATGACACACCAGTAGCAAGAAGCACAACTAACATTCAAATTTTGGTTTCTAATATCATTCTCCAGTGAAATAAAACAGGGCTCTTTAAGACATGGTTGGTTTTAGGGCTGGGTCAAGAAACACACAAGATGAGCCTGGAGGAACCTGTAGTGCAAAAAAGTACTAAAAAAAAAAAAAAAAAAATGAAGAATGCAGGTGTGTCAAAGAGACACAGGAGCCAACTGAAAGAGCACCCAGTGGCCAGCACTGCAAAAATGTGAACAAAATAAATAAAGTAGCATTGGATTATAACCCGAAGTATAAAATGAATATGCAGCATTCATATCAATGTAAAAAGAAATGACTGAATATATAAATAGGAAAGAATAGACAAAGCTTCCATTCAAAAGAATTCTAAATAACTTATGTGGATGCTCTGCCCTTAGGGGAGGGGCGTAACTCCTCACTCCTTAAGTGTGGGCTGCATATGGTGACTTTCTGCTAAAGAGCACAGTAGGGAAAGGGAGAGAATTGGAAAAACCTGACAAACATGACCTCAGCCAGGTGATCAAGATCAATATCAACAGTGAGAAGTCATGTTGATAGTATGTACACTTGATGTGAGAATCTTATAATCTTAATAAAGAGGGGAACTAAGTTCCTATACCATCCTTGCAATGATTCTGTAAATCTGAACTATTCTTTAAAAAATTTAGTTTAAAAAAGAATCAAAGGGACAGGAAAACCCAAGGTCAAAGTTCAAAGAACTCACACAACTCTGAAATCCAGCCAACTCATTTGCAAAAAAATAAAAAATAAAAAGTCTATCAAGTTAATTAAGAGTGACAAAGAGTTTTAGCATCACGCACACCATAATGCTTATGCTGAACTTGATTCTGAGCTAGATGGGCTTAAGTGTATCAAATTATAGGCAAGGTGCTGATACATACCATGCTGTTTAAGAATCAGGTGGAGTGGGGATAATATCTTAATAGAATGAGGAACTTGTTTTTTAAAATGCTAAATCGGAACATGGAAGCCCAGATATTTATGCTGGCCAAATCCAAACAGTGATGGGAAAAGAGAATCCCAAACATTTTGCTGCTAATTTGTGGCATTCTTGTAACTAAATTGAGCAGTTTAAGGAACACCAGGGAAGAAAGATAAATAATAAAAATGGACCTAAGGAGATTATAAACTGAGCCAGGCACTAATTAGCCCCCTCACCCCTAACACTTGACATTGCCCCATCGCCCCTCCCCACAGATTTACACCACAGCACCCGCCTCCCTGACAGCCACTCTCTGCTCCAGAGAGAAGGGTCACGCCAAGGCCTAAGAGCTCCACCACTCAGGGAACATTCCAGCACATGGCAGGGCTCTGCCAGCATGTGATGCCAACCAGAGGCCAGTTCAACTCATCTTTCTTGGACACCATTCCTTGCTCAAGGGGGTCTTGGGAATAGCCCTCTTGCTAGGAGAGCATTCACGTTAGGTGGGAAGTTTCTTTTTCACTCCAGAAACATTAATTAAGTATTATGTGCCAGGCACTAGTCTGACACTGGTGCTATCAAGAAAATAATCTAGGACACCTACTTTAAGAAAACCATGCAGTGGAGGAGGCCATCATGTCAACACACTGTACAAGAGAGGTGCTTCCAAGAGCAGAAGGCCTCGAGCTCTGCATGGGGAGCAGGGATGGCTCCATCAAGCCAAGAACATCTCAGATCCATGCACACATGGATGTATAATCCACAATGAAAGCCCGATGAAGGATAATGAAAAATAGGAAGCAATGGTACAGGGTGGAAGTAATTGGGTCCAGACACTAAGAGAAAAAGGAAGGAAAAGGAGAAACAAGTGATCATGTGAGCTGGAAGGTGAGTGAGAAGGCTTCCCTTCAGCTGTGACGGGCACCTGGGATGTAAGTAATCATGGATAAAAGGCACAGATGATATTCCATGTGGGCAACATGGGGAGCAGGGCCTGAATTAGCACTGCCTGAGGGCATGAGGGAGAGGAGGAAGAGGACAGAAGATCAGTGCAGACTTGAGCATCATGGAGAGCACCGTCCAGCTCAGAGGGGCCTCGGGAGAGCTGGGAGAGGCCAGGGCTGGGACTCAAGTCCGCACTGGCATCCACCCCAGACAGACTCAGAACCCTCACCAGGTACACAGGTGGACTCAGCCCCTGAACAGCCTCTTGGTACTGCATGGGAAGCCAAGACGGGCCCAAACTTTCAGGTCACTCCAAGGAAAGCAAAGATGACCCACTCCCAGCCACTAGAGGCCAACTTTGCAAAAGCTCCTAACCAAAGGTCAGAACAAAATAATGCCAGGTGACATCCTCACTTTAGAGGTGATTTTCCACAGTCATAGAGTCCCTTTGCGGGAGGGGGCTTCAAAGTCATCGGATTGGTCACCTATTCTTGCAGAAGGTGGAAATGTTAATGACAAAGGCATGCAATGTGACAAACAGAGAAGGAAATGGCCAGTCTCCGCTCCAGCCCTGCTCTCTGGCATGTCACCTACCCGGTGACAGGTACTTTAGGGGGTGCTGGAATATAACAGGGGATAAAACAGACAAAAATTTATGCCCTCCCAGAGCTTATATTTTAATGACATCTATAAATTGCAGATACCGCTAGTGCCTCCTTTATAGAATTGTCATAAAGTTAAAGTAAGTCATGTACCGCCACAATGATTGCTTGATGGTGAAAGAAAAATATCCCCAAGGCTGGTATATATTCTCTGTAACTGGGACTCAACAAACAGGGGAGCTGGTGATTGGATCCCACTGGGCTTCACTGCTGGAGCACCTTACTCCTGTGACCCCACTGGCTGCACTCCCACCCCACCAGCCGTTACCTTCCCGGACTCCTCTCCAAATGTATTCCCGCGCATCCTAGGAGCCCCGCAATCCCTTTCTCAGCCAGCTTGCATCAAAAAGAAACCTTTTTTTTTTTTTTTTTTTTTTTTGAGACTGAATCTCCCTCTGTCGCCCAGGCAGGAGTGCGATGACACAGTCTCAGCTCACTGCAACCTTTGCCTCCCAGGTTCAAGCGTTTCTCCTGCCTCAGCCTCCCAAGTAGCTAGGACTACAGGTGCCCACCACCACACCCAGCTAATTTTTGTATTTTTTGTAGAGACGGGGTTTCACCGTGTTAGCTAGGATGGTCTCGATCTCCTGACCTCGTGATCCACCCACCTCGGCCTCCCAAAGTGCTGTGATTACAGGCGTGAGCCACCGAGCCTGGCCGAAAACATTCTTTAGCAACCAAAAAGAAAAAAATTTGGTGTTTTGCCCATAACGTGTCATTTTTTTAAGTAGCCTTCCTTTATAGACACTTCCATTTACACCCTGTAGGTTTTAAACAAAGATAATTAAATGGCTCTTTCAAGGCAAAGACCAACTGGTGTGATAGAAAATTATAGTTAAGCACAAGCTTCTAATTGAAATATGCAACTTACCAGACCAAGTACCTTTTGCCAAAGGCAATAGCTGCTGAGTCCATTTTCACCATCAAACATGGGAACTAAATAGCTGAAGGACCTTGAACAAGTCCAAAAGGTGATCTCATCCAAACACACTTGCAGGACTTTCTCTGCGTCCTCACTTTCAAGCATTGGGTGCCTCGAAGCAATGCAGCTTCGAAGTCTTAAGCTTCTTGTCTGGGCAAATCGCCAACCCAAAGGCCCGGCAAGGAGTTTGTTTGTAAAGGTGAGCTCCTGCTGGCGGTCACAGGACGCTTCAGCTACGCTTTCCTGCTTTGTTCTGGAGAGAATGCCAGGCCTGGGACCGACAGTTCCAAGAGAAGGGCTCCTGGGAGTTGAGGCCCAGCCAAAAGAAGCCGTGTGTGCAGGTGAGCATGACGAGGACAAGCACAAGGCCACCGCACCCATGCTCCGTCCCTTGTCTTGTTCCTCATTTGCAAAATTCTCCAGCTCAGCTGGGACTCACAACCCAACCTTCCCCACTGATCGCTCTCTGCTGTATGTTCCCAAATGCTCACACCTGTTCCTGCTGGCAATGATGAACTTCACCTGAGCCCTGTGTCCCAGAAAAGAAATCCTGCCCCCATCGATGCTTTTGCATTAGGGGAGGTGGCTCGCTGCAAAGAGCCACCCTTCTGCATAAGATTTAAATAAACAACCCCTTGTTTATCTGTGACAAAGCCAGACACAGACCCTCACAGACACAGAGAATCCTGATTCTCTGTCTCATAAACGATCAGCTGAACTCTTCCTCCCCACTGACCAACCTGGACAAAAATGCCCACGGACTTGACTTGAGCAGATGTTCCTCAGGCTTCTCTCCCCAGGCCCCTACAGTTTGGTTTAACCTTGAGCATTGGAGCAACAAACAACCCCTTCTTAACGGCCCCTCATGAGAATCAGCTGACCTCATGGAAAAGTATTCCTTGATGCGCTGTCAGTCATCGGGCGCTGGATCCACTGTCATTCACACACCCAGTTCTTTCTAACCTTGTTTACTCCTCCCTGTAAAAGAAAACCATTTTTCTGCTTGACCTTAGACAGCTTGCAGAGCTCATGGTTGGAGTATTCTCTTTATTACAATAACCCCCACCCCTCCATTGCAGTACCCCCCTCCTCCTATTACAATAGCCCCCTCCCCCTGTTGTGATAGCTCCCCTCCCTCTCTTGCAATTGTCCTCTTCTTAGTCCATTCAGACTGCTATAATAAAAGACGGTAAACTGGGTGGCTTATAAGAGAAACGCATTTCTCCCAGTTCCAGAGGCTGGAAAGTCCTATATCAAGGTACCAGCAAATCTGCTTTCTGGTGAGGGCCCATTTCCTGGTTCAGAGCTACTAGTGCCTTCTCACTGAGCCCTCATTTGGCAGAGGAGATGAGGGAGCACTCTGTGGCCTATGTCGTAAGGATACTAATCCCATTCATGAGGGCTTTGCCCCCATGACCTAATCACTCCCCAAAGACCCCACTTACCGATACCATCACCTTGGAGGTGAGGATTTCAAATAGGAATCTGGCAGCAGACAGAAGAGTTCAGACTATAGCAGTCCCCTTCTTCTTAGTCCAATCATCCTAAAGAAGGTCTCATTACAGTCAGGTCTCTTCCTACCTAAATCCAGATGCTAATCTGGATTTCTACCTGCCACGCTAGTTCCCATCTTCCACACGCCCTTTCTGTCAGCCTCCCTTGTCCTTGATGACCTGGAAAGATCTGATGTACCTTCCATGACTCAGCTCACCTACTCCTTAGAGCCATCCCTGAATACCCCACCTCCCCAACTCAGCCCAATGGAAAGTGGATGGTTAATACCCAGGTTGGGGGTCTGGCCGACCATGGTACCAACTATTGCATTTTTGTAAGGGCACACAGCCTCAAGCAGGTCTTTTCACCCCTCAGAGCTGAGCCTTCTCCTTTATAAAATGCTGTTAAAGATGCTTTCCCCCTGGAGGAGTAAATGGCCATGAAACCCAAAGCCAGCAGACACCTTGGGGCTTCCCAGTGCCTCCTGGCTAGTGGTTTACACACGGTGGGAGCCTGACAGGACAATAATGATAGTCTATTTTGTCGATTTGTTATGCACTTGCCTGAGTTAAGGCTGCATAAACTCATTAAAATATCCATTTTAGGCCGGGCACAGTGGCTCACACCTTTAATCCCAGCACTTTGGGAGGCCGAGGCGGGTGGATCACCTGAGGTCAGGAGTTCGAGACTACTCAGACCAACATAGTGAAACCCCATCTCTATTAAAACTGTAAATATTAGCTGGGCGTGGTGACGGGCGCCTGTAATTCCAGCTACTTGGGACGCTGAGGCACGGGAATCGCTTGAACCTGGGAGGCGGAGGTTGCAGTGAGCTGAGATGGCGCAACTGCACTCCAGCCTGGACAACAGAGCAAGACTCTGTCTCATCAAATAAAATATCCACTTTAAAAACTATTGTTGGTTGGTGCCATAACTCACTGTGGTAGCACTATTAACTGCTCCTTCATAAATGCACTATGTATACAAAGTCTTTCCCAGCATGAGATCTATGGGGAGGAAAAATTCTGGAAGATGTTCCAAGATGGACAAAGGTGACCCCTCATCTTACGCTGAAGCCAGAGAAATTGAGGGGCTTGCCATGTTCACATCACAATAACCAGGGTCACGGATATGCCTCTAAGGTAAGTTTTACTTGGCTAGCACTGTTTTTGTTTTCTTATAAAATATGGTTTTTCAAATTTTATTTGTATCCATTTAAGGGGTAGTAGTAAAGTCTGAGCTTTTAGTGTAACCATCACCCAAACAGTGTACTTCATACCCATTAAGTAATTTCTCATCTCTCACCACCCCCACCCTTCTGAGTCTCCAGTGTCTATTACTCCGCAGCCTGTATCCATGTGTAGACATCACTTAGCTCCCACTTATAAGTGAGAATATGTGGTATTTAATTTTATGTTTCTGAGTTGTTTTGCTTAAGATAATAGCCTCCAGTTCTATCCATGTTGCTGCAAAATACATGATTTTATTATTTTTATGGCTGAGTAGTATTCCATTGTGTACCATACTTTATCTAATTATCCATTGACATACACTTAGGTTGATTTCTTATCTTTACTATTGTGAATAGTGCTGCAATAAACACATGAATACAGGTATCTGTTTGATACAACGATTTCTTTTCCTTTGGGTAGATACCCACTAGTGAGATTGTTGAATCAAATGTAGTTCTGTTTTTAGTTCTTTGAGAAACCTCCATACTATTTTCCATAGAGGTTGTGCTAATTTACATTCCCACCAACATCTCTGCATCCTCCCCAACATCTGACATTTTTTTATTTTTGAATAATAACCACTCTATTATAAGATGGTATCTCATTGTGGTTTTAATTTTCATTTCTCTGATGATTAGTGATGTTAAGCATTTTTTCATATATTTGTTGGTCATTTGTGTATCTTCTTTTGAAAAATGTCTATTCACGTCCTTTGCCCAGTTTTTAATTGGGTTTATTTGTTTTGTTCTGCTTGTTGAGTTGCTTGAGCTCCCTGTAAATTCTGGATATTAGTCCCCTGTCAGTTTCATAGTTTGCCAATATTTTCTCCCATTCTGCGGGTTGCCTGTTCACTTGGTTGATTATTTCTTTTGCTGTACAGAAGCTTTTTAGTTAATAATTAAGTCTGATTTGTCTATTTTTGGTTTTGTTGCTTGTGTTTTTGAGGTCTTAATCATGAATTATTTGCCTAGACCAATATCCAGCAGAGTTTTCCCTAGGTTTCCTTCTAGTATTTTTACAGTTTCAGGTCTTACATTTAAGACTTTAATCCATCTTGCATTGATTTTTGTATACTTTGAGAGACAGGGGTCCAGTTTTAGTCTTCTGAATATGGCTGTCCAGTTTTTCTAGCAGCATATGTTAAAAAGGATGTCCTTTCCATAGTGTTTTTGTCACCTTTGTCAAAGATTGGTTGGCTGAAGATACATGGCTTTGTTTCTATTTGTTTCTGTTGTTCTTTATTCTGGTCCATTGGCCCATGTGTCTATTTTAATGCCAGTACCATGCTGTTTAGGTTACTACAGCCTTGTAGTGTAATTTAAGTTAGGTAACGTGATGTCTCCAGTTTTGTCCTTTTTGCATGGCATTGCTTTGGCTGTTTGTGTTTTCTTATAAATCTGAACTTGAGCAATCTCAATTCTGGTGGGCTAATCATTCAAATGTATGTCCTCTATTGTTCCACAGGCCCAACATCCACTGACTTACCCCCACCAGATCCCCATGGTTGGCATCTGCAGGTATCCTGTGGACATTTTAGCTTATGACTTCAAATCAGGTCTCCTGCCTCTTCAATCAGTGGCTTTGCTGTGAGACATGATGTCCCTGGCTGGCTGGGAACACCTTCACCTGTTACTCAGAAGAGCTCTGCACCAAGTCTGCATTGCAGGCCAAGAGAATCTATCAGGTGCTCAAGAAATTCATTCAGAAGTCCAACATGCAAAAATTCATTTAACTTCAAAAGCATGATTTTCCTTTCTGACATAGCCTTTCTACTTTTAGAAACATATCTTAAGGAAATATGGTCCAAAGAAAATGTGTATAATGATGTTCATCAGAATGAATTGAATACCCCAAAAAATGCAAACAATTTAGACGTCTAGCAATGTGGCACTAAGCACATAATTTATAGCCAATCAGAAACTATATTGCCATTAAAAATCATATCTATGCTATAATCTGATACATGTTTAATAACATATTAATAGCACATATTTAACTGGGAAAAAATTGCAGTAGATCCAGTTTGCTTAGATTCCTGATTCCCCCACCTCAGGGGCCTTGGCTGCTTGCTCAATGGGAGTCCCAGCTGCTGCCACCATGACCTAGTTTCCTGCTGCCTCAGCCTCCCCAGGCAAAGGCTGGGCTCAGGCTCAGGCCCCACTGCTCCATCAATAAACCCATATAGGCCATGGAACTGCCCACCACTCCCAGGCCCAGATGAAGCCCTGGGCCATGGGGTGGGAGCTGGTTTTACCAATGGCTCCCTGTAGAGGGTGGCAACAAAGCACAGAAATGCCAGGAAGCCGATATACCATAGGGCAAAATTTGACCAATAAGAGGCAAAAGATCAGAAAGAGGCTTGGATAAGAATCCCTCCCTCCCAGTCCCTAACCAACTGTCAAAAGACAGCCAGCTGAGTGTTCCTGCAAAGTTCTTGAAAGCTCAATAAGGTACCACATCATATTTGGTTTTTGTTTTTTCCTGCCTCCTTCCCTTTCCCCTCACCGTTGTTGCCCTGGGATTGCACTTCCCAGTAAAGCCTTAGCAAATAAGCTGGGTGTCTGGACTAAAACAAAAATCTAATAAATATTATACATGTATATATATACACACACATGTGTATGAGGGAGAGAGAGAATTGGGGTCATGGATGATTTTTATTTCATTTTACATTTTAAATTTTAATAAATTTTAATATTACATTTATAATATTTAAAGTTTATCCTTATGAGTGTCATCCACTGCAAATTTTAACCACCCCAACAGAGGTAGCCAACTGAGAGCTGGAGAGAACAGTCTTCAAAATTGTCCTCACTTCTCACACCAAGTGCAAGTTTGAGGAGATTCCCAAAACCACCCTCAGGTTTGAGAATTCTCTAGAAGAACTCATAGAACTCACTGAAAACTGTTACATTCACGGTTATCATTTACTACAGATAAAGGATACAAAGTAAAATCAGCCAAGGAAAGAGGATCCTGAGCAGAGTGAAGGAAAAGTCCCTTCAAGTGTGGAATTTCTGTTGTCCTCGCCCTGTGGACTTGTGGACATGCACACTGTGTGATGAAGATATACACAAAGTATTGCCAGTTAGGGATGCTGACCCATGTCTCAGTGTCCAGAGTTCTTACTGGGACTCCATCGTGTAGGCATGAGTGGTTGTCCATGTAGCTGTGATCTCAGTCTCTAGCTCCCTGGAGGTCGACTGATAACATGTGGCTCAAAGCTCCCAGCCTACATCACATTGTACTCTCTGGCTTAGCCTGAGGCTCCCAGGTAAACAAAGACACTTGCAGCAGGCATGGCATTCCAAGGGCTTAGAGATGACCTCCTGGAAGCTGAGGCCAGGCCTATTTTGGGGCATCATTAAACTCTACACTACACAACCCTTTAAAATTCCTCACTGGTCCTCCACTATCTTCACATCAAAGGCAAATCTTTGCAGACCTCTCTATGATCTGGCCATCTCTTTGGTCATGTGCCTCCTTCCCTCAGCCCACACGTGTCCCTCTCTTTCCATCATGGGCAGTTGTATGTTCAAGCTGTCTCTTGTTTCCAAGCCCTTGCACAGTCTATTTCCTTTGCCTGGAAACCTGGCTAATCCCAGCTCAGGCTTTGACACACTAAGGGTCTGCATGCTAAGCCTGGGATTCTTAGACCCATAAGACTCTCTTCTTCCCAGTAGGCCATTTCTCAGGCAGCAGCTCTCATGAGGTGATTTTTAAAAAAATATTGTTTATTTGGGGAAAATAATACCAGAAAGCAAAACAGTGCTGGTGACGGAAGCAAAACATCTAAGAAAGGATGGTTCTTGGCTAGAAGGTGGAAGTGTGGGATAGATTAAAGAGGAAAATGTTGGACATGGCAGAGCTCCATTTCTACACCTGTTATGACTTTACTCTTTTTCTGGAAAAGCAATTCATGAGTTGATTCAACAAGAAGTCCTACCACTGCAAAAATTATAGATTGAGTTAAAGAACAAACTTTAGTGGTATTTAAAATAACAGTTAACTTATGGTATGTCAATATGCAGAGAAAACATGTGATGGTCGATGGACTTCAATAATCTGTTTACTTAACAAAGTCTTCTTAAAACCCCTTGTTTTAGGTATTTCCCCAAGCTCTTTATAAATCACTTTCCAAATTACTTATTACTCCTCTGAGCAATTCTATAAGGTTAGTTCTCTAAATGTCCTCCATTTCATATGAGGAAACTGACTCACAGAGAATTTAAGTAACTTGCCCAGGGTCACACCGCCTGTAAGTAGGAAACCCAGATGGACATATGCGTTCTGATTCTACAGTAATGTTAAAACCCTAGATACGAACGCCAAGACACCAGGAAGTGAGATTCATTTGTTCACAGCTATATTCCCTGTTATTAACATAGTTTTTGATCACTAATAGATAATCAAAGGTTTGTTAAGAAGATTAAACATTTTTAAATGTCCATTTATTAATTAATCACACTGATGGTCTAATATGTGGAACATTTAATAGACATTTGAAGATATTAAATTATTTGCCCAGGTAAAAGGATTCCATAATTTTGAAAATGTCTTGTGGATGTGAGGGAAAGTAAATGAGTTAGACTCAGGGAAGGGATTCATGCAAAGGAAAAGTCTGAGAGCCCACTCCTTCTAGCAAGTAAGTGCTGGCAGATGGCTTTCCAGCGTGAATATAGCTAGGATACAATTAAATAAATTGCTTGTTGAATTCTTGAGTATACAGTCAGGTTGTTAATCAAGGCCCATAAAGCTTAGGTCAAGAGAATCACAGAATTTCAAAGATGCAACTGACCTTAGAGGTCATCACATTTAATTTTCTCATTTTGCCTGCGATTTTCACAAAAAGAAACCAAGACCTAGCATATCCAAGTGGCTGGCTCATGACGCTCCCTTTACGTAGAAATTGCCTCCCTCCCCTCCCCAGGGCATCCTGGTCTAATACATCCTACAAGGCTCTTCTCAACTCTCGTCTACCACATGTGGTCTTTCCTGTACCCACAAAACCATGAGAAGCCATCTTATCTCCTTCTATCTCCCATAACACACAGTTTGTAGTGCTCTTTAATTAGTTATTTTCAACAGCTGAGTATGTGTTTAATTTCCCCAGATAGGTGTAAGGCTAAACAATTATTTGTGGAGTGAATGACTGCACACTCCATGCTGTCTGGCACTGCAGCGCACACCTGGTTTCATACTCAATGACATGCCAGCTCAGGCACTTGCCCAGGGATGGGGCCCAGAGAATGCTTTGTGTGCGAACTTTCACTTATCTGGGAAGTAGGTCACTGTGGCTAACATCCCAAGCTCTAGAACAGACTGCCTGGATTCACTCCTTTTTTCCATCATTAACTAGCTGAGTTATTTTTAGGCATTTGCTGCATTTCACTGTCCTCTTGGTCTGTAAATGGGGATAATAACAGTCCCTACCTCATAGGGCTTTCATGAGGATTAAGTGGATGATGTTATTATGTAAAGCACTTAGAACAGTATTTAGCACAATGCAAGTGTTCAATAGATGCTAGCAAATATAATTATTAATTTCTTGTTGTGTCTAGAATAAAGCCTGGCATATAGTACGTGTATAATACATGGTACCTGCTATTCATTCCCTTGGCATCTGGAATCTGTCACTAACCTTCAGAAAAGAAAATTTCAAATTATCAGAAGGACAAAGAATTCAGAATAGACTAATGAAACTGTACCTCAGACAGTAGTCAAATAACCAGGCAAGGGGTAGAAAGGCCCATCTGCGCAGGAAGAAATGTGTATAACTACTACAGACTTTAAAATTCCATAAAGTTGCATGAGCAATTAAAACACATTAGGGACCAATTCCATATTTGCTCCCAGAATGAAATAGCATAATTGTGTCGCTACACTAATATCATCATTTCCATTTAGCTGAAAGAGTTCTCAGGTCATAAACACAATGGTTTTTCATTCTACCATGGCCAACTGCTATGAGCATAACGGAGTCCTAATGACCCAGCCAGCTTAATCAAAGCAAGGAATTTTCTTTCCAGAAGCTTCTGTCATGTGAATTGTATGATCTTAACTTAAAATTATGGCACTGCCCAAACACAAAGCAATATTCATTCACCTTTATGAAGCTCTTGGCTCTGAAGATTTAAAACACTCTGAGCCAAGTACTTAGAATTCAGGGAAACAAGAGTTTCATCAGAGTTACATCATGGGGTGATAATACTTACGAAGAACTGATCATCTTTCCTGCCCTGTAACCACATTTCACAGATGACGAAGAAGGATTTCACCTTCTGCCTTTGACATCAGCATCTTTTCTCACATTATAAATATTAGTCTCAGGCTCTTGTGGGCCCTGGTAAAATGACAAGATGCCCAAATTTGTCATGTTTCTTCCTCATTTTTATATTTCCCAAATTTTGGCAAATGTCTAACCAACAGCCTTGCCAACAGCCATGGGGTCAGTGAGACCTAAGAGATGGCCACATCCTCTACTTCTTCCTTACATCAGGCTCTGATATAACAGCTAAATATGTGACTTTGGGAAGGTCTTGAAGTCCAAGTTTACAATTCTGCTTGGCATGTGAGCAGCACTTGCTGTTGAAAGACAGAAAGAGAAGTGCTTGTCAGAAATAACTTCTTTAACAGGACATTTCTTGAAAAGAAATAAGACCATTTAATCCCATTGTTAAGCTATACTATAAGGGTCACTGCCTTCTTCTCAGGTAGGAAAATTTCATTACAAGAGACATTCTTGATGTATGTCGGTCTGAATTTTATTTGAAGATAATTCTGCACTTGTAGAAAATCTCTTTCTTCTTCCTTGAAGAAAAAGCAGCCCTGCTGTACTCTGCCACTCTTGCTAAACAGGAGGGATGTCACGAATTGCTTTGGAGTTTGACAGGAACCTGAACTTCCTGTGAATAAGATCATTATTAGAAGAATACAACTGAATAGGAAATGAATTCAAACAGGCTAAGGATGCATCAGCCTCAACTGGTTGAGTAAATTATGGCAGTCATACAATGGGACATTACCAAGCTATTTAAAAGAATGAGGCAGTTCATGAACTGATATAGAATGTTCACCAAAACAATATATTACTAAGTGCGAATAGACAGGCTATAAATTGTGGGTACAATAAGCCATTATCTGTGTGTGTGTGTGTGTGTGTGTGTGTGTGTGTGTGTGTCTGTATGTGCATGCATTTAAAAAGGAAATATATATGCCTATGCTTATATATGCATAGAATTTCAATGGAAGAATACATTAGAAATTGCTAACAGTGGTTATCTATGGAGGTAGGTAACCAAGAATCTAGTGCACTGTAGTAAAAGGGAGACTTACTTGTTAACTATATACTTCATGTATTTTTGCTGAGCTATTGTATTCTATTCAGAAAGCAAGAGTATGAGTTATATTTTTTAAAATAAAGATGATTCTACAAATGATGTTAGAACAGCTGCCATCTGTATGCCAAAATAAATAAATCTTGACCTATATAAATGTTAACCCAAAATTAATCAGAGGTTTAAATGTAAAAATACAAAACTATAAAACCATTAGATTTAAAACCTAGGAGGAAAATCATCAAGACCTGAGGTTAGGTAAAGACTTTCTTGAAATGACACCAAAATCATGATTCACTAAAAAACATCGATAAATTGGACTTTATTAAAATTAAAGACTTGTGGTCATCCAAAGGTATTGCCAAAAAAATAGAGACAAGCTATAAACTGGAAGAAAACATTTACAAATCACATATTCAACAAAGGATTTGCATCTGGAATATATACAAAACTCTCAAACCTCAACAATAAGAAATCAAACAACTCTTGTCTGGGTAGGAAGAAAAAAATAATCAGAAAAAAAGAAGAAATCAAACAACTCAATTAAAAAAAAATAGTTTTAGAGACAGGGTGTCACTATGTTGCCCAGTCTTGTCTTGAACTCCTGGCCTCAAATGATCCTTCCACCTCAGCTTTCCAAAGTACTGGAACTAAAGGCATGAGCCATCACACTTGGCCCTCAATTTTTTCAAAAACGGGAAAAGGACTTGAATAGGTACTTCACCACATACTAAATAAGGATGGTAACTTAGAGAAATACAAATTAAATCATGATAAAATACTGCTATAAACCTCTCAGAATAACCAAAATTTTTAAAAATACTGACAACATCAAATACTGGAAAGGATGCAGAGCAACTGGATCTTTCCTGCATGGATGATAAGAACACAAAATGGTATAGCCACTCTGGAAAACAGTTTGGCAGTTTCCTATAATGGTAAACATTGACTTACCATATGACCCAGCAATCCCATTTCCAGGTGTTTGCCCTAGGAAAAAAAGAAAACACACAGTTACACAAAAATCTGTACAAAGGTGTGGTGGCTCACATCTGTAATTCCAGCACTTTGGGAGGCGAAAGTGGGAGGATCACTTGAGGGCGGGAGTTCAAGGCCAGCCTGGGCAACATTTTTCATATCTACAAAAAAATAAAAATGTTTAAAAACTTAGCCAGGTGTGGTGGCACGTGCCTATAGCCCTAGCTACTTCAAAGCTGATGAGGGAGGATCACTTGAGCCTAGGAATTCAAGGTTACAGTGAGCTATGATCATACCGCTGCACTCCAGCCTGAGTGACAGAATGAGAACCTGTCTTAAAAAAAAAAAAATCTGTACAAAAATATTTATAGTAGCTTTATGTGTGACATCCAAAAGCTAGAAACAATCTAAGTGTTTTGCAGTAGGCAAATAGATAAACAAAGTGTGATACAACCATACAATGGCCTATCACTCAGCAGATTTTTTTTTAAAGCAAATTATTGATAAATGGAACAACACTGATGAATTGCAAAGACAGTATGCTGAGTGATATGGTTTGGCTGTGCCCCCACCCAAATCTCAACTTGAATCGTAGCTCCCAGAATTCCCACGTGTTGTGAAAGGGACCCAGGGGGAGGTAGTTGAATCATGGGGCGCTGGTCTTTCCTGTGCTATTCTTGTGATAGTGAATAAGTCTCATGAGAGCTGATGGGTTTATCAGGGCTTTCCACTTTTGCTTCTTCCTGATTCTCTCTTGCTGCCACCATGTAAGAAGTGCCTTTCACCCTCTGCCATGATTGTGAGACCTCCCCTGCCATATGGAACTGTAAGTCAAATTAAAGCTCCTTTTCTTTCCAGTCTCAGGTAAGTCTTTATCAGCAGCATGAAAATGGACTAATACACTGAGTGAGAGAAGCAAGCCTCAAAAGCTCACATGTTGTATGTGACCATTTATTTGAAATTCTCAAAAAGACAAAACCAGAGTTATGGAAAATAGGTCAGTGGCTGCCAGGAATGATAGGTGAGTGGAAGTTGTCACTACAGAAGGATAGGATGAGGGCATTTTGGAGGGTAAGGAATCTGTTCTGTATCTTGATTGTACTGTTTAAATGAAGATACACATGTGTTTAAACTCAGAGAACTATACAGCAAAAGAAAAATAGTAAGTTTACTGTATGATAATATTTTTAAATTAAGTTGAAAAAGAGGAGGGTGACTTTCAACTTCCAAAAACAGTAGAGTAGATTGGTGGAATCAAGCTACTATTATAATGTTCCACATTATATATGAAGTAACAAAAAATTGTCTAAGTTGATAGTGATAAGTTAAAGACACAAAATGCAAAATGTCGTCCCTGGAGAAACTACTACAAAAAATTAAAATAGACATAGCAAAAAGGCTTAAAAGGAACCAAAAATAATATCGTATTTACCCAAGAGAAGGTAGAAATGGAGAAACAGAGAAACAAAAAGCAAATGAAACAAACAGAAGACAAATAGCAGAATTGCATACCTAAATCCAACCTTACCCCTAATTATATTAAACGTAAATGGACTAAAAGTTCTAATTTAAAAAACAGAGGTTTCTCAGACTGGATAAAAAACTAAGACTCAAGTACAGGCTGTCTACACAGGACACACTTTAATACAAAGACATAAATATGTTGAGTGTGAAAAGATAAAAATAAGGTATACCCTACAAACACTAATTACAACAAAGATGGACTGGTTATACTAATATCCAATGAAATAGATTTTAAGATGAAAAGCATTACCAAAGATAAAAAGGAGCATTTTATAATGACAAAAGTCAACATATCAGGGAGGAATAATATGTTTACAATTGTGTGCCTAATAATAGAGATAGAGCTTCAAAATACATGAAGCAAAAACTGATTGAAGAAAAGAGAGAAATAGAGTCACAATCAGAGTTTTGGACACTTTAATTCTCATCTTTAAGTAATTGATAGAACGATTAGAAAAAACCTAGCAATAATATAGAAGATCTGAATGACAACACAAAATCCCCTGGCCTAAGTGACATTTACAGAACACCACAGCTAATAGCTATGAAACACATATTCTTTGCAAATATACAGGGAATATTCATGAAAATAGACCATATGGTGGGCCATAAAGCAAGTCTCAATTAATATTAAAAAGTAGAAATCTTACAGAGTATGTACTATGGCCAAAATAAAAGTAAATTAGAAATTTACAAGTCTCAAGTACTGGAAATTAAATAATGAACTTCTAAATAACCTGTCATTCAAAGAATAAACCACAAGACTTAAATCATTTCAGATTTTATCTTACAAATCTAGAAAAAGAAGAAAAGAGTAAATCCAAAGTAAGTAAAAAAATTAAAAAAGAACTGAAAAAAGAAGATAACACAGACAATGAAGAAAATAAAGTCAAAAATTGGTTCTTTGTAATATAAAGAAAAAGGTACTAAGCACTAGTAAGACCATTGAAAGAAAAAAAGAGAAATCAATCTCTAGAAACAGGAGCAAAGGAGGTGATATCACTGTAATTCTTACATACACCAAAAGAACAATAAAAAAATTATAAATAAATTATGTCAATAAATGGAACAACTTGGAAAAAATGAACAGATTTGACAAACACAACTTATTAAAATTAGAATGAGATGAAATATAAAATTAAATTTGTTATTAAAAAAAAAAAAGTAAATGCCACCCCAGATATCTTCACTGGTGAATTCTAGCAAATGTTAAGGCCAAAATAATGCCAATCTTACGCAGACTCTCTGAAAATAGAGAAATAAGGACAACTTTTCAATTCATTTAATAAGACAAGCATAACTTTGATTTAAAAATCTAACATAAGAAAAAATATTATAGACTAATATCCCTCACATATATGCATTCCTAAAACATTAGCAAAGTATATATATCATTATATATTGCTATATATAACAAGTAACATAATAACTATATTTGTAATGTATGACTTTATATTATATATACTATGTATACATATTTTATATATCTAACATCTAATATATTATTATGTTATCTATATATTACATATGCTATATATAATGTTAGTATAGCATATATTTAGCTATATAATTATGTTATATTATATAGCTAAAACATAACTATATATTACAGTCAAACATATTACATATATTACATTATGTATTTATGTAATAAAATATTACATATAATGCAATACTATTTGGCAATAAAAAAGAACCAACTACTGAATCAAACAATGTGGATGAATCTAACATACATTATGCTGAGAGAAAGAAGCCAGATACAAAAGTTACATCAGTCCATTTTAATTAAATTCTAGAACAGGCAAAAGTAATCTAAGGTGAGAAATAAATCAGAAAAACAATTGCTTGCAGGGGTGGGGGTAGGGATTCACTGGGAAGGGGCCTAAGGGAATCTTCTGGGGGAGATGGACATACTCTACATCATGATAGGGACATATTATTGGTTTATCCCTTTGTCAAAATTACAGCTAAGATTTGTATGGTCCACTGTTTGTAAATATTACCTCAAAAAACAGTAAAAAGTAATTGAGTGTGTGGAGAGTGAGTGAAGATATCAATTTTTAAATTATGACTGAATGTTCCTAATTGTTGAAACTGCGTGATGAGTACAAGAAGGTTCAATATAACATTGTATTTATTCTGTATATGTCTTAATCCATTCTGGCAGCTGTAACAAAAATACCATAAACTGAGTGGCTTATGAAGAACAAATATTTATTTCTCACAATTCTGGAGGCTTGGGAAGTCCAAGATCAAGGTGACAGGACATTCAGTGTCTGGTAAAGGCACAACTCTCAGCACTAATCATTTCCCAAAGGTCCCAGTTCTTCATATCATCACCTTGGAGGTTAGAATTTCTATTTTATTATTATTATTATTATTATTATTATGAGACAGGGTCTCACTGCGTTACTCAGGCTGCAGGGCAGTGGCGCAATCATGGCTCACTGTAACCTTGACCTCCCAGGCTCAATCGATTCTCCTGTCTCAGGCCTCCTGGGTAGCTGAGACTACAGGCACGCATCACCATGCCCAGCTTACTTTTTGTAGAGACTGAGTATTGCCATGTTGCCCAGGCTGGTCTTGAACTCCTGGACTCAAGCGATCCACCCACCTCAACCTCCCAAAGTGCTAAGATTACAGACGTGAACCACCATGCCTGGCCAGTGTTAGGATTTCAACACATGAATTTCAGGGGAACACGAACATTCTTATCATAGCAGTATATGTTTGAAATTTGGCATGATAAAAGCTAAAATAAAGGTTTATGTCAGGATGTATGGTTATTAATGGATGATTTTTAAACTTTACACACACAAAATATGGCACCCCTGGCTCTGATGGTAGAAGCATGGGGAATGAACTTGCGGTAAGCAGTGGCACTCACTTGCTCCCTTACTTGTTCCCTATGTCTCCTTAGATCTTCCAACTCTCTAGGCACACCAGACACTTGTCAACGACCACAGAATTGTCCATCTCCCCACACTTTCCTCTCCTCCTCCTTCACATGGTTGAATCCTGCCAAAGCTAATTCAATCCCACGTCTTCCTGAGGACTTCTCTAACCACTCACCATTCTCCACCAGGAGATGTTGCTTGTAACTTTCCATGACACTCACTTGATATTTAAAACATGTTGTCTAGTAAAGCTAAATTTCTTTCATTAAGTTTAATAGTTCAAAAAACAGACACTAACTTTAAAAACTGTCAGAATCTCAGACCAATATCCTGAAGTATTCCCCCATGTTTTCTTCTAGTAGTTTCATAGCTTCAAGTCTTACACTTAAGTCTTAATTTATTTGAGTTGATTTTTATATATGGTGAGAGTTGGGGGTCTAGCTTCATTCTTCTGCACATAGATATTCAGATTTCCCAGCATCGTTATTGAAGACACTGTCTTTTCCCCAGTGTGTGTTCTAGGTAAGACCTCAAGACCACAAAAGCAAAATAGACAAATGGGGCTACATTAAACTAAAAACCTTCTGTCCAGCAAAGGAAACAATCAACAGAGTGAAGAGACAACGTGGGCGAAAATATTTGCAAACTATTCATCTAACAAGGATTAATATCCAGAGTATACAAAAGACTCAAACAACTCAAGAGTAAAAATAATAATACTACAATTTAAAAATGGGCAAATGGGGCCAGGCATGGTGGCTCACGCCTGTAATCCTAGCACTTCAGGAGGCCGAGGTGGGCAGATCACCTGAGGTCAGTAGTTTGAGACTAGCCTGGCCAACATGGTGAAACCCTGTCTCTACTAAAAAAAAAAAAAAAAAAATATATATATATATATATACACACACACACACACACACACACACACACACACACAAATTAGCCAGGCTTGGTGGCGGGCACCTGTAATCCCAGCTACTCAGGTGGCTGAGGCACAAGAATCGCTTGAACCCAGGAGGCAGGGGTTGCAGTGAGCCAAAATGACACCACTGCACTCCAGCCTGGGTAACAGAGCGAGACTCCGTCTCAAAAAAATGAATAAATAGCCTGGGCGCAGTGGCTCACACCTGTAATCCCTGCACTTTGGGAGGCAAGGTGGGTGGATCACCTGAGTTCAGGGGTTCGAGACCAGCCTGGCCAACATGATGAAACCCTGTCTCTACTAAAAATACAAAAAATTAGCTGGGTATGGTGGTGTGTGCCTGTAATCCCAGCTACTCAGGAGGCTGAGGCAGGAGAATCGTTTGAATCCAGGAGGCAGAGGTTGCAGTGATTGCGCCACTGCAGTCCAGCCTGGGCAACAAGAGCAAAACTCTGTCTCAAAAATAAATAAAAAATTAAAATGAAATAAATACATAAAAATTAAAAAATTTAAATGGGCAAATGATTTGAACTGACATTTCTCAAAAGACAACATACAAATGGCCAAATATATGAAAAAATGTTCAACATCACTAGTCATCATGGAAATGCTAATCAAAATCACAAGATATCATCTCATCTCAGTTAGAATGGCTATTATCAAAAATACAAAAAATAAAAACACTGGCAAGGATGCAGAGAAAAGGAAACTCTTATACGCTATTAGTAGGAATGAAAATTAGGATAGCCATTATGGAGAACAGTATGGAGGCACCTCATAAAACTACAAGTAGAACTACCCTACAATCCAGCAATCCTCCTAGTGGGCATTTATCCAAAGGAAAACAAAAATCACCATAGAATGGAATACTATTTCGTCATAAAAAAGAATGAAATCTTGTCACTCACAGCAACATGGATGAACTTGGAGGACATTATGTTAAGTAAATTAAGCCAGGCACAGAAAGATAAATACTGCATGTTCTCACTCATATGTAGGAACTAAAAAAGTTGATCTCACAAAACTAGACAGTAGAATAGGGGTTCTTAGAGGCTGGGAAGAGTAGCGGGTAGGGGGGACAGGGAGATGTTGGTTAAAGGATACAAAATTACAGCTAGACAGGAGGGGTAAGTTCTAGTGTTCTGTAGCACTGTAGGGTGATTATAGTTAACAATAATTTATTGTATGTTTTTAAATCACTGGAAGAGATGATTTTGAACACACAAAAATGATAAATATGTGAGGCAACGGGAATGTCAATCACCCTGATTTGATCATTATGCATTGTATGTATTGAAATATCACTCTGTGCCCCATAAGCATGCACAATTACTGCGTGTCAATTAAAACTTAAAAAAAATCAAAAAAATTGTCAGAATCTTCATATTCGGGGTAGAAAATTGCCAATTTGTTTTTGACAAACACATTGGTGAATTCTCTCCTTAAGCAAAGATAGCTGCCTTTAACCTGTGCTGGAGAGGAAAGATCATAACGCAGGAGGTTTTAACAAGTAACAAGAATCTCCTACCTTCCCCTTGGTTCACCCTAATGCTATAGTAAAAATTCACACACACCAGCAGGGAGTGGAGGAGCTGGGTCTGTGTCCACCCTCATAGCCCAGGTTGTGGGGGAGAGAAGAGCAGGAAAAATGGAACCTAGATGGCAGAGTCAATCAAGATGAATCTCTGAATTCTGCTCCTCCTCAGGGTTTCTTTATTTTCTTTTCTGTGATAGATAAGCTTTGGCTAAAACAGCTTATAAAGTCTCCAGTTATTTTCTGATAATATGAAGTGTTCCACATTGGTACATAAAATATTAATCACTCCCACTTCTAAAGCTGACGCACGCATCAAACCTTTCTAAACACGCTTAGCGAGCACCCTTAGCTCCCGCATTGTCCTCAGCCTACACTCAGCTTTCGGAAACAAAAAACAAAAAGTACCAAGAGAAAGAAACGCTTTTATTGTGCTCCCATCAAGCCTCAAAATGTATATAGATGTCTTAGGGAAAATATGAAATACATTCCCATTTTCATGTTTTAAAACTTTCTGGAACATTATGCATATAGGCAGTCCTCATTTTGCCTATGTCATGGTCTAAATGTGTCCCCCAAAATTCATGTGTTGGAACTTAATCCCCATTGCAACAGTGTTCAGAGGTGGGGCTTAATGGGAGGTATTTTGGTCATGAGGGCTCTACCCTCATGAATGGATTAATGCTGATTTTAAAAAGGATTGCCAGAGTGGCTTTGCTCTTTTCCACTCGTCTGCCATGTGAGGATACAACTTTGGTCTCTGCTTGCCCTTCCACCTTCTACCATGTGAGGACATGGCCCCAACAGATACCAGATGCTACCACCTTGATCTTGGACTTCTCAGCCTCCAAAATTTTGAGAAATTAATTTCTTTTCATTATAAATTGCCCAGTCTGTGCTATTCTGTTATAGCAGCACAAAACAGACAAAGACAGCATAGTACTGTGTAACTGAAACTTGTGCATATCAGGACCATGCAAAAGCAAGACTGCCTATGCCCTTACTTAGTAATTTATGACTGCCTAAAATGAGAAGCAAAGGGACTATGTGATTAATGACAGTTGTGTAAAGTTACTTCTCTCATCCCTTTCAAAGCCCTCTCAAACAACATCAAGAAAAAAAATAGAGGGAAAACATCTTCTTAAAAGGAACAAGGAAAGAGCCACAACACCAAAGTATGAAATGATGCATACCTGAAAAATACCATAAAATCTGTCTAAAAAGGGGAAGATGGACAAGAGATAATGCATGTCTTCAACTTTAAGATACTCACAAATGTCCACGGAAGTTACTGTTGCAGTCCTGAGAGGCTACTCCATTCATTAACCTTTGATTAGATCTTTTGAATAGGGTAGGGCATGAGAAAAGCAAACTGATCAATAGTCAAAAAGAGGTCAATGTTAAGGAGAAACCATGGTGAGACACAATTTTCATTATCGAGGACATGGCATCTGAATTGAAGTATATTGCCAGGAAAAAAGAGGAAAGAGATACAGCCATTATCAGATGATAAAACAGAGAGGCTATGACTAAGGACTTTATAAAAGCTCCACTAACGTTTTGGTTGCTGAAAATTGAAAGACTACTTCTTCATCTCAAAGATATCACAGGCAACCTGATTCTCTGATAAAGGAGATCAAAGAGATATAAAGATTCAGAATAATATTACAAGAAATCAGAAGAAGATAAGCTAGTTGGAAGAGCTAAGAAAAACATGGAAGAGAAAAAAAATAAAAACATTTATAAATTCAAAATCATATTGGAAACAATCAAAATTAGTATTCAGAAACATAGCAGGGACAAAACAAAATGCAAAAAATAAAGCTATCAACTGATGAGACTGCTGCCTTCTAGTAATACAGCGTAGCTTAGGTCAGATTGACCTTTATGTTTATGTAGTAATTATAAACATTGAACAAAATATTTTTACAATGTTTGAAGGCATTGGAGAATAACCAAAATTAGGTAGAAACTTTAGGTAATTCAACCCTTGAAAGAAAGGAATTGCACTTGTGTAACCCATGTTTATATTGCCTTTCCTGCAAGAGCATTCCCACTTTCCATAACGACAGTCTGGTACATTTCAAGCAGAAAGCTGTAAGACTATTGGTAAGAAGAGGTAGAGGAGAAATTTGGGGTTGTTAGGGTCACTAAAAATTAAAGAGGAAACCCAACAAAGAAGGGAGGCACAGAAAAGGGAACCCCTGTGTCTAGAAAAAACTCCCCTCCAAATCATTGGCTGGCCTTGAATTGCATTAGCAAGAAGTGAGACTATCAGTAGCAGAAAGGAAGCAACGACAAAAAGCCAAAAGGAGCTTAAGCAGAGATTTCAGCAGCTGCCTCTCTCAAAGGAAATGGAGTTTGGGAGTTGAGTCTCACCAGTTAGAAAGACTTGGTAATCACTTGAGGGTTTATGTTAAAGACCAGAAAGACCACACCGTGAAAGTAAAGCTCATGTCCCAGGACTAAAATATTTGTCCTAAGACTAACGGCAAAATTGAAATCCATCACTCTAGCAGTATCTAAAATCGAGCCCATACAAAGCCTAAGTCAAGCCTATGAAATTCAAAGTGATTTATCAGTAATCTAACTACTTACTGTAACAAAAGTCAGCACTCTTTAGAGAAACACAGAATACAGATTCTCTAAAATGTATTAATACAAATTAATAAAAATATTAATAAAAATGCCAATATCCAATATTAATAAAAATAAGAAATGTAATTCATAGTCAAAAGAAAAAAATCAGTAAGTAGAAACAGAACTACAAAATCTCAGATGTTAGATTAGCAGAAAATGACTTCAAAATAGCTATGATAAATACGTTAAAGAATCTATAAAAGAATTTCTCACCCTTGGCACTACTGATATTTTAGACTTACTAATTCTTTAACATGCGAGGGGCTGTCGTGTGCCTGGCAGATGTTCAGCAGCATCCCTGGTCTCTACCCCTTGATATGGTTTGGCTCTGTGTCCCCACTCAAATCTCACCTTGAATTGTAATAATCCCCACATATCAAGGACAGGACCAGGTGGAGGTAATTGAATTGTGGGCATGGTTCCCCCCATGCTGTTCTCAGGATAGTGACTGAGTTCTCACAGATCTGATGGTTTTATAAGCATCTGGCATGTACCCTGCTGGCACTCATTCTCTCTCCTGCCACCCTGTGAAGAGGTGCCTTTCTCCATGATTGTAAGTTTCCTGTGGCCTCCCCAGCCATGTAGAACTGTGAGTCAATTAAACTTTTTTCCTTTATAAATTACCCAGTCTCAGGTATTTCTTCACAGCAACGTGAGAACAGACTAATACACCCCTAGTTAGTACTTTCTCAGATATGATAACCAAAAAATGTCTTCAGACATTATTAAATGTTCCTTGGGGAAGGAAATTGTCCCTGGATGAGTACCACTGGTATATAGGAAAAGAACTACATAACAGATGAAGAGGTAGGGAATTTTAGGAATGACATGGCACGTATAAAAAAGAAAGAAAGAAATTCTGGAATTAAAAATACGGTATCTAAAATTTTTCAGTTGGATAATATTATTGAAAAATTTTTGGATGGAATAAGTAGATCTGCCTGAAGACAAAAAATTATCAGTAACATAAAGCAAGTCAATAAAATCATCTAACCTAAAGCACAAAGAGGGAACAAAATTGCAAAACATGACCAAAGCTTTAGTGACTTTTGGGTCTGTACCATGCCATTTAACATACCTGTAATTGACATCTCTAAAGAAGAGAAGCAGAGAAAGGAGCTGAAAAATGTTTTGGAAAAATATTAACTGAAAATGGTCCAGATTTTGATTTATAAAAATAGCAATTTCCTAATCCAAGAAGTTCAGTAGCCCCCAAACAGGATGAATACAGAAAAAACTACACTTAGACAAAATTGCAGTCAAACTGCTGAAAATCATAAGCAAATTTTTTAAATCTTGAAAGAAGAAAAAAAGATACATACTACACACAAAGAAATAATGATAAGAATGACAGCTGAATTCTTACCAGAAATAATGGAGGCCAGAATAAAGATGTCATTGAAATGACATCTTAAAAGAGCTGAGAGAAAAAAAATCTCTCAAACTGGAATTCTGTATCCAGTGGAAATACCCTTCTAAAATGAAAGTGAAATAAAGACTTTTTCAGATGAATCAAAAATGAGAATGTCATTTTTGTCAACAGCATACCTACAAAACAAAAAATACTTAAAGTTTTTCAGACTGAAGGAAAATGAAACTAGATAGAAATTCATATCTAAAGGCAGAAATGCAGACTACTATCAGGAAGTGTTGATTATATGTATTGGCATAAAGGACTTATTTTTCTTAAATTATTTAAAAGTTAATTCGCTGTTTATAACAAAAATTAAGACACTGTAGTATCAGATTTATAACATAAATAGAAATAAAATATATTACCACACTATCACAAAGGATAAGAGATAAATTGAATTACTCAGTTTTATGTATTTATATAACAGCAGTTTATATAAAAACATAAAACATTTTATATTCAGCTTATATCTGAAGCTGTGTGATAAATTAAGATTGCATACATCATTTCCTAGAACAACCATGAAAAACACATTTCTAGATAGAGGTATCACTAACGAGCCAATAAAGGAGATAGAATGAAATACTACAAAATACTAAGTTAATGCCATAGAAAAGTTGAACAAAATACAAAAATTAGCTGGGTGTGGTGGCACACACCTGTAGTCCCAGCTACTTGGGAGGCTGAGGCAAGAGAATCACTTGAACCCAGGAGGCGGAGGTTGCAGTGAGCCGAGATTGCACCACTGCACTCCACCCTGGGGGACAGAGTGAGACTCCATCAAAAAAAAAAAGAAAAGAAATAGAAGAGCCAAAATACAAAGAAGAGTCAACAAATAGCAAATAAATGGAGGTTGTGAATGTTAAACTCAACAGTATCAATAAGTACATTAAATATATATGAACTAAATACCCTAATTAAGAGGCAGGGATTGTCAGACTGGATTAGAAAGCAAGATTCAACAACAAACCGTTTACAAGAAAACAACTTTAAATATGAAGACATATACAGATTGAAAGTAAAAATATGGCAGGGAAAATTCCATGCATACTTTAAGCATGAGAAAGATGGCATAGCTATATTAATATCGGACAAAATAGACTTCAAATCAAGGATAATCAGATACAAAGAGGGACCTATGTTTTTTCAGTCGAGGTCTCACGCATGTCATCCCAGCTAGGGTGCAGTGGTAGGATCATAGTTTACTGTAATCTCAAAATCCTGGGCTCAATCTACCCTCCTGAAAGAGGGATATTTTAAAATGATAAAGGAGACAATTCATCGAGAAGAAATAACAATCCTTAAAAATGCATGCACTTATAAACAAAGCTTTAAAACATATGAAGCAAAAATTGAAAGATATAAACAGAGAAAAGAGAAATCCACTTCTACATTACTTTTTTTCCCAGACCATCACTTAAAAAACCCACATCCTATAATAAGCAATAGGGAACTGTATTAAAAGCATTCTTTGTGCCAAGGACCTTATATGCATTATTTCCTCTTCTTTGCTGGAGTGCTCATTGGGCAGTAATCCTGTGCCACCTTCTAACAATCCTTATATTGTTACTCAGTTAAGTTCATTTGCTAATTTGCCAACATATTTATTGGCTAACACTATGTGTGGTCATTATTATGTAATTTCTCACTTACACAGTTTTCTTATCTCCCCTTCTAGTATAGGAGTCAAGATTCTTGAGAACAAGGACCTGTCTTCCCCACCTCCCAAATTATTTCTCTTTTCATCTATCACAGAGTTTAATGCACCATCTGGAGCATATTAAGCTCTCGAGGGTGTTTGATTCACCATTTATTGCTGTCTCCTACTAGCCTCCTCCAGGAAATAATCTAATTCCAGTCCAACTTGAAGAAGGGAGTCTCATTAGCTTTTGGATTATAAATTATCATTCAGTCTGTTGGACCTGAGCACAGCAATGGACACTATACATATGACATCAATGACAGGATGTCTTTCGTGGCAAGGGACGGGGAAAGGACAGAGAGGAACTTGGGTAAGCCAGTCTGAAGTAGGCTGGAGGGAGAGAAGAGACATAAGTGAGTGGGGAGGACTTCTGATAGGGACTCTCACCCACCACCCCTCCCTAACTATTACCTCTTCTCATTGTACAGCTTTTATGGAGCCCTGCCAAGCAATAAGCAGTGTCCAAAAGTACTACCATGGGGGTGGGTTGAGCTCTGCCAAGTGCCATGGAGATGGCAATGAGGACAGACTATTCAAGCACCATCAACTTTATCAACCCCTAAAGTTATTCTACAGATATACCAACAGCCGCAAAGATGACTGTAGAAGGATAGTCACTGAAACACTGAAGTAATTATGACAAAACTAGAAATTTTCATTCCTATCAATAAAAGAAAGGTTAAATAAATTATGAAACAGACATAATGGAGTACTATACATTCATCAAAAAGAATAAGTGGCTGAAATAAAAAGAGCCCCCAAAATATTATTAATTGAAGAAAAGCAAAGTGGAGGTCAGTTTTAGAATATGGTCATCTTGAAATAAAAATTTAAAATATACATGTATAAGATTAAAATATATATTTTGGAATCTATAAAATCTATTATTTTTAGTATATTATGGAATGTGTATGTGTGCATATATATTTATAACTTATATTCCAGAAGGATATATAGAAAAGCATATATATAACAAAATGGTGACTTCTGGGGCATGGGGATGGGACTGGGAATTAAACGAAGATGTATTTTTCATCATTAACCCTTATTTAATTTTTTACTCAATTTATGTGCTATTTTAATAATTTTTTAAAAATTGAATAATTTTTTTTTGTTGCAAACAGTTTAGCTGGAGGACCTTACAGAAAAATTCTACTAAAAACCCACTGATTTAACATAAGAGAATAAGGCCATTGGAACTCAGGGACTTCTGTAATCTGTTCCAAGTCCTGGAGGCAGTTAGAGCAGAACTGGGCAAAGAACCCAGATCTTGCTCCACTATACCACATTTCAGCCGTTAAATATCAGTATCACCTGCCAGCATACTGCTCTTAAGGTCAACATTCATGAAGTGTATACGATACCCACGGGAATTTCTTTTTTTAAAAAAATTTGGGTGGGAATGGAAAATGGAAAACAGTTTGGCAAGTTAAACCTGGAACGCCTCTGTATTCCAGCAATTCCACCTCTGGGCATATACTAAAGAGCAATCAAACCATAGGACCACCCGAGCACTTCTACAGGAAGGTTCAAAGCAGCCTTATTACCAACAGCCAAAAAGTAAAAATGACCCAAACATCCAGCATATCAGACAATAAAAAAGAAGTACTGATACATGGCACAATGTGGATGAACCTTGAACACATGCTAAGTGAAAGAGGCCAACACAAAGGGCAACATATTATATGATTCTATTTACATGAAATGTCCAGAATAGACAAAGCTCTAATGAGAGAAAGTAGACTCATGGCTGCCTAGGGACTGGGGATAGGACAGTAATGGCTGGGGGCATAGGTTTTCTTTTAGTTATATTCTAAAATTAGCAATGAACTCATTACGAATATCAGAATATTAGTAATAAAAATATTCTTCGATTGTGGTAATGGTTGCACAAATTGTGAATATACTTAAAGGTATTGGATTGCCCATGTTAAATGGGTGAATTGTGTGGTATGTGAATTATATTTCAATAGACTGTTAAAATTAAAATCTTGGTTCTGGAACTTTCCATAGGCCTGAGAGAAAGGGTAGAAAAGGGGATTCTACCAAGAATGAAAAGGATGACTGGCTCAGACCAAGGCCCTGAGACTTAAATGAGCAGCTCTTCTTTACCCCTTTCTGCCCAGGGAGATGGAAGAGGAGGGAGCCAGACAGAAGGGATGGGAAGAGTCCTGAGAAGACCAGCAGGCCACATTGGGAAGCTGGACCATGAGGGGCTCAAGATTGCAGCTGCAGTTATCAAAAAGCGACAATGAGACCAGGCCAGAAAATGGACATCCACCCTGATTCTACATTATGGGTACCACCTCTTAATACTGTTAAAATGGCAATTAAATTTTAACATGAGTTTTGGAGGGGACATTCGAACCATAGCATGAAGTAATGACAAATTGTGTTACATAATGGACGGATCTGCTCTCCACAGGGGACTTGTTAAAATTCTTATTTCCTCTCACATACATGTCTTTCCCATTAAATACAAATCAACTAGGGATTTTTCCACGAATTTTAACACTCTTCTAAATATCTATTTCTGTGATGAGTTCAAAGAGTAGAAAGACGTTTTGGAGCTTTCTGAAATCCAACACATCTAATGACTTTTAAATGTATCTTTATGGCTTTACTTTTAAGAATCAGAAAAACACATGTTTCTGGAATGACCTTTATTTATTTATTAATTCAAATGTCCATGCCCTGTTTGCAATAGATTGATTCCAAATTCATACAAGACAAAGCTAACAGTGTGCTTAGCTGTGTAACCCTGGACAAGCTATTTATTGCTCTAAGTCCCTGCTATTCTATAAAATGGAAATGAAAATGCCACATACTTGATGAAGGTGTTTCACAAATAAGGGATGTATGGAAGCATTTAACCTACAGCTGGCACAGTGGATTACACAATAGAAGTCACCTGTCATATTAGTTTATCTCTATAGAAAAGAGTTAGTGGAAGAAGGAGCAAGGATTTGAACTCATGGTGCCTAACTTCAGCTCTGTAGCTCTGAAATTTGTTACACTTTCTGTAGAGAAAATGAAGCCCTCAGCACAATGCCTAGCAATTGGGAAACATGCAATAAATCATAGTGACATGGTGACTATGTTCATGAACCTGGCCCTACTCTAGGCAGGGATTTACAACTGTACCAAAATCAATGTGCAAATGTGCTAAGACCCCAAAACAAAAAAAAATGCTTCAGATTATGAATTATGGAAGAAAGATGGCTAACTAGAGACACCTGGCATTCACCACCCCAAACAAGAACCAAGGCAATTAATAAACAGCTAAGGGAGAGTGCTGACATACAGCAGGGGAGTAGAGATGCACCCGTGGTGATTGGAAGTTCAGGAGGGCAACGTGGAGCCCCATATCCTCTGCCTGGATCAGATTTGCCTGGGGTCAGGAGGGCCTTCCCATTGCTGAGAAAAGGCAAGTAGAAAATCCCCACCAACCCTCCTTGCCACCACAAATACCTATAGTGCTTACAAGAATCTCCATGGTCCTCAAAATCCTTAAACCCACTTTGGAGAGCTGCTGGGAATTCATACAGCCACACTGCCCTAGATTAGGAGCACAAGGTATGCATTCCCCACTCCAATCCACTCCTGTGAACCAAGCAACTATAGCACAGCACCATCTTGAGACCAGAGCCACTTTTAGGGTACACCCTACTCTGGAGGCCAGTGCACCTCTGGAGCACTAGGGCTCTGTCTTCATTCCACCAAGCCCACACAAGTAGCTGAATGCCACAATCCTAGCTGCACAGAGCTTGGGCCCAGGATTGGCTGTGACTCTGGTTTTGCAAAGCAGGGGAACCAACCTCCACCACCACACTACCAGCCAGAGGAACAGTCTGCCAGTACTACCTAGAGAGAACATGCTCTTGAGCCAGCCAAGCCACTGCATGCTATCTCCCAAGCAGGAGAGGCCCCTGAGCCTCTGAGCAGCTGATATGCCCCACAGCCAGGAGGTTGGTTATATCCCCATGCTCAGGATTTGCAAAACAACTCCAAAGTGCTACACTACAACAGACAAGACGTGGCCTGCCCAATGGCCCTGTTCCCCCAGTAAGGACCTGAAAGACAGCCCCATGGCTCACCCCTGGTGGACATGCTGCAGGCTGGCCAAGTAGCCCTGCACCTGCATACTGAGCCTGAGAAAGTGCTCTGTGCCTATCATTGGCCTGAGAAATCACTCTGTGCCTGCCATGAGCAGACATGTCCCCAGGCCAGCCAAGCAGCCACGTGTCCATGTCCCAAACCTGAGAATAGCCCCATGGGCTAGCTGTAGCAGACACGCCCTTAGGCTGGCCAAGTAGCTGTGTGCTTGCATCCAAGACCTGAGAAACAGCCCATGAGCCACTCCTGGTACACACACACACACACACACACACACACACACACACAAACACACACACACCCAGGACATCCAAGTAACTCTGTGCCTATGCTTTCTGCCAGAGTAACAGGGCTGTGTTCCCAACCCAAGTGAGCCAGATCCTAAGTTGGCCAACCCATCATGTGCACACATGTACTCTTGACCTGTTGACCTGAGAAACAGCCTGGTGAGCCCATCTCTGGCAAAGCCACATCACCATCACCTACAAACTCTATCAGCCTAAGCCACTGAGAAACTTGCAAACACCATTAATGTGTGTTACAATTGAAGAAACTATACAGAGACTACACTACTGTGTTCACCTAGAACAAAGGTGAATGCACTGCTGCAAACTAACACCCCAAGACCCATTCAGACAAATAAATCTTTCCCTATAAAACCCACTTATAAAATTGGAAGAGGTGACTCTTCCACTAGAAGCATAGAAGTCAACACAGGGACACATTAACCATGAAAAAGCAACAACAAAAAAGCCACCTTCAAAGGAAAACAATAATTCTCCAGCAATGGACCCTAATCACAAGGAAATATATGAAATGCCAGAAAAAGAATTCAAAATAATAATCCTAGGGAAACACAGTAAGATAAAGGGAACATAGACAATTCAGTGAAATCAGAAACACAATTCATGATTTGAATGAGAAATTCAACAAAGCAATAGATATAAAAACAGAAATTCTAGAGCTGAAGAATTCAATGAGTAAAATTAAAAGTACAGTCAAGAGCTTCAGTAACAGATGAGACCAAGCAGAAGAATTTCTGAACTTGAAGACAGGTCTTGTGAAATAGCACAGGCAGACAAAAAGAAAAGAATAAAAAATTATAAAGAAAGCTGACAGAATTTATGGGACATCATTAAGCAAACAAATATTCATATTATGGTCATTGCAGAAGGAGAGGAAAAAGGAAAAGGTAAGAAAAAACACATTTAATGAAATAATAGCAGAAAGCTTCCCAAGTCTTGGGAGATATATGGATATCCAGGTCTAGGAAGCTCAACGAATTCCAAATAGACACAACCCAGACAGGGTCTGTCTGAGGCACATTATAGTCAAATTGTCAAAAGTCAAAAAGATAGAAAGAATTATAACAGCAGCAAGGAAAACATATCAATCACATATAAGAGAATTCCATTAGACTAACATCAGATTTCTCAGCAAAACCCTTACAGGCCAGGATAGAATGGGATTATATATTTAGGATACTAAATGAAAAAAAAAAACCTGCCAGCCGAGAATGTTATACTCAAGAAATCTATCCTCCAAAAATGAAGGACAAATAAAATATTCCACAGAGAAGCAAAAACCAAGGAAATTTTTTACCACCAGACTGGCCTTAAAAGAAATGTTGAAGGGAGTCTTACATCTGGAAGTGAAAAGACAATGATGATCACCATGAAAACATGCAAAACTAAAAAACTCACCAGTAGAGCCAATACACAAGAAAAAGAAATCAAACCTGTCACTGCAGAAAGCCACTCAGCCACAAAAATAAACAATAGGATATCAGGAGCCTGAGACACAAGAATCACTTAAACCCAGGAGGCAGAGGTTGCAGTAAGCTCAGATCACACCACTGCACTTCATCCTGGGCAACAGAGTGAAACTGTGTCTCAAAAACAAAAATTAATTGTAATTTTAATTTAAAATAAAAATAGAAAAGGAAGTAAGAAACAAGGGATATACAAAACAACCAGAGAACAATCAATAAAATGACAGGAGTAAGTTCTCACCTATCAATAATAACCTTGAATGTAAATGGATTTAATTCCTTATTTGAATGACATAGGTTAGCTGAATGGATTTTTAAAGGACCCAACTATATGCTGCCTGCAAGAAATTCACATCACCTGTAAAGACACACATAGACTGAAAGTGAAGGTTGGAAAAGATATTCCATGCAAACAAAAACCAAAAGTAAGCAGAAGTAGGTCTGCTTATAACAAACAAAACAGACTTCAAGTCAAAAGCTATTAAAAAGAGACTAAGAAGGACACTATATAATAATAAAAAGATCAATTCAGCAAGACAGTATAACAATTATAAATACATATGCATCCAACAATGAAGCACCCAAATATATAAAGCAAACATTATTAGATCTAAAGGGAGAGACAGACTCCAATACAGTAAGAATTGGGGACTTTAACACCCCACTCTCAGCATTAGACAGATCGCCTTGACAGAAAATCAACAAAAAACATTGAATTTGAACTTCACCATAGACCAAATGGACTTAAAAGACATTTATGAACATTTCAGCCAACAGCTGTAGAATACACATTTTTTTAATCAGTACATGTAACATTCTCCAGAATTGACTATATGTTAGAACACAAAACAAGTGTCAAAATATTTTTAAAAATTATATCATATCAAGTATCTTATCTGACCCCAATGGAATAAAACTAGACATCAATAACAAGAGAAGTTTTAAAACTAAACAATTTCATAGAAATTAAACAACAGGCTCCTGACTGACTAATGGGTGAAGAACGAAATTAAGAATAAATTTTTAAAATTCCTCAAGACAAAATAGAAACACAACATACAAAAACCTATAGGACAGAGCAAAACCAGTATTAAGAGGCAAGTTTACAGCAATTTACATAAAAAAACCAGAGAGATTTCAAATAAACAATCTAATGATGCATCTCAAGGAACTAGGTAGAAAAGGAAGAACCATCCAAACTCAAAATTAATAAACACTAGGAAAGCAAGAACAAATGAAATTCAAAATTAATAAAAGGAAAGAAATAATACAAATCAGAGCAGAAATAAATGAAATTGAGACTCAAAAATACAATAGATCAACCAAACGAAAAGTTGGTTTTTTAAAAAGATAAGCAAAATTGGCAAATCATTATCTAGACTGAGAAGACCGGAGGAAATCCAAATAAATGAAATCAGAAATGAAAAAGGAGTTAACACAATGGATACCACAGAAATACAAAGGATCATTAGTGATTACTATGAACAACCGTATGCCAATAAATTTGAAAACCTAGAGGAAATAAATAAATTCCTGGACACATACAACCCACCAAGATTGAACCAAGAAGAAACAGAAAACCTGAAAAGACCAATAACAAGTAATGAAATTGAATCAGTAACAAAAAGTCTTACAACAAAGAAAAGTTCAGGATCGACAGATCCATCACTGATTTCTATCAAACCCTTAAAGAATTAATACCAATTATTCTCAAACAATTCCAAAATATTGAAACAGAGGGAATTCTTCCTAACTCATTCTATGAGGTCAGTATAATACCAAAATCAGACAAGGGCATAACAAATAAAGAAAACTACAGGCCAATATCCCTAATGAACATAAACACAAAAATCCTAAACAAAATACTAGAAAACCAAATCCAACAACACATCAAAAAGATAACACACCAGGACAAAATGGTATTTATTCCAGGAATGCACGAATGGCTCAACATGTGCAAATCATTAATGGAATATATACATCACATTAATAGAATAAAGAACAAAACCATATGATCATCTCAATAGATACAGAAAATATTTTGTTAAAATTCAACATCCTTTCATGATTAAAAAAAACTTGATAAATTAGGTTTAGAAGAAAAGTGACTCAACATAATAAAATCCAAGTATGACAAACACACAGCTAACATCTTACTGATGGAGAAAAGCTTTTATAAGAACTGGAATAAGTCAAGGATGCCCACTTTCATCACTATTATTCAATATAGTACTGGATGTTCTAGCCAGAGCAATTAGGCAAGAGAAAGAAATAAAGAACATCCAAAATGGCAAGGAGGAAATCGAATTGTCCCTGTTTGCCAAGAATATAATACAATCTTATACATAAAAAACCTAAAGACTCTACCAAGAAAACACTTAGAACTGATAAACAAATTCAATAAAGCTGCAGGATGCAAAATTAACTAACAAAATCAGTAACATTTCTATACATGAAAAACAAACTAGCTGAAAAAAGAAATCAGGAAAGCAATCTCATTTACAATAGCTACAAAAAATAAAATAAAATACCTAGGAAAAAATTTAACCAAGGAGGTGAATAACTTCTACAAGAAAGATGACAAAACACTGATTTAAAAAATTGAAGAGGACACAAACAGGTGGAAGGACATCCAATACTCACAGATTGGAAGAATGAACAGTGTTAAAATGACAATACTACCCAAAGCAATCTACAGATTCAATGCAAATCCTATCAAAATACCAATGCTATTCTTCACAGAAATGGGGAAAAAAAGTCCTAAAATTTGTATGGAACCACAAAGACCCCAAATAGCCAAACCAAACCTGAACAAAAAGAATAAAGCTAGAGGTATCACACTCCCAGACCTCAAAATACACTACAAAACTGTAGTAGTAACAAGCACAGCATAGTACTGGCATAAAAACATACACCTAGACAAATGGAAAAGAATAAAGAACCCAGAAGTTAATCCACATATCTACAGCCAACAGATTTTTGGCAAAGTTTCCAAGAACACTCATTGGAGAAAGGACAGCCTCTTCAACAAATTGTACTGTGAAAACTAGACATCCATATGCAGAAGAATTAAACTAGATGCCCACCTCTCACCCTGTACAAAAATCAACTCAAAGTTGATCAAAGACCTAGATGTAAGACCCAAAATGATAAAACTACTAGAATAAAACATAGGAGAAATGCTTCAAGAGATTGGTCTGAGAAAAGATATTATAAATAAGACCTTAAAAGCAGAGGCAACAAAAGCAAACATAAATAAATGGGAATATATCAAACTAAAAAGCTTCTGAGCAGCAAAGGAACCAATCAACAGAGTGAAAAGACAACCTACAGAATAGAGAAACTATTTGAAAACTATTCATCCAACAGGGGATTAATATTAAGAAAATAGAAGGAACTCAAACATCTCAACAGCATAAAATCAAACAATCTGATTTAAAAACGGGCAAATGATCTGAACAGGTATTTCTCAAAAGAAGATATACAAATGGCTAACAAATACATGAAAATATGTTCAGTGCCACTAATCACCAGGGAAATCCAAAACAAAACCACAATCAGGTATCATCTCACGCCAGTTAGGACGGCAATTATCAAAAAAACAAAAAATAACAAATATTCATGAGGATGTGGAGAAAAGGGAACTCTCATACTCTGTTAGTGCAGCTGTAAACTAGTATAGCAACTATGGAGAACAGTATGGAGTTTCCTCAAAAAGCTACAAATAGAACTGCCACATAATCCAGCAATTTCACTACTGGAAATTTATCCAAAGGAAAGGCAATCATTATATCAGTGACACATCTGCACTCCCATATTTATTACAGCACTCTTCACAATAGCCAAGATATTAGATCAACCCAGGTGTCTAACAACAAATGAATGGATAAAGTAATTGTGGTACATATACATAATGAGTTACTATTCAGTCATTAAAAAAAATAAAATCCTATCATTTGCAGCAACATGGATGGAACCGTAGGACATTATATTAAGTGAAATAAGCCAGGAACAGAAAGATAAACACTGCATGTTTTCACTCATACGTGGAACCTTTAAAAAGTTGATCTCATAGAAGTAAAAAGTAGAACAGAGAATACTAGAGGCTGAAAAGGGTGGGAAGGAAGGGGTGTATAGAGAGAATTATATTGAAGGATATAAAACTGCAGCTAGATAGGAGGAATAAGTTCTAGTGTTCTCTACTGCTGCAGTATGACAATAATATATTTTATAGTTAGCAACAATATATCTTATAGTTTCAAATGGTGAGAAGGATTTTGAACATTCCTAACACAAAGAAACGATAAATGTTTCACATGATAGATATGCTAATTTCCCTGATCTAATCACTATACACTAGATGTATCAAAACATCACTATGTAACCCATGAATATATGTAATTATTATTTGTCCATTAAAAAGATAAATTTTTGAAAGAATTATGAATCATGGCCCTTTTGCTCCCCCTTTCTCTTAGTTTTATGAAGTCAAATAAAAACTTGGGAGGAAGGAAACAGTTGTTCTAATTATTAGTTATAATCATGCTAAGTGGAGAGAGATGTAGGACATTCCGGAGAATGTGAGCATTCTTAGTTACAATAACAGAACTGCTACTCCCCAAAGGAAGCTAAGGGGAGTCTGCAACCATCATGATTCTAACATGTAAGCCCTCTTTAGATAAGCTAATATTCAAAACCATTTTTTTAACTCAGCAATTTCTGCCTGCTTTTTATTTTGAAATGTTGACAAAACACCAATTTGGAGATAGTCAACAATCACAAAAAAAATTAGACATCATTTACCATTTTTTCACTGTGCTATGGCCATCTCTCAATGATTGTGAACAAGAATGAAGCTTTATAAGAAAAAAAAGACTAATAGTGCTATAGTTTGAATGTGTTCCCCAAAGTTCATGTGTTGGAAAATTGATCCCCAATGTGTGGGGAGGTAGGTCCTAATGAAACTTGATCCCCAACATGTGGGGAGATAGGTCCTAATGTTTGGGTTATGGGGACACTGCCCTAGTGAATGGATTAATGTTGTAACTGCAGCAGTGGGTTCCTTATAAAAGGATGAGTCTGGCCCCTTCTTTGTCTTTTGCCCTCTCTTTGCCCTTCTGCCATGCTGTGAGGCAGCTAGAAGACACTCACCAGATGCTAGCCCCTTGAACTTGTACTTCCCAGCCTTGAGAACCATAAGCCAATGAATTTCTATTCATAATAAATTACTCATCTGTGGGATTCTGTTATAGCAGCACTAAACAAACCAAGACAAAGAGCGCTTTTTTAAAAAGAAGAGTTAGCTCTCTCAAGGGTCAGAACACATAGGTTTCTGAAACCTAGAAGCCTAGTAGCATACATCAAGTCGTTTCCTGCTCCCAGAACCCTGAAATGCTCCCCTTTACTTGACAAGTGCCTAGTACCACGTGGCTACTGTTTACTGAGCTACTGAGCACTCACTATGTGCTAGGCAGTACTGTAATAAATGCTTTCTTGTCATGGTTCTTACCACCCAGTCACAGTGTTAACTAAAGTCAGAACCAGGATGCAGACTCATGCTGGTTTGATTCCAGTGCACGTGTCCTTATGGCTCCACCCCAGGGCATAGAACTGCGTGTTCTGCCTCATTTCCTATTATTAGGTATCACTTCCTAGCAGCATCCCAGGCTTTCCCGTCGCAACCTCTTGCTTCTGCTGTTCTGTCTGCAAAAATGCTACCTCACCACTGAGTCTGTGGAAAGCTGATCATCCTTCAAAATGAGACCATGTGACTCCCTTCAGAGAGACAATTTTGCAATCCCCCCATTCTCTGTGTGTCCACACCTGCTTTTCTACATGTGTTAACACCTGGTAGCTTCTTGACAAAACCACAGAAGTATTTGGAGGCTCATGGTGTCCTGGAAAGTGCCAGGACCTTCCCAAAAGAGTTTGAATCCTATTCGTGATCTGTGTTCACTATGTGAGCTTGAGTAAGTTCCTTAGATATCCTGTATATAAAGCAGGCCCACCTGGAAGTGTTCCCATGAGTTCTAATGAGAGACCACCTATGTGGCCCTCACTTCCTTCCCCTTCCCCACTGAGAGCACTTCTCATTATCTGCCTCACCTAGTAGTGAGTTGGGTATTTCTCTTGCTACCTGTATTAAATTGTGTAAGATACATGCATAGGTCATAGATCAGTCATTGTGTGTTTCCTGCTTAACTCCATATGTAGCAGGGCCTCTATTACTACCTATCAAATTGAATGAAATGCACATCTCCCCCAGCATATGGAGTAAAACACTTAGATCTCCCTCATTTATTCAATCTGGATCTCAGAATATACATTCTTAATGGGGTAAGAATTATTCGGAGTTGCTAACTTTCAGAAATAGTCTTCACATGGAACCTATAAACCTTTAGCAGGAAGCTGCATTTATGTAAATATGTGATGAATTGAAAGATTTCAGTGTATATTTTATTTTTTTTTTTACTTTTTTCTTTCTTCTCCACCCCATGGTTCTTTAGCAGTATATATTTTAAACAATGTTTCCAAGCAGAGTTCCTATGACAGCGCAGGATAGATTGGATTTAATTTTTAATATTCTGTTCTTAGTTATTAAGGACACCCCACTCTGCCCCAGCATCTCTGGAGCTACCAGCATAGAGAAGCCAAGCAGAGAAAGGAAGAGAGCATGATTCCCAGATTCTTGGTCAATGTTAACTCTCACCAGCTGTGGAATATTACACAAGTGAATAAATTCATCTAAGCCTTTATTTCCCATCTGTAAAATGAGGATAATAATAGCACTGTTCTTGCAGCAATGCTGTAAGAATTCAATTAGAAGCCGTACACAAAATCACTTGCTAATATGTCAGAAATATGATGCTAATGCTAATTATTGGTGAGGCACTATTGCAGTTCACCATAGTTCTGAGCTTCCTGAATACCTAGTAAATAGGGAAAGCCAGAGTTTACATAGTTTTTAGTGTTTAGTAAACTTAACACTTCAAGTGTTAAGAGGAAGCTTAACAGTTCTTTGAAAAAGAAACTTTAACCCTCTATACACAGAGAAATTTGTCCTGTGGATACACACAGGAGACTGGGAATTTCCTAATGAATGATGTATTTGGGGCCATTTTGGAAGGAACAAAGACCTTCTTCCTGGGAATGTTTTTCACAGTGATACCTGGTAAAAGTTGAGGGTACAATATTGGATTGCCATTCAGTAAAGGAGTTCCTTGGCAGTCAGACTTTTTGTTTCTTGCAAAGCCCTTTCTTGGGCTTCAGAATTTCTCAGTATCAGAGAATGGCTTCATTATCTATAAATCTTCCACATGGTAGAAGAGGGTGGGGGAGAGAAAAAAAGAGAGCGAGAGCTCATTTTCCTTCAGGTGTCAGCCTCACCTATCATAGGGCAGAGAATCAAGCATCCATGATTCCCTATAACTATCTTATTTGACAAGCTGGAAGAATATTAAAATCTTTACTAGAATATAGCACTTCACCAAGAGAAAAATCCCTAAGTAAAATGCTTTCTTGCTCCAAAGTAAATTATTAAGTCACAAATTTATATCAATGAGCACAAGTCTCCTTTGCCTAATGCTCAAATGTTTAGCAAATATGTGTTGGGCATCTATTATGGGCCTAACAATATTACTATTGATAAGAAGCATATAATAAAAATAATAACAAACACTTACTGGATGCTTTCTATGAGCCAAAAAACAATTCTGGATATTCTTGGTCTTAAAATATTGACATATCTCTCTCACACACACACACACACACACACACACACACCTCTGAGCTGTGGAATTCATTCAGGACTCAGGAACAGCCTCTTCTCCAGGCACTCACTCCCAACAGTGGCTTTCTCCTGGATTGTGGGCAGTGAGTCCTTCCTCCTTGCCGTTTTCTCTCACGTGATGAGGCAACACCACATGGATGCAGTGTCCTTCCCCCAGAGAAAAAGCTGTTCCCTTGTCTAAGCACAGTGACTTCAGACTGGAAGAACCAGACTGGAGGCAGCCTCCCAAGGGACGAGGTACCATTCTGGGCCACCAGCAGGCTCTGGGGTGCCCATGGAGAGAGTCTCACTCACCTGGTTGACCATACAGGTCCAGGGCAGACAGAAGTGTCTGAGGTCCTGAAGGGAAAGACCGACACCCTGTTGGAGCCATACTCTGGGGATGCAGAAACCTTTCCTCTTACTCCCATCAGCCCATAGAGGGCAGGGGTCCTGGTGTCTGCCCTTGCAAAAGGAGCAAGGAGATGCTGATGGCTGAGATGGTAACCTTGAGAAGATAGGGATGTGCCTTGTAGCACCAAGGCTGGCATGGCCAGTCAGCACCATCCAAAATCACTGCAGGAAAGGAGGACACGTTCAGGAAGGAAAGGTGAAGGACTGCCCGTGTTGGGAAAACACAGATTCCAGCATTGGCCCCACATCCCTTCAAAGCGCATACCTACACTTGAGAATCTCATTTAAGTCAAATATCACAAACATGCACTCACGTGTCTGGAATCTTCCTTTCTATTGGAACTGCCTGTTGAAGTCATCAGCCTCTCTCTTGGACAGTGATGGTGATGGCTACTTCCTAATTGCTCCCCCACCCCACCCATTCTCTGCACTGCAGCTAGAGGGAGAATTCTAGATTGCAAACCTGACTTCATTGCTGCTGCATTTGAAATAAACCCATAGAGGTTCCCCAGCATCTCAGGATAAAGGTGGAATCCCATAAGGATTTCTAAGGCCCTACCTGATCTCTTCCTGCCAACATCCCAGGCTTTGGTTCCAGAGTTCTTCTTTTCACCCTCAGACCCTCAATCTTCCACAGTTTCCTTCTGAACTCCCAAATCCAGGCCTGGCATAAGCCTCATCCACTCCTTCCCCCACTTGTCTAACTCCTGTCTTCTCACCCCTCAAGCCTCTGGGTCCCATCAGTGGAGAATCTCCGCATCCTCATGGGGTCTCTTACCATGAACTTGTCCACTGTTTCTAAGGCCTGGCCAGCTGTAGACAGTGACAGCCCTGTGGTGAGCCCAGCATGGGCTCTTACTGGAGGCTCAGGAAGTTGGCAGAATGAACATATTAAAGACTGGAGGCAGAAGATGTCAAAAGATGGTAGGCAGAAGACCACCCAAGAAGCTAGCTCCCAACCGAATCTAGACCAACACAAGAGTAGCTTCAAGGGCTATTAAATGGCCATCCCAGATCAACCAGCTCCTCACCTCTTCCTGAGGCCAAACGAACCACAGGCACAGCTTCTGAGAGAGTGCAAGATGAGGAGGAACTCACCAGAGTTCTTGCACCTGGTCGCAGTCACGTTCTTCTCTGATTGTGCTCAACAGGAACATCTGTCTCCCCCTTGGTGCTGCCTCTTCCTTTGAGATAAGTGCTGTGATTGTGTTTTATTTCTGTTTTTATTTTTTTTGAGAAGGAGTTTCACTCTTGTCACCCAGGCTGAAATGCAGAGGTGCGATCTCGGCTCACTGCAACCTCCGCTTCCCGGGTTCAAACGATTCTCCTGTCTCAGCCTCCCGAGTAGCTGGGACTACAGGTGTGCACCACCACACCCGGCTAATTTTTGTATTGTTAGTAGAGATGGGGTTTCACCATGTTGGCCAGGTTGGTCTCGAACTCCTGACCTCAGGTGATCCGCCTGCCTCAGCCTCCCAGAGTGCTTGGGATTACAGGTGTGAGCCACCACGCCTGGCCTGTGATTGTGTTTTAAACGCAGGCACACTGTAGATGCAGAGTATCTTCCCTCATAAACACTGATAGACATGCACAGGACGATACAATGCATATTCTAGGCTCCTATGGCCTGGGTCCTACTGGGGGTATTTTCCCCATATTTCTGAAATAGAGTCATTTTTCCTTTAGGGACGTACAGCTCAGTGCATCTGTCACTGCTGGGTTTAGGTCATAATCCCAAATAACTGTGCAGCATAGCTTGCAAAGTACCAACTTCTCAGCATTTTGATGTTGAGGGTGTACTAAAGTGAAAATAATGGAATTGAAAAGCTGTAGCTTTAACTGTAATCAGCCGAATCCACCTCCCTTCTCCAGACACCCACCGGTGTGAAACCTCCAGTGCAACACTTTACACCAAACTCAGCAAGCCCCACGAAGCTCACTGGGGAGCCAGAGGAAAATGGATCGACTCCCACTATGAATATGATCAAAAAAATCTGAGCAGAAAATACAAACAATGCTTTGTTTCCATACAAAACTTAGCCCCTGGGGAAATTACACTTAGATGATTTATGGAATGTGGGTCTTTAGCTGTATTACACTTTGCAGTGCCGACAAAGACAACAATAATGTATAATTGATTCCACTTGGATCTCAGAGAGTCAATAAAGGACTTTGTTTATCCATAATTTTGTTGGGCAAATCTCCCAGATGGTACTGAAATGTTGCATTTTTAAGATGTTGAGTTTGGTCCAGGAGGATCATAAATTATAAAGATAATGTGTCTTTCGTATCGTTACAGTCATCTAATCGTAATCACAATTATAGTCACTGTGAAATCTAACTACATTCTATTTTAGTATTACTGTCGACATTTTTAAAGCTTCATTTATTTAAGAGGCAGAAGTCAACATACGGGCTTCCGTAATCCCAAAGCTCCATTTGCTAATGCAAGGTCAAATTTATAAATTAAAACCTTTCATGAAAATAAAAATGTTATATTCTTATAATAGGAATCAGCAGTACAAATATACACTCTTCAGTAGGTTTTAGGTTCACTTTCTCACTCCATAGTAAGAGGCTTTAGCTACTACATTCGTAGGAAACTAACATTTTATCTCTGCAACAATTTTCTACTTTCCAAAACATGTAATTTGTGCTTTCATTAAAGATAAAATTGTTTCTCTCTCTTATTGTTGCATCACACAAAAATATTTAAATAGAGAATCACAAAATTGGGAAGGGCAGGTTTGGAATGGCATGACTTAAATATAAGATTCTGGCTTATGAGATGCCTCTGGAGGGCCCTGGTGGGTGCAGCTCCCCGGGCCAGGCAGGCCTGCCAGTGCCACTGAGACGGGTGCACCAGCATGGCCCACGTGATTCCCTCCCGAGGGAGCGACAGGACCTGCATATTAAGACACTGTGGACAGAGAAAGCAAACAGTACTTTCAAAAACAAGCCCCTGAGTGGAAAATTACCCTGGCAGAAGTTCCAGATTGCAGGCATTGGCTTATAATTGAGCTGCTTCTCCTGAAGACAACCCCCTCTCACCTGTTCCAGGTGAGAGGCCTCAGGGATTTAGGTATCAAAGAATGGTTAATGATTCTCTCAAGTAATGGCAGGAAGCCCAGCTGGCTTCTGAACAGAGGGGAAGAGACGGGGGCAAGGGAAGGACATAGAAGAGACTAGGGCAGCAGTTCCGAAACTCTAGATGCCTCCGAATCACCTGCAGGGTTTGTTGATACCAAATTGCAGGGCTACACCCCCACAGTCTGCTCCATGGGTCTGCGATGGGGCCCGAGTATTTGCATTTCTAATGAGTCCCCACAAGCTGCAGCTGCTGCTGGCTTCAAAACCACACTTAGGGAAGCACAGCGCTAGGGCCTGCTTACTCCAACTGTGGTCCTTGGACCAGTGGCGTCAGGATCACCTGGAGACCTGCTGGAAATGCACAATCTCAGGCCCACCCCACACCTATCATTCAGAAGCCACAGCATAACAAGATTCTCCAGGTGGTTCGTGCACACATTAAAGTTTGTTAAGCGCCATACTACATAATTTAACGTCCTTCCCACTCCTGGATTCAATGACAGTATTGCACTGCATAATGATGTTTCAGTCAACAACAGGCTTTGTACATGACAGTGCTCCCGTGAGATTCTCACACGGCTGAAAAATTCCTATTGCAAATACTTGCCATTGTGTTACAGTTGCCCACAGTATTCAGTACAGTAACTTGCCGTCCAGGTTTGTAGCTGTGAAAGGAAAATATCTCAGGCCCCCAAAATCACTCAGGAAAACCCCAGCCAGGAACTGCTCAGGGCAAACCTGCCTACCATTCTACTCCAAGTCACTGCTCTGCTCACTGAGGTAGATGCATATCTGATTTGTCTCCTTTGGAAAGGCTAATCAGAAACTCAAAAGAAGGTAACTATTTGTGTATCACCTGTCTGTGACCTGGAAGCTCCCTCCCCGCTTGGAGTCTTCCTGCCTTTGCCTCAAGTTGTCCCACCTTTCCAGACACACCCGTGTACTTCTTACATATATTGATTGATGTCTCATGTCTCCCGAAATGTATAAAACCAAGCCGTGCCCTGACCACCGTGGGCACATGTCGCCAGGATGTCCTGAGGCTGCGTCACAGGCACATCCTCAACCTTGGCAAAATAAACTTTCTAAACTCACTGAGACCTGTCTCACATTTTCGGGTTTCACATAGCCTAGGAGCACTAGGCTGTACCGTATGGCCGATGTGCGGAGTAGGCTATACCTGTCTGTATAAGCACACTTGACGATGTTCATACAATGTCAACATTTTGCCTAATGATGCATTTCTCAGGATATATCCCCATTGTTAAGCAACACATGACTATAATTCCACGTCCACATGACTCCTGATGTGTGTGTGTTTGTGTGTTCACGTGTTTGCAGGTGAGGAAAATAGGGTGTGGTTTCCCTTTAACCTCTGATTTACTTCTCTTTCTCACTCCCTCTCCCACTAATAATGTACTAAAATAAGGGTTTGCATTCCGTGCCAGCACAAAGCATGCAAATTAGTGCTGAGCTGGCTGTACCATCAGAACAACCTGCCCATCTGAGATACGCCCTGACCCTGTGCCTCAGAGCAAGTTGGCAACTGTCTTGACTCATTGATCTTTTTGCCGCAGTGTGGTCTAGGTCAAGGCCTTGTACACAGTTGGTGCTCAATAAGTGTTTTTGGGTCGATTGAGAGACTGCTGGCCAAGGACAAGTGGTGAAACACACAGCACCTGCTTGTGCTATAATACTTTCCACATTCTCATCTCCACAGCCAATCCCCCTCTTTCCCAGGAACCATGCAGATCCCAGCCCAGCCTCCCCAGGCTTAGCCTGCTCCTGGATTTCAGGCCAACAGCTCCTTTCCAGAAAGTCTCTGGAGAGCCTCTGGTTCTATACCCCCACAGCCTGGATGCTGGGGCCCCAGCCTGTCTAGAGCAGGGGTCGGCAAGCTTTTCCTACAAAGAGTTAAATGGTTAATAGTTCAGTCTTGGTGGGCCATACAGTCTCAGTTTTGTGCACCTACTCCACCCAGCTGATTTTGCTCAAAATTATCCAAAGACAATACATAAACAAGTAGTCATGGCTGTATTCTAAGAAAACTTTCCTTACGGACACTGAAATGTGAAAGTCATATAATTGTAATGTATTGTGCAATATTCTTCTTCTGCCTTTTCCCCACTATATAAAAAGGTAAAAGCCATTCTTATCTTACTGGCTGCACAAGAAACAGACCCGATTTAGCATCTAGACCATACTTTGCCCTCTTCTAGAGGCTAAGGGCGAGGTTAAGATGACATCCTGGCTCTGTCTCTGACTCACCGTGGAATTAAACCACCTGCCTAACCTCTCCCTAGCACCCACCTCAGAGGGCTGCAGTCAAGGTCAACTGGGAGGGTGCTTATGAAGCCTGTGGCCTGTAGTGAATGTCCCATCAACGTTGGGGTAGTTGTTGTTGTGGCCAAACTCTAGAATAAATCAATGGAAACAAGGATCAGGAAAAGACCAGGATGCACCAGTCAGGAAACAGAACCCTTCTGATAAGCACCAAGGGGGATGTGGACCCTTCCGAGGAGACTGAGGTCTCCCCAAAGTGCCCCACTTGAAGGGTCTTTGAGGACAGTGAGATGCCTGCCCAGTGGGCACCAGGAAGCTGCCAACTTCCCAGGAGTTACATGGGCAAAACCAGCACTGCAATGTGTTGGAGAGCATGAGGACGTACGGAGGGCGCTACTGTGGGCAGGGCAAGCTCCACTCCCAACCTTGACCTGGAGGTGAAAAAGAGCCACAGAGTCCCTAGGAGGTTGGGATGTGGGCCTGACTCTCCCACTTAGAAGCCTTATGACAAGCAGGGAATGGGGCCTCAGTTTCGTCATCTGTAACATATTTGTTAGTTGGTCTAACAGATACTTAACTGAATACCTACTCTGTGCCAGGTAATGTGTCAAGCACTATAAACACAAATGTATCTTTTACAAAGACAGATGAGCTAGAAAGATAGAATAGGTGGGTAGAGAGATCAGTCAATTGATTGATCGGCCACTGATCGATACTAACAGCTGTCATCAGAAACTTTGCTTAGGAGAATACTTTCATTAGCCTCTTGAGTTGGGCAAGGTGAGGCCCAAATGCCAGGGGGCCAGCCAGAAGAGGGGGGATCTCCAGCTGGCTGCTGTGAGGTGGCAGGCAGACACGGACCCCTTCCTGCAGGAATCATTCTGCAGCTTTGAAGGGGCCCACTCTTGCCAACTGGACCACAGAGTCAGACCATATAAGGAGATCACAAGTGTGGAAGAGAGGTCACAAGTGGACAGAGTGGGCCACTTCAAAGGGGCAGAACAATTCTGCACGGACCCCTGCAGGAAGGAGTCCGTGTTGCCAGATTGTCCAAGTTTTTAAAAGAAACTAGAATTCCAGATTTTCATGTGCAGTGAACCAAATGTTAAAATTGGCCTCTATTTCAAAAATGTTCAAATGCTATGGGCCAAAGAAGGCACACCTGTGAGCCACACGTCTCTTTCCTGGAGCCCACCAGTTCGTGATCTCCGATTAGAAACAGGCAGCAAAACAAAGAAATCGCTGAACCCCTGCTGCACAGGAAATGTGGAAAGGAGAACAGCCTGAGGGCGAGTGGCAGGGGAGGGAGAGACAGGAGAGACAAGGAGGCTAATGGGGCGGGTCCAGGGCGCCTTGGCCTCGGGCTCTGAAGGACAAAGATGGCTCCTGCTTCCCGTGACATCAACCCCCTTATCCCCAGCCAGACTTAGAGTAGATTGGCCTTGTGTGAGTGGTCTGGACAGAGACCCAGAAAAGGGGCCGAGTACAACCCCTGAGGCAGGGAGGGCTGGGAGCTGAGGGGAGAGGATGGCCATGCGGTGGCTCACTCAGAACCCTGAAGCCCCTTGGGAGTGGCAAAAACAGCCTAGGCAGGAAATAGGGGGCTCATGTCCATTTAATCTCAAAGGACAGGGTCACTCCAGCCTATGGCCAGTTAAACAGAGGATAGCAAAGTCCAGCCCAGTCCTCAAGGAATATTTTAAGGGAGACAGATGAGGCTTTGTGGACCTCAGCATCAGATAAGTAGCCAGGCGCCATCACGCATGCCTGCAGTCCCAGCTACTCCGGAGGCCTGAGACAAGAGGATCACTCCTAGCCCAGGAGTTCCAGGCCAGCCTGGGAAAAAGCAAGATCCTCATATCTGAAAAAAAAAAAAAAAAAGATCACATAAGGAAGCATTTTACTGAGCAGCTCCTATGTGCCAGGTATTTGCACGTCAGAACTTTGACCCTCACAGCACTGTGGGGTGGAGAGTGTTACTCTAGTGCATCCATAAAGCAAGCCAGGAGCCGACGCTTGGATAAGGAGCCTTGTAAAAAGCAGACACAGGAATCCTAGCCGGGTGTCGGAGGTCCAAGTCCACCTTGCTACTTAGCCTCCTGCAAAGTGTGATTTGATAGGAGGAGTGGTTGTTGCTGTTGTTGTTGTGTTGTCATTGTCTCAATCCAGCCCTATCTAGAGAAGAGAGACAGTGTCTGGTCACCAACAAAGTATACCTAAAAGTGAAGAAAGTGCAAGAGCTGCTGCCTGATGGCTCACGCACCAAGGTCTCCCGGCCCTTCCCATCACTCTGTTCACTGGACAAATCTTTCTGGGGAGCAGAGAACAAGCCTGGAGTCCAACTTTGTGAGGGTGAAGCCCCATGTTCCACTTTTATCTTCTGGATGACCTCAGACATATCGTTTAACCTCTCTGAGCCTCAGTTACCTCATCTGTGAAATGGGAATAATACCACCTTCTATCTTGAAAGGTTATTTTTGTGAAAGGTTATGTGAAAGAGAATATGAAAGTCTACATCAGGAGCTGGGCATGGTGGCATGTGCCTATAGTTCCAGCTACTTGGGAGGCTGAAGCAGGAGAATAGCTTGAGCCCAGGAGTCAGAGGCTGCAATGAGTCATGATCCCGCCATTGCACTCCAGCCTGGCTGGCAGAGCGAGACCCCATCTCTAGAAAAAATAAAAAACCAAAAGAAAAAGAAAGTTCTACATCAAGGATGCTTTGTGCTTCTGTTGGGTTTTGTCACCATGGCTACTGGTGATAACATGTGCAGTTCCCCACGGACTTGGGCATCAGGGAAGGAAGCTCTGACTCTCTTCCACTGTTGGGACCTCCTCGTGTGGTCTGACTCTGAGTCATCACATCGAGTCACCTGCCCTCCCCCTGGATGACCTAATCACTGGCCTTTCAGGTGACCCCACCATGGAGTAGTGGCTGTTGGGATCTCAGAGAACTGGAGCCACTTGAAGGACTGAGCAGCCTTCTCTGACATTCGGGGCACTACACTCCTGCTTCTGCTGAACTCTCCGTTTCATTCCACGTGGACTCCAGGGTGGGCCCCTGCTCTCTGCTGCCCCACTGACCTGCACCTGCCCAGTGTTCCAATTCCCCACGACCTACTGGAGCACACACATGACTATGTGGAATTCTGCATTGGCTAGAACTTGCCTACAAGAAGACATGGGACATTCACCTGGGCAGTGCCTCTGGCTTCTTAATTCAAACAGTATCCAACACTGGAGTTTGAGAGCAAAGAATGAGGAAAACAGGACTTGGTCTTTGCTGTGCTTATGGGTAAGGTTCTGCCCATTACCATGGTGTCAACTTTGAGTGGAAATCCCACGTGCCTCTCCAAGAAGACACCACTTACACACACACATGCCATCATCCTTATGGCTCTCAGCAACAATGTCACATGCACTGATGGCAAACATATCTAATGTTTAAATTTCTCACTTTTTAAATTTATATATTTATTTATTATTTATTTTTGAGACAGAGTCTTGCTCTGTTGCCCAGGGTGGAGTGTGATGGTGTGATATCAGCTCACTTCAACCTCTGCTTCCCGGGCTCAAGCAATTCTCCTGCCTCAGCCTCCCAAGTAACTGGGATTACAGGTGCCTACCACCATGCCTAGCTAATTTTTGTATTTTTAGTACAGACGAGGTTTCACCATGTTGGCCAGGCTGGTCTTGAACTCCTGACCTCAAATGATCCACCCACCTCGGCCTCCCAAAGTACTGGGATTACAGCCGTGCGCCAGCATGCCTGGCCTAAATTTCCCACTTTTTAAATGTAAGTACATCTACTGGTCCTGTATTTTATGACATCTTATGATCCTACCCACCCTGAACCATGTTCTGGACAGCAGAGGGGTGGCAGGTGCCAAGCACTGTGAGTCCAGTGTTGGGAATTTCTATCAAGCCCCAAAACTATATGAGGAGAGGGACTACAGGGGTACAGTTGCAGGAATGTGTGGGGTGCCTGGGCATTGCCCACCTTGTTCACAGTCTGTCTGCCTTGTCAAGGCCAACCAGCTACCTGCACACACATGCTGCAGCCGCTAACATTAAAATAAAAGGTATTTGTCTTCACATCGCCTCAAATCATTGCTCATAGTACATGTGCCACACTGGGAATCATTGGCCCACACTAAAGAGTGTATAATTCGTCAGTTGCACTCCCTTCTTTTACTAATTTTGCAATTTAATTTTTACAAAATTAACTTTCCTTGATATGATCCATCCTTTATATACCTAAGGAATAGGCATTACTGCTTTAAATTAAATATAATTTTGAAACATGCCACCTGGATGCCACCATCCCTTAAGTCCTTTAAACTACCTTCTCTTAGAAACAACGTGACATTTTAGCTGAACATAAGTGTCTTTTTTTTCCAACTGTAAATAAGCATTTTATGCTCTCCAAAAATCAAAACGATATTTTTACTGTTATGATTTTATTATGCTCCTTTATAGGGTAGTTTGCTTTTGTGAAGTTAAAGAATGCAGTGAAGTGGAAACTTGTAACAAATAGGGCATATTGGAACTGGGCTGTGTGTTTTAAATTTTCCATTCATTTAATTGGGGAGAAAAGTGTGTGTTTGTTTGGATATCTAATTATTGGGAAAGGAGAGGTTCATTTGTCTGAGTTAATATCCCTTAACCAAGTTAAAAATTAGCATACATCTCTTTAATTATACCTTGAAGTGACAGCATCATGCATCAGCCACTCACTCAGGCCCATTTTCCGCAGTTCTCATCCACCTGATCCTGGAACAGGGACGGGAGGGAGTGTCCTGCCCACCTGCCCCCTACCAACCCTCCCCACACACACACTGCCCTGTTGCTGGAGGGACATCCCCACCCCATCGCTGACTCAAAGCCCCCATGACCTTGTGTGACCAGTCCCCTCGGTGTGCTCGGCCTCTCTGACTTTCTGGTGGCCTAAGGAGGCACAGGCATCGCTCCCAAGTCAGACCCTGCACCTGCCCCTGCTCTGCCTGGGTAGATCCCACTCCTGCTCCCCTGTAGGCTTCTGCTAATCTCATGGACTAGTTAAGAGCCCTCTAGTCCACCCCATCCCCGTCCTGACTCCCCACTCCTCATCATTCACTTCCACAGCCTCGCCTCTCTCCTAATTACGCATTCAATGACAACTAGATGCTGTACTCCATGAAGGCAGAGGCCTTTTCTTCATTCTCTCTCGAATTCATGGCGTATCCTTAGTGCTTGTGTGTTGCTTGGAGCATAGCTGTGTTCAATAATTGTCTACTGAGTGAAAGAATGAATGAATGAATGAATGAATGAATGAACAGAAAATGGCAAATTTGTGAATGCTTGTGAGCTCTCCCCTGTGACATTACTGGGCCCATATTTGATTTCAGAAGCCGAGCCACATGGAAACCCCTGTGGACCCAGTGAATGCACCCCCTGGAGGCTGAGAAGAGAGGGGATCTCTCCAGCTGTAGGAGTACATGTCAATTTCTAAGCACATCATCTGAAGATTTCATTCATTCACTGCTTCTTATTATTGCCAAAATCAAATGGTCTGTAGCTTAAATGTCCGACAATTGAGAAGTGGTTGAGGAAATAGTAGAATTGCAATGTGCTAAGTTGCTATTTAAAATTATGTTTATACAGAGCTTATAATAACATGAGAAATTGCTTATAATATTAACAAAAAACCAAATAGTCTATGCTGTGCAACATTATATGAAGACTTTGATGGCAAATGCATATTTTAAAACTCACAGGATTCTAATATAATGCAAGAAGAAAATAGCAAGGAGGCTGATTGTTTCTGGGTGATGAGTTTAGGATGCTTGTTTCTTCTTTCTGCTTCTCTGTATTTACCAGATTTTCTACAGTGAGCATTTATTACTTTCATATTATGTAGAAAGAAATCATAATGCTTTTTCTTCCCAAAGAGAAGAGGATCTATAGTTGCCTCTACTCCCACAGCCAGCTTAGAATTGCCATTTTTTATTTTTCCAAGGATGGCCTCCTGGTGACATCTGTGTCCTGGAGGCCTTCTCATTCCTGGGGGGCGCGGCAGGGGTGGATTTGCACCACAGAGGAGTCCAACCAGCTCACATAGACTGGCTGGAGGCCCCACGCCTCACTACAGCCACTCCCTTTCTTTTTTTTTGAGACAGGTCTCACTATGTTGCCCAGGCTGGAGTGCAGTGAAGTGATCATGGCTCACTGCAGCCTCAACCTCCTGGGCTTAATCGGTCCTCCCGCCTCAGCCTCCCGAGTAGCTGGGACCACAGGTGTACATCACCACATCCAGCTAATTTTTCTATTTTTTCTAGAGATGAGGTTTCGCCATGTTGCCCATGCTGGTTTTGAACTCCTGAGCTCAAGCAATCCGCCCGCCTCGGCCTCCCAAATTGCTGGGATTACAGGTGTGAGCCATCACGCCCGGCTAACCCCTTTTCCAACATGCCCATGTGCTTGAGTGTGGGGACTGAGTTTCCCCATCATCTGAGTCAGGGGTGGCACCAGCAACAGCTCGTACCTATGTTTTGCCTGTTAATTATTCAGGCCCTGGTGTGGCACTGCAGCCCACATTTCACTTCCAAAGTGTTTGGAAATCAATAACTAATTTATATAGAGTTCTCTTAGAAATAGGTACTATTTTCCATCTCATTAAAATGCAACTTGAAATGAAGCCATGCCTGCCACTGGGATTCGACTCTGGTTGGCCTGTCTCACCCATGGGATAGAGTGTCCAATGGGAGAGGATGAAGAGGGTCACCAGGCCCCACTCAGAGGTGGGAAATGAAAGGCAATTGGGCAGAAAGTCCTACATGCTTGGCCCAATAGCAAAGCCCCTGTGGTCACAGCCGAGGGACCATTCTGAGTCCAGCATGGTGGCTCTCGCTTAGGAATTTTTCGGTGTGCCTAGGTGTGAATTCATTTCAGGAATTAGAGTAACCAGTGATAATTGTGTATGTGGGTGTGTGTGTAGAAAGGATTTTTCAAGATCCTACTGGAGGTCCTCTGATAGCCAGAAACACCCAATGCTATGCGGTTCTTACGGTTCATGTGCCCCCTAATGCACCTGCTGGATTGGATGCCCAAGGAAACCAGCATATATTCATAGACTTCCTGCAATGTTTCATTTTTAAAGAAAAATCTTTAAGGTTTTAATAGGTTTTATTTAACAGCATGTAAAACATTGGCATCATGGGTACAAGATCTCTCTTTAAATTGCTTATTGAAACATCAATCATTTGAGTTCACAAAGATAGGATAAAAAATTTATTAAAATACCATCTAGTTAGAAAAGCACTGGAATGCATCTACCCCAAAACTCTCAGTGCACATTTTCTTTGATTTGTTGATATTTCTGAAACCCAGCAACTAACTTGCTTTGACAAGGGGCCAGGTAATGTTCTCAACCTGGTCCCAGCATCTCTCTCACTAGGTCCCACCCGGCCAGTAAACTCAGATACACTGTCACCTCCTCCCATGCTCCAAATGGAACTGGGGGCTTTGTTCTCTGAATTTCTTTGTTCTCCATCTTCATCTTTAACCCTCTGACTCTCCTGAGGGGTGCGTGTGGACCCTCCACCACATCACCCCTTTTGCTGACATTACACAGTGGGGCAAGGGGTCTCATCTTCAGGCTGGTTTCTGGGAAGAGGACAGGAAGGGAAAAATCAATGTTCAGAAAAGAGATGGTGAGACCATCAAGTTGAAGTATAAATTGAAGGAGGGAGAGGCTGTGAGGTCTTCCTGGAAAGGCAGCATGGGGCCACTTTTGAGAGTCCTTGAATGCAACATCAAGGCATCTGTACTTTATTCTGCAGGTAACAGGGAGCCACTGATGGTGTCCCACCAGAACAGTGAGGCGATCAGAGCTTTAGTCTCAGAAGATCTTGCAATAAAGTTTAGAGCTGGAAGAAACCACCCCTTCCCTCCAACTGGAAATCGAGTCACCTTATTTTAGATCCTTCTGGTTTCTTCTACTTTTTCTGTTTATGGAGACTTCTTTCTCCCCTGTGGCATGGCTTCTCTGTCCTAATGGGTCTCACCATTCTGCTGGCCTGCCAGCTCCTTGTGGGCAGGGTTTGTGCCGAACATACCTCCCCCAACAAGCACCTAGGGCAGCAGTTGGGGCCACTGGTGTTGCCTGTCTGACTTATTTCATAAAGGATTCAGGGTACACTGTTCATAGTCAAGAAATTAGATGAATGCATGGACAAATGAACAAATAAAGGAACAAATGAAGTCTTGAGGGAATGGCAGCACTAACTGTCCTGGAGGCCTGTGCCTCTCCGGCAGCCCACAGGGGCCACAGGTGGACATGCCCTGGAACCTCTGGGTGAGAGAGATAGGGGATTGTAGGCCTAAAGAGGAGGAGATTCCTGGACTGCTGGGACTGAGGGGCCCCTTTTAGAACAGAATGTGATGGCCGGGCGCGGTGGCTCATGCCTGTAATCCCAGCACTTTAGGAGGCCAAGGCGGGTGGATCATCTGAGGCCAGGAGTTCGAGACCAGCCTGGCCAACATGGTGAAACCCCCTCTCTATTAAAAATACAAAAAATTAGCTAGGCAAGGTGGCGGGCGCCTGTAATCCCAGCTACTCGGGAGGCTGAGGCAGGAGAATCACTTGAACCCGGGAGGCGAAGGTTGCAGTGAGCTGAGACCATGCCACTGCACTCCAGTCTGGGGAATAAGAGCTGGACTCAATCTCAAAAAAAAAAAACAAAGAAAAAAGAAAAAATAAATAAATAAAACAGAATGTGCCCACTTGTCACTGGGCACCAAGTGAATCTGTCCCACCCACCCTGGTGGCCTGTATTCTCACTGCGTCCCTCGACACCTTGGTCATCCTCCCCACCTCTTCCCTTAAGAGCAGCTTATGCAAAGAACATTACAGCAGAAGGGTGGCACCCCAGTCAGGTCACCTCCCTGGATCACGCCTCCCAGGACCACACTCCCTTAGAAAAACAGGAGCAGTTTTTGCTTAGACTCAGCCAAAGTCCACGGAGGTCCACTGAGTGGATTCTTTTCCAGCTAAGCTTTTGAACACCAGTCTATCCCACACCCAATTCCGAGGCAGTGTTTTTTCTGCTCCTTCAAACACCAGTCTATCCCACATCCAATACCAACATAGTGTTTTTGCTGCTCTTTTGAACACCAGTCTATCCCACCTCCGATACCGAGGCAGTGTTTTTTCTGCTCACAGTACTTATTCCAGGTAAACTGGACCCTTTGGGTGAAAGAGCATTTTTAGAAATTCCACCTCCATACAAATATTATTGAAGAAACTGAACTGAGAAGAAATATGATGTGTATTAGAAAGATAAGCAGGTAATGGGTCTCCAAGTTAAGTCTATTTTTACAAATAGCCTGTACCCAAGGCTCTTTATTTATGATACTGAAAAGCACACTATTTGGAGAGCTGTAATAACTTTGCAGTGTAAAGGATGGTAATATGTAGCATGATTTGCCTGCCATTACATTATTTGTACTGTATAAATACAAAATTTCAGAATCAGATATGTTATGGGGAATCATTACACTTCTGAAAGTGTGACTGACCTTTCCCTAAATATATCAAAAATGGAATCATTTCTGAGTGTGCATAATTGAAAACAAAGTTTATGACGCAGTAGATGTCTACAAATATCAACAGAAATTTAAAAGAACTGTGTCAAAATTTGTACTTTGTATATTACGCTCAGAAAAGCAGCTCTGCTGCATATGTCTGTTGTTCATGTGCTAGATGGTACTGACCCCTTTTGCAGATGGATAAAATTGGTGGACAGGAAGGTCTATAGGGTTTGAGATGGATGGGGTCACCATGTACAGCCATGCAGGTTGTGCACTGAACAACTGCAGGAGGCCTCTTTTTCATTGAGAATGATGTGGAAGGCACCTGCTGGAGCTGCATAGTGAACAACCCACACAACTGTCAGGAGTGAGCCGTCACCTTGAGGGAGAAGTAGAATCTGCCTGTGCACCCCCAAAGAACATAGCCAAGAATGAAAACAAATTTCAAATCTTAGAAAGAATTGCCTACCCATCAGAACCACCTTCAGTTCATTCTTTCTTTCTTTCACTTATTTCAAGTTGTGAATTTCCCCCACAGAACTTTCACAGGGGCTGCCAGGAGATTCCTGCATCCAATGAGCGAACACGGCTCCTCCGTCTGCTGCCACTCCGGGGTCTGGGATGTTGCCAGGAAGCCAGGAAGTGTTTCTTGTGCCTCATTGCTCCTGGGCACATCTTCCTTTGACTCTAATGTTTGTGGGTTGGAACACTTGCGCCTCCTGATGAACAATCAGGAGGGTTATTTTTCTGGCCAGGTTTGGATTTACATTTGAGAAAAGGCTCCCCCACCGCCTCCCCTGTCATAAGTGATGGCTTCCTAACTCTAACTAACAGAACATTAAATGGTTTCTTGAGAGTTGCCCCTGCTAATAACCTAGAACAACTCAATGAAATGTGCTCCTGTTTTAGGCCCAGTAAAAACAATTCACTTCCAACAAATGATTTAGAACTGACAAAAAAAAAATCTTGAAAATAAAACAGAAATGAATAAGCAATGAATTGACACTTTTCGTTTTAAAAAATGTCCAATTGGGTAGGGCTAGGCTCTGGGGATCCCAACCTTCATAGAACAAAGACTATCTCTTTGGGAGTCCCCCAGTCTGGAGCTGGGTTAATTTAGCATTGGGGATTTCTTTGCTGATTCTTTCCTGCCTAACTAGTATTTAATACCATCACATACAGCAAATAATTGCAAGAACTTGAGTCTTTTCCAGAGAAAAGAAGCTCAGACAATTTAGACATTAGAAAACAAGACCTAAGAGAAAAGTTTGATGGAATTAAGACTATTTCACCCAGAGAAGAAAAAGACTGTGTGATGGTTCACTAATTGTGGCAAGTTTATTAGAAGTTATTTTACATAGGATACTGACCATCTGGTCTCCCTTTCCTGAGCACAGAGAGAAAATGATTTTCAATTGCATTGAGAAGGATTTAGATTGGAAAATAAGGAAGAATTTCCAGATGATTAAGGTTATTAAATGCTGATTGCAGAGACAGGCTATAGATTCACCTTTTTGGAAATAATTCAAGGGACAACGACTCGTCCATCCAGGCTGTTTTAGGAATAGTCTGAGCAGGAAGTAAGATAAGTGAAATTATCTCTTTGAAGTGCCTTCCAGCTCTATTTGTTGTGCTAAAAGTGCCTCTTGCAAGAGTTTACATAATTTCTAGACTTCGAAACATTCTTACTGTCTATCTTCTATGCACGATTCCTAGGGCCAGAAAGGGGGAGATAAAAAGGTGTAAATTTCCCAAGCAAAGATCTGGTTCTGGCCTTGCCTCTGTTGAAGGTGAATAATGGGGCCTGCAACATGTCATGAGCTGTCTAAGCCCCAGGCTCCTATCCAGAACTCACCATATGCACCGGTGGTGATTTTTATTCCTCCAGCCTTCTATTTTATTTTATTTTTATTTTTATTTTTATTTTTATTTTTATTTTGAGATGGAGTCTCGCTCTGTTGTCCAGGCTGGAATGCAGTGGCACGATCTCGGCTCACTGCAAGCTCCACCTCCTGGGTTCACGCCATTCTCCTGCCTCAGCCTCCCGAGTAGCTGGGACTACAGGCGCCCGCCACCATGCCCCGCTAATTTTTTTTGTATTTTTAGTAGAGACGGAGTTTCACCATGTTAGCCAGGATGGTCTTGATCTCCTGACCTCGTGATCCGCCCGCCTCAGCCTCCCAAAGTGCTGGGATTACAGGCATGAGCCACCGTGCCCAGCCTCCTCTAGCCTTCTTTTCCCTTTTATTGGGATATGAAAACTGCTTCACTAATTACAGGGAAGGGTGCATGGCTCAGGTTGGACAAGTCATAACACCCTGTTCCTCTGTCTACCATGACTGGTCCAGAAGGGGGCATGTAATTCAAGGTGCCAAGAAGAGCTCTTTCCCCAGAGTGCTGTACCTGAAAGTGCTCTCTTTCTGGAGGCAGGTTAGCCAGGATGGGAGTCCATGGCTTCCTGAAGCCACAGCCCCATAATCTGGAGACAGTTGTGAGCCTATGAACCCAAGAACCTGTGATAGGCTGGAAGAATAAATGCACAAAAAGAACTCTCAGGCCTTCAAGTCAACCCTCCAGCCAGCCCTCCCTTGCCAACCCTATATATCCTTCAGTTTTATGAGTAGGTAGAATACTGTATTCCTTTTTTTTTTCCTTAAGCTAATATGAGTTGGTTTCTGTCATTTGCAATCAAAGGTCCTGATTAATATGGGATAGGAATGAGGTCCCAAGGATGCAGGTGCTAGCAAGAACAAAGGCACAGGAATACAGAGCTAAGCTGTTCTGCATTAGAAAATGATGGCAATATCTACTTATCCCTCAGAGGAAGAGAAGAGAGAAAGGGGGCAGGAAAAGGAGGGAGAAGAGGAGCTTGGAAGATGACAGAAGGCAGGGTACTGCCCCTCGTGAACCAGCAGAGGGGCCAAGAGGGCTCTGAAGATCAACAACACAGAATATATGATTTTAGAATGCTTGCTGCACACCATGCCTGTGATTATTCCCCATGACCTGTAATCTTGCAGAAAAGCTCTGCTCCATGGAACCAGCTTGTAATCACGGTAGTTGGAAGGTAGATGATGAATCAAGGAAAAGGGCCCAGGGTCACAGTTGGCCTCTCCACATGGTAGAAATAAGGAACAACGACAAGAGGCACAGCGTGTAGACCTTTGAGGCAGGACCCACTCCAGGCACTACAGAATTCAAAACCCCTTCCTTTGAGTCCTGCAAATGGCATGGCTTACCTACTCATGAGGAAGTCAGACTCAAAGGGAGGGGTTTTGATTTCCACAGGGCGTGGAATGGGTATCTGAGTTGCTGTTCGCTAGATGCCACGGGACCTGGAGACCTCAGAAGACATCTGGATTACAAAGGAATAAGTCTTATGATCAGACGAGACGTCAAAATGTGGACCAGATTACCTCTTCGGGTGTTATTATTGAGTCTACTCTCAGAAAGTTCTGTGTAGGCAAGTAAACAACATGTTTTCCTTGATGAAATACTGCTGCAGAGTGATCCAGGATCTAGACATGAGGGTCCATTAACAATGGTTAAGCTAGGCCTTTCCCATTTTGCATGGGGTGTTTTATAAACAGTGAATATGCAACAACAAGGAAAGGCTTTCCCCAAGTCTCTCCGGGAGCTGATCAGGAGTCAGGGATCGAACAGGGATAGTGAACAGGACAGCGTCAGTAAAGCAGACACAGTAATTGCACTTAAGTTGTGGGATGGAAGGAAGTAGCTTCCAGAATGGAATTGATCTGGACTAGACTTACCCAGAGCACTGTTTTAAGGCAGAAGCTACCTTTTTAACATGCTAAACTTATTCTGAAACTCCTTTACTGTTACATTTTAACAAAAAAGATTTAATGCGGGAGAAGCTAAACTTCCATTAAGTCTTCCAAACACTCCCGATTCATATTTACTAATAATTGATGATTTCCAAAAGCTCATTTCTGCAATCAAGAACAGGCAGCACAGCAGGCGAGATGCTGTGCACGGAGCAATCTCCGTGAATAATTGCCTGTCTGCACGGCTTCTTAAAGAGAAACAGCAAGCTTACCAGATGATGCTTGGGCTTGTTGTTTAACCTGAACATAGAAAGCAGAAAACTGGGCTTGAGAAAAATGCTTTTAGACTTTCAAGTTTACATGAAACTTGGGAGCCTTAACCTCTAGAGAGGGGCTTAAATGGATCAATGGACGCCCTGAAACTTTGCATCAGACGTTTTTGCATGTCTCTTCTGTCTTTTTTCTAGGAAGAGATGTGTAGGGGGAATATGACCCCCTAAACATTTAAGAACCGCTAAATAAATGTTCTTTCACTAGCACTGTGCGACAGAACTTTCTGGAATGATGAAAATACTTTATATCTGCATTGTTTAAAATGGTAGCCATTAGCTAAATGTGGCTATTGAGCTTCTGAAAGTTGAGCTTATTGGCCGGGCGCGGTGGCTCACGCCTGTCATCCCAGCACTTTGGGAGGCTGAGGCGGGCGGATCACGAGGTCAGCGTACCGAGACCATCCTGGGTAACACGGTGAAACCCCGTCTCTACTAAAAATACAAAAAATTAGCCCGGCGTGGTGGTGGCGCCTGTAGTCCCCGCTACTCGGGAGGCTGAGGCAGGGGAATGGCGTGAACCCAGGAGGCGGAGCTTGCAGTGAGCCGAGATCGTGACACTGCACTCCAGCCTGGGTGACAGAGCGAGACTCCGTCTCAAAAAAAAAAAAAAAAAAAAAAAAGAAAGAAAGTTGAGCTTCTTGAGCTTATGACTAGTGCAACTGATGAATCAAATTTTTTATTTTATTCATTTTAATTAATTTGCATTTTAAAAGTCAAAACTATAAGGATAAAGAGTAGATGAGTGGTTGCCAGGGGTTGGGAGTTGGAAGAAGGCTGACTACAAAGAAATGAGAGGATATTTTTGTGAGATGGAACTTTTCTGCATCTCCAATATAGTGCTGGGTACTTGACTTCATGCATGTGGCAAAGTCAATGGAAATGTACACCAAGAAGAGTGAATATTCTAATCTGCAAATTGAAAATCAAAAATTTTTTTTCAGACAGGGTCTCACTATGCTGGCCAGCCTGTCTTGAATTTCTGGACTCAAGTAATCCTCCCACCTCAGCCTCCCAAGTAGCTAGGATTACAGGCATGTGTCACCACACCTGGCTGAAAGCTAAATTTTAAAAGATTTAGTTGGCTACATGTGGTTAGTGGCTTCTGTATTGGATGTGCAGCTCAAGACCATCACTTTAAAAAACTTACATATATATGTACCAGCAGCCATTTAGCTGGACTTTCCTATCAGATTCATTAGCTTACAAACTGTTCCCCAAACCATCACCTTAATCAAAGGTGTTCCTAACTCACTAATAAGTGCAACACACTAAGTGCAGGATGTTGACTCTCTGCCCATTCCCTGCATCCCTACTAAGCGCAGCGCTCCTTGGTTACTGTGAAGTCAGGCACAGCAATCTCATGAGAAGCCTAATGCCAGCATCCCAAGTTCCAAATTCCAATCTTGGGACCAAGCCGCTGCCTTCACACTGTCCAGAGACTCCTCCAGGCAGTGGGACAGGCAAGGTGACCTGAGTGTGCATGAAGGGTCCCTACTCAGAAGCAATCCTGAGCTCATAGGCTCATGTTAACCCTTTCAAACACAAGTCCACGCCTTTTCCTTATGACCCTTTATTAGTTTCCTAGGGCTTCCCTGACAAAGTGCTAAAAACTGGATAGCTTCAAACAACAAAAAATTGATTCTCTCATGGTTCTGGAGGCCAGAAGTCTGAAAGCAAGAGGCCAGCAGGTTGGTTCCTTCTTGGGGACTCAGAGGGAGAATCTATTCTATACCGTCCTTCTAGCTTCTGGTGGTTGCTGGCAGTCCTTGGCATTCCTTGGCTTGTGGCTGCATCCCTTCTACTCTGCCTTTGCCTTCACGTGGCCTTCTCCTCTCTGTGTCTCTCTGAGTCTCTGTCTCCAAGTTTCCTTCTTCTTTTTAGGACACCAGTCATTGGGTCATTGGGTTAGGGCAGGGGTCCCCAACCCCCGGGCCATGGATCGGTCCATGGCCTGCTAGAAACCGGGCCCTGCAGCAGGAAGTGAGTGGCAGGCAAGAAAGCAAAGCTTCATCTGTATTTACAGCTGCTCTCTATCACTCGAATTACCGCCTGAGCTCCACCTTCTGTTACATCAGCAGCAGGAATGGATTCTCACAGGTGCGCAAACCTTATTGTGAACTGCACATGCCAGGGATCTAGGCTGCCAGCTCCTTGTGAGGATCTAATGCCTGATGACCTGTCACTGCCTCCCATCACCCCCAGATGGGGCCATCTAGTTGCAGGAAAACAAGCTCAGGGCTCCCACTGATTCTACGTTATGATGAGTTGTTTAATTATTTCATTATATATTACAATGTAATAATAATAGAAATAAAGTGCATAATAAATGCAATGTGCTTGAATCATCCCCAAACCATCCCCCAACCCCATTCCATGGAAAAATTATCTTCCAAGAAACTGGTCCCTGGTGCCAAAAAGTTGGAGACCACTGAGTTAGGTAGGGCCCATCCTAACACAGTATGACCTCATCTTAATGACATCTGCAAAGGCCCTGTTTCTAAAACAAGGTCATATCAATGGGTCATATTGATGGGTACTTGAACATATCTTTTTGGGGGCCGCAATTCAATCCACAAGAGACTCCAATCATCATTGGGGCAGAATCCTTTCCCCTACAGTGGAGCAAACAAGACCAGGTGTGGCTTCATCTCTGACCATCTTTAATTTCATTTGTGTATGTATGTGAGTGTGAGTGTGTGTGTGTGTGTGTGTGTGTGTGTGTTTTCCTTTGCAGCATTTTTACCAGTGTGAGTGTCCTGTTCATGGCAACAGCAGTGGGATGTGGCCAGTGTTCACCTGAGCCCTTAACATTAAGGAGGGACGGGGTGTGGTGTCCCTCATGTCTGTGGCCCTCGAGTTTGTTGGCAGAACACTGGGCACATTGAAACATGTGACACGATGGAGGAAGAGAAACTGGATTTGATTCTTATTACAGGTTACGTTAAAGGAGGAACTTAGGTTTTTAAGTCTTAATTTCCTCATTAGTCACGTGTAAATGTCATGCCTCCTTCACAGGGTTGTTTTGCTCATTAAATAATCTACATATGGAGCACTGAGTAGCTAATTGATCAATGTTACTTTCCAAATACATTCTTTTCTGACTATTTTCGTTTTTCCACACACATAGAAGCCTTATAATATAAAAAGAATTTCTATTTAATATAAAAATGCAGACAAGTAAGAAGAGTAAATTAAAGTATCTGTAATTTCCTCACCCAAAGATAATTATTATTTAAATGTGGGCATGTTTCCTTAGTCTTTTTAAATGCATATATTTACACACACTATTTCTGCAAAATTGGTTTCATTCTGTACATATTTGTTTTGTAGCCACGTTCCCTTAACAAGATCATACATTTTCATATTTAATTAAATGGTCTTCTAAAGCATGGTTTATATTGGCTGCGGGGTAATTAATCATGGATAGAACATAATTTCTTCAATGACAACGCTCTTGTCTGCCGTTTTGCCTGTTCCCAATTTTTCACGATTTTAAACAATATGGTGAGACACATTCTCACAGATACAACTTTGGGGATCTCCCTGATTATTCCTTTTGGAAAAGTTACAGGAAGTAGAATTACTTAACTCCATTTTTGGTTTTTTATGTTTGTTTGTTTGTTTGTTTGAGACAGAGTCTCGCTCTGTCGCCCAGGCTGGAGTACAGTGGCACAATCTTGGCTCACTGCAACCTCCACCTCCTGGGTTCAAGCGGTTCTCATGCCTCAGCCTTCCCCGAACATCTGGGCTTACAGACACCTGCCACCACACCCAGCTAATTTTTGTATTTTTAGTAGAGATGGGGTTTCACCATGTTGGCCAGGCTGGTCTCAAACTCCTGACCTCGGGTGATATGCCTGCCTCAGTCTCCCAAAGTGCTGGGATTACAGGCATAAGCCGCCACGCCTGGCCTTAACTCCACTTTTGAACTGAGCCTTTTATAACTTGGCCTTCTCTCCTTCCCTCTTCCTCTTCATCTCCACTAATAACCTTCCCCATTTATTTCACGGAGGGCACCAAAGCAGTCAGAAGGGGACTTCTTTATCACCTTTGACCAATTAACCCCACAACCTACCTTCCTCTGGACCCAAACATTGTTCGGCCTACCCCCTTGTGCCAGGGCAACCCCTCCACCTGGGTCCCAAGTCCCCACCTCTCTTGCCTACTCCAGGAGGCAGCTCCTCCAATTCTCCCCTTTCTCTCCTGCATCTTCAGTGTTTTTCTCTCTGCTAGATCTAGATGGTCCCCCGCACCACACAAACATGCCGATTTATCTCCCAGATTCCTTCCCTAGTGCTGCCACAGCAAATCGCCACACACCTAGTCACTTCAAACAGCATAAACAACATTCATTACCTTACAGTTCCGGAGGTCAGAGGTCCAAAATGGGTTTTACTGGGGTAAAATCAAGGCAGGGGCAGGGCTGCACACCTCCTGGAGGCTCCAGGAAGAAGCTGTCTTCCAGTTGCTTGCACCTCCGCAGGCTGCCCACATTGCCATCACCTCTACATAGCCCCTGGTTCGTGGCCACATCTCAAAGCCAACAGTGGATCACCTTCTAGTCTCTCTCCAACTCTGACTTTCCTGCCTTTCTTGTAAAGGTTCTTGTAATTACCTTGGGCTCACCTGGATAATCCAGGAAACATCCCCATCACAAGATCCTGAACTTCATCCCATGTGCAATGACCCTTTTTGCCATGTAAGCTAACAGACCGGCCCTGGGGATTTGGATGTGAACATTTTTGGGGGGCCATTATCCTGCCGATCAATCCCGCTTCTTTTCTCTCTGTGCCCTCTCTGGTGGTGGACTTTTATCCCACCAGAGTCCTGCACTTTCTGAGGTCACCAGTGATCTCCATGGTGCCACACTCAACAGGCAAATCTTGGAACGGCTGTGACCCAACATCTGCTACACTGGATCAGCTGGTCACTGTCTTCTTCATGAAACTCTTTAGCATTGGGGATGCCAGAATTCCCTGGTTTCCCCTTTACTCACTTGCTGCTCCTTCTCAGTCTCTCTTACTCAACCCTCCCCTTCCTCTTGACCATTAAACAAATACCCCAGGACATACTTCTTCATCTGCGTGTCTCCCTGGATGACCTCATCTGGTTCTAAGACATCATATATTTACTGAGCACACCCAACTCCATATTTCCAGTTTCAACCTCTCCTCTGGGCTTCCAGACTCATTGGCACAAGTGCCCCTTTGACATCTTCCTTTGGATTCTACTAGTCCTCTCTGATTTGAGATATCCAATACTGAACCCAAGGTTTCTCTACCTCCACCTGCTCAGCATGCTATTCACACCTCAGTAAAGGGCGCAGCACACCCAGATGCTCAGGCAAAAAGCATGAATTCATCTTGACTCTGCTCTTTCTCTCTAAACTAAGCTGTATTAGCAAGTCCTGAAATTGCATCCCTACACTGACCTCTTCCACTTTGCGGTTCTCCTCCCACTGTCCCCTTTTTCCTGGGCTACTGCAGGTACCTCCAGTTTACCTGGATTACTGGTCTCCCTGCTTCAGTCCTGCTTCACAGTCTGTTTTCCATGCAGAAGCCAGAATAATCTTTAACTTTTAAAATCAGATCATGTCATTTCTGTGCTCAAAACCCTGCAACAGGAGCATGTGCAAGATAGGGACAGTGGCTCATGGATTTCAGGCAGGGATTAAAGGACTTTCTGGATGAACAATGAATGCATAGAAGATTCAGTGCAGTGTTAGTTCTGGGGGGGCACTGGAAGTGTTGCAGGAAGTAAGCTGGAAACTAGATGATGCCAGTCTGAGACTAAAATAAAGACTTAGGAGAATCCCAGAAATGGGGCCAGACAGTGACTCAGAGCCTTGGCCGGGCATTAGAAACAGCCCAAGATGGTTTTGACAGTACTGAAGGCCTGGGACCGCCCCAGATTCTTTAAGTCAGAATCTATCTCTGGGTATCAGTACATTTTGAATCTCTCAAAGCTAAGCATGATGGTGCACACCTGTAGTCCCAGCTACTCACGAGGCTGAGGCAGGAGGATCACTTGAGCCCCACAGTTCAAGGCTGCTATGTGCTATGACCATGCCTGTGAATAGCCACTGCACTCCAGCATGGACCACACAGTGAGACCCTGTCTCAAAAAACAAAACTAAAATCAACTCTTCACATGATTCTATAATGAAAACTGAGAATATGGGAGGATGTGGATGGGGTGAGTAGCAGGAAAAGATGGAGATGACTGGACATGAAAAGATGAAGCAGCTGAGAGGCCTTAGTGTCAGAAGTCATTTATGTGGACACTGAGGTCTTCATGATGCTGCAGGGCACAGAAATCCAGTTCTAATTACAGACTCCTTCTTGAACTGATCTCCTAGGCATTTTGTAGAGATAAGGTGGGCAGGTTGTGGTGATAGCTGGGAGTGTCGTCTTACCAGGGGCACATGGTCCTCCTAGGGTCTCCCTCAAATTCTTCCGTGGGCAGTGCGCAGCGCAGCAGTGGGGTGACCTAAATTGGATCACTCTGAGCTCTGGAGCCTTTTTTATGTCTGTGTTAGACAGAAAAATGTCCCCTCTCCACCCAATGATGTCCACATCTAAATCCCACATACGGTGAATATATTATGTGGCAAGGGGGAATTGAAGTTGTAAATTACATGATGGTTGCTCAGATAGTTTGGATGTGTGTCCCTTGCAAATTGCGTTAAAATGTGATCCCCTGCAAGGCTGGTTCAACATATGCAAATCAATAAACATAATCCATCATATAAATAGAACCAAAGACAAAAACCACATGATTATCTCAATAGATGCAGAAAAGGCCTTCAACAAAATTCAGTAGCCCTTCATGCTAAAAACTCTCAATAAATTAGGTATTGATGGGACATATCTCAAAATAATAAGAGCTATTTTTGACAAACCCACAGCCAATATCATACTGAATGGGCAAAAACTGGAAGCATTCCCTTTGAAAACTGGCACAAGACAGGGATGCCCTCACTCCTATTCAACATAGTGTTGGAAGTTCTGGCCAGGGCAATCAGGCAGGAGAAAGAAATAAAGGGTATTCAATTAGGAAAAGAGGAAGTCAAATTGTCCCTCTTTGCAGACGACATGATTGTATATTTAGAAAACCCCATCGACTCAGCCCAAAATCTCCTTAAGCTGATAAGCAACTTCAGCAAAGTCTCAGGATACAAAATCAATGTGCAAAAATCACAAGCATTCCTATACACCAATAACAGACAGAGAGCCAAATCATGAGTGAACTCCCATTCACAAATGCTTCAAAGAGAATAAAATACCTAGGAATCCAACTTAAAAGGGATGTGAAGGACCTCTTCAAGGAGAATTATAAACCACTGCTCAATGAAATAAAGGATGACACAAACAAATGGAAGAACATTCCATGCTCATGGATAGGAAGAATCAATATCGTGAAAATGTCCATATTGCCCAAGGTAATTTAGAGATGCAATGCCATCTCCATCAAGCTGCCAATGACCTTCTTTACAGAATTGGAAAAAACTACTTTAAGGTTCATATGGAACCAAAAAAGAGCCCACATTGCCAAGACAATCTTAAGCCAAAAGAACAAAGCTGGAGGCATCACGCTACCTGACTTCAAACTATAGTACAAGGCTACGGTAACCAAAACAGCATGGTACTGGTATCAAAACAGAGATATAGAACAGAACAGAGCCCTCAGAAATAATGCCATGGCCAGGCGCGGTGGCTCATGCCTGTAATCCCAGCACTTTGGGAGGCTGAGGTGGGCGGATCACGAGGTCAGGAGATTGAGACTGTCCTGGCTAGCATGGTGAAACCCCGTCTCTACTAAAAATACAAAAAATTAGCCAGGCTGGTGGCAGGTGCCTGTAGTCCCAGCTACTCAGGAGGCTAAGGCAGGAGAATGGCGTGAACCTGGGAGGCGGAGCTTGCAGTGAGCCGAGATCATGCCACTGCACTCCAGCCTGGGTGACAGAGCGAGACTCTGTCTCAAAAAAAAAAAAAAAAGAAGTAATACCACACATCTACAACCATCAGATCTTTGACAAATCTGACAAAAACAAGCAATGGGGAAAGGAATCCCTATTTAATAAATGGTGCTGGGAAAACTGGCTAGCCATATGTAGAAAGCTGAAACTGGATCCCTTCCTTACACCTTATACAAAAATTAATTCAAGATGGATTAAAGACTTACATGTCAGACCTAAAACCATAAAAACCCTAGAAGAAAACCTAGGCAATACCATTCAGGACATAGGCATGGGCAAGGACTTCATGTCTAAAACACCAAAAGCAACGGCAACAAAAGCCAAAATGGACAAATGGGATCTAATTAAACTAAAGAGCTTCTGCACAGCAAAAGAAACTACCATCAGAGTGAACAGGCAACCTACAGAATGGGAGAAAAATGTTGCAATCTACCCATCTGACAAAGGGCTAATATCCAGACTCTACAAAGAACTTAAACAAATTTACAAGAAAAAAATCAAACAACCCCATCAAAAAGTGGGTGAAGGATATGAACAGACACTTCTCAAAAGAAGACATTTATGCAGCCAACAGACACATGAAAAAATGCTCATCATCACTGGCCATCAGAGAAATGCAAATCAAAACCACAATGAGATACCATCTCACACCAGTTAGAATGGCAATCATTAAAAAGTCAGGAAACAACAGGTGCTGGAGAGGATGTGGAGAAATAGGAACACTTTTACACTGTTGGTGGGACTGTAAACTAGTTCAACCATTGTGGAAGACAGTGTGGTGATTCCTCAAGGATCTAGAACTAGAAATACCATTTGACCCAGCCATCCTATTACTGGGTATATACCCAAAGGATTATAAATCATGCTGCTACAAAGACACATGCACACGTATGTTTATTGCGGCACTATTCACAATAGCAAAGACTTGGAACCAACCCAAATGTCCATCCATGATAGACTGGATTAAGAAAATGTGGCACATATACACCATGGAATACTATGCAGCCATAAAAAATGATGAGTTCATGTCCTTTGTAGGGACATGGATGAAGCTGGAAACCATCATTCTCAGCAAACTATCGCAAGGACAGAAAACCAAACATCGCATGTTCTCACTCATAGATGGCAATTGAACAATGAGAACACTCAGACACAGGGTGGGGAACATCACACACTTGGGCCTGTCAAGGGGTGGGGGGAGGGGGGAGGGATAGCATTAGGAGATATACCTAATGTAAATAACAAGTTAATGGGTGCAGCACACCAACATGGCACATGTATACCTATGTAACAAACCTGCACGTTGTGCACATGTACGCTAGAACTTAAAGTATAAAAAACAAAAATGCGGACAGTAGAAAATTTTTAAAAAAATGTGATCCCCATATGTTGAAGATGGGCGTAGTGGAAGGTGTTTGGGTCATGGGGACAGATCCCTCATGAATGGCTTGGTGCTATCCTTGCAGTAATGAGTGAGTTCTTGCTCTATTAGTTCACACAAGAGCTGGTTGTTTAAAAGAGCATCATGGCACCCCTCCCTCCCACTCTTGCTCCTTTCCTCAGCATGTGACACGCCTGCTCCTTCACCTTCCACCATGACTGGAAGCTTCCTGAGGCCCTCATCAGAAGCAGATGCAAGCACCATGCTTCTTGTACAGGCTACAGAACTGTGAGCCAGATAAACCTCTTTTCTTTATAAATGGCCCAGCCTCAGGTATGTATTTATAGCAAAACAAAATGGACTAATACAGTTGCTAATCAGCTGACTTAAAAAATAGGGAGATTATCCTGAATTCTCTAGGGGGGACCAAGGTAATCACAAATGCACTGGGTTAAATAGTGCTCCCCCAAAATGCATGCCCACTGGAGCCTCAGAATGTGACCCTATGTGGAAATAGGGTTGCTGCAAATCTAATTAGTTAAATTAAGATGGGGTAACGTGCATTAGGGTGGCCCCTAATCCAATGACTGCTGTCTTTATCAGAAGAGGAAACAGGAAACACAGACACATATAAGGAGAACGTCATGCAACAACAGAGGCAGAGATTGCATTTATGCTGCTACAAGCCAAGGGCTGCCAAGGATTGCTGGAGGCCACCAGAAGCTAGGAGAAGGCCACTCAAGCCTCTGGTAGGACCACCTCTGCTGAAACCTAGATTTCAGGATTCCAGGCTCTAGAGCTACGAGAGAATAAACTTGTTTTAAGCCACTTAGTTTGTGGTACTTTTTTTTTTTTTTTTTTTTGAGACAGAGTCTTGCTCTTGTCACCCAGTCTGGAGTGCAGTGGTGTGATCTTGGCTCACTGCAACCTCTGCCTCCTGGGTTCAAGTGATTCTCCTGCCTCAGCCTCCTGAGTAGCTGGGATTACAGGCGCACATCACCACACCCGGCTAATTTTTGTATTTTAGGTAGAGATGGGGTTTCACCATGTTGGCCAGGCTGGTCTCGAACTCCTGACCTCAAGTGATCCACCTGCCTCGGCCTCCCAAAGTGCTGGGATTACAGGCATGAGCCACCGCATCTGGCCATTTTGTGGTACTTTATTAGTATGGCTGCCCTTGGAAACTAAAGGGTCCCTATGTGTGGAAGAGGGAGGCAGAAGAGTCACGGGCAGAATGATGTGGTGTGACAAAGACCCCGCTGAGTGCTGCCAGCTTTGGAAATGGAGGGAGGGCCCAAGAGTCAAGAAGTGCAAGGAGCGTCTAGAAACAGAAAACCGGAAAAGGGAAGAAGGCAGATTCTCTCTGGAACTTACGGAAGATTTGCAATCTTGCCAACACCTTGATTTTGGCCTACTGAGACACATTTTGGACTTTGTCTTACAAAACTGTCAGATGATACATTTGTGTTGTTTAAGCCACTAATTGTGTAGTAGTTTGTAATAACAGTAGTGGAAAACTAACTCAATATCAAAAAGAAAATTTACCTTATTCTATCAATTTTTGGTTTAACTTGGCTATTTTTTTAATATACAATTTTTTTTAGAAAGCCAACTCTCTTATATTTTCTTTCATGTTTCTATCCTTTCCTATTATGCTTAGAGCTCCTCACCATGGAGATGAGATAAATGCTGTCTTTTCTTTGTTTTTCCTGATTTCTTTTCTTTTCTTTTTTTTTTTTTTTTTTTTTGAGACGGAGTCTCTGTCACCAGGCTGGAGTGCAATGGTGCGATCTCAGCTCACTGCAACCTCCGCCTCCCAGGTTCACACCATTCTCCTGCCTCAGCCTCCCGAGTAGCTGGGACTAAAAGTGTGTGCCACCACTCTCGGCTAATTTTTTGTATTTTTAGTAGAGACAGCGTTTCACCGTGTCAGCCAGGATGGTCTCTACCTCCTGACCTCATGATCCACCTGCCTAGGCCCTGATTTCAGTTTTTACATTTAATTTTATAATTCAGTAGCCCTTAACATTCCCTTCTTGTTGCAGATACTTTGGGAATCTGATGAAAACCACAGATGCCCCACCTATAGAACACAGATACATACATGTATAATCTGTCCACTAATATTTGTGGGTGGAGCAGGATGTTAAATCGTAAGCAGATCTCAATCAGAGTGCGGAGAAATGTTCTATCTGGGTGAGAAGAGGCGATTTCAATCAGCTGGCGTGCGGGTGGGACATCTGACAGGAACATTGAAGGATGGAAGAACTCTGGTGGCCACAGGTGGGAAGGAGCTCCCCAAGAAGAGAAAGGGATGAGCCAAGGCAGGAAGGGTATGTACGTTCCACCTGCTGTGACTGGGCCAGGGTACCTGAAGGCAGGCTGCAGAGGTAAAGGGTGTCTCGTGCACCTGTTTCTGATCTGACCTTGGTCCAGCCCAACACCTGGATGACCAAGAAGACATTATTCTGCAAAAAAAGTCAAGAGAGATGCTAGGCCCTGAGGAAGATCAGGAACTTTGGAGGAAAGAGCTCAGGAAGAGAAGCACTGAGTGTTGATATTGGAGAGGTGGAGAAAATGATCTGATGTGATGAAATGCTAAAGGAACAGTAACACCTTGCCCGGAATGCTTTCTTTCATAAGTTCCATTTGGATACATACAGTGACCTGCAGGGAAAAAAATGGGAAGGCATTATTTCTAACAAGGCTTTTTTACAGATAATGATTCAGACAAAGGCACAGAGAGAAGTTAAGCAATTTGTTTAAGGCCGGCGATTTGTAGAATTATATTCCCACAGAGTAAAGGGGGAGAATAGCAGCATATCTATGACCAGCATTGATAGAATTTATAAGTGTATGGACTTTTGGGAAGCTTTAAGCATTCTTAAAAGTGATTCATATCGTTCACATGACAAATAAAAACACTGAGATTCAGGAGGGGTAAGTAACTCATCTAAGACCACAAAGCTATTAGAACCAGACTCAGTCCCAATTCTCAGGAATTCTTAGCATTGCAAAGGGCATGTTACCCTAAGCAGTTTTGGCAAAGTTTGCCAATGACATAGTAGAATTTGGCACTGAATCCTGCTTTGGGTTCAGAGCAGCTTTATAAGAAGCCCAACAGATACTATGCTTGACTGGGTCCCTCTGACTGGTGAGCAAACCATTTCCTTTTGTATACTCTATTGAGATCAGGAAAATTTTAATGTGGTCCACTCCTGGGAAATAAGGCATCTAATTACCACCTTCACATAATGACATCTTGTGGCTTGGGGCCCTCTCTATGGCACACAGACCTGTTGTGGTCCCAGCTTAATCTGTGGTCCAGCCTCATCTCCCTTCACTCTGAACCACGCGCCTGAGCCCCAGCGACATAGAATCCCATGCCATGCCCACGCCCACCAAGTTGGGATGACCCAGGGCCTTTGCGCGTGCTGTGTGTGTTCCCTGGTCCCTGCTTTCCCCTGCCCTGCCAGCGAAATCCTACCTCTTCAAGACTCATCATTTAAAAACCCATCTTCCACACCCATGTTCATAGCAGCATATTTATAAGAGGTGGAAACAACTCAAGTGTCCATCAACTGATAAAGGAGTATGTACGATGTGGTCTATCCATGCGACGGAATATTATTCAGCTGTAGAATAATAGAAAGGATGGAAATGCTGAGGGTTGCTACAACACAGGTGAACCCTGAAGACACGATGCTAAGTGAAATAAGCCAGTCCCAACAGGACAAACCCTGTGTGAGTCCACTGACAGGAAATCCCTAGAGGAGTCAAATTCATAAAGGCAGAATGCAGAATGATGGCTGCCAGGGGCTGGGGGGAGGGAGAATGTGGTTTAGCGGGTATAGAATTGCAGTTTTGCAAGATGAAAAAGTTCTGGAGATGTGAATATACTTAATGGTACTGGAATGTGCACTTAAAATGGTATATTTTGTTATGTGTATTTTATCACCACTTTTTAAAAACTATTTTTAAAAACCCTATCCTTGCCGGGCGAGGTGGCTCACACCTGTAATCCCAGCACTTTGGGAGGCCAAGGCAGGTGGATCATGAGGTCAGGAGATCGAGACCATCCTGGCTAATATGCTGAAACCCCGTCTCTACTAAAAATACAAAAAATTAGCTGGGCGTGGTGGCGGGCACCTGTAGTCCCAGCTACTCGGGAGGCTGAGGCAGGAGAATGGTGTGAACCCGGGAGGCGGAGCTTGCAGTGAGCTGAGATCATGCCACTGCACTCCAGCCTGGGCGACAGAGCGAGACTCTGTCAAAAAAACAAACAAACAAACAAACAAAAACCCTGTCCTTTATAAAGGCTTTCTTGAGTCCCCATAAGGAGTGAGCTACATCCCACTTCGGTATCTGACCACAGCCCTCTGGGCACACTGACCATGGACACCAGGTAACTACTTACTGAGGTGTTTCCTTCTTCTGCAAATGGCAGGCCTCTTGAGGGAGCATGGCCTGACACTGACTGGTCTGTATAGCCGCACACTCCAGCATGGCTCCTGGTTTATGGCTAGGGCTCCACACATCTTTGCTTACCAATGAGGACTCTAAGTAGGATGTTACCATGAGGCATCCAGCCTTCCCCGGCTCTTTGATAGAATCACAGATCCATGAAGACATCACCTGATGCCTTGACAACTGACAGGTCATTTATAAAGAATTGGCTTTATAGATTAAACACTTTCCCCTTGAAAAATGGAGATAAATATGAAAACGTTGTGCATCCTGAAGCAATCGCATGATTTACAGGGACATCAACGAGAGCTGCGTCCTGTCCAGCTCAACTTTGCATTGTCGGCATCTAATTCTCCTCCATAGCCTTCCTCCCCTGATTGGGATCTGCAACCCAGGAGCCTATAAATATTGTGGTAGCATATGACCAGGGGTGTCAGAGATGTCAGCTGTGGGGATAAAAGTGTCTGTCTAAGAGGCTTGAGGATGCATCACAGTGAAGGATGGACTGGAGACAGGATGGCGAGTGGTAATTACAGGGCTGGGGTTTGGGATGCAGAAGCAGAGGCAGCTTTGGAGGGCAGGAGGAAGGAAGAGGCTGAAGAGCTGCTGAGGCCAGGCATCATCCCTGGGCCTTCCTCCTCCTCCAGAATATCTGGCAGCTGTTTGCTGTTCTCAGTGCTTATGCTTTGGACCTGGTATCAAGGATGTCATTGACTCTTAACCCGAGTCCTAGCACATATTCATAGTTCCCTAACCCTATGCCACATCCCTCCCACCCCCATGGTCAACTATCTGGCCTCAGATTGGGATATGAAGTGGGGCAAGTGCTCCAAAGAGGGTGTGGAGGGGGCTAATCAGTGGAAAGTGGGTGAAGGGTTTGGAGTTCAATGTAAATGAGAATCTGAGAACCAAGGTTTCACAAAAGGTCTGGCAGGATTCATAGGGAACCTCCTGGGGGAATGAGACTTTAAAAAAGGTCCAGAGCTGGGCACAGTGGCTCACACCTGTAATCCCAGCACTGTGGGAGGACAAGACAGCAGGATCACTTGAGGCCAGGAGTTTGAGACCAGCCTGAGCAACATAGCAAGAGCTCATCTCTACAAAAAATGAAAAACATAGTTGGCATGGTGGTGCACACCTGTAGTCCCAACTACTCAGGAGGCTGAGGCAGGAGTATCATTTGAGTCCATGAGGTTGAGGCTGCAGTGAGCCATATTGGCGTATTGGCACCACTGCACCCCAGCCTGGATGACAGAGTAACAATTGTAACTCATGTTGATTGAACACTTGTTCAATGTCAAGCACTGTACTAAGCACTTTTTAACGGACTATCTCATTTAATCCTCCAATGACTCTACAGAGTATATCCCATGATCTCCACTTTCCTATTAAGGACATTAACACATGGAGAGGTCAGGTGACCTGCTCAAGGACCTGTGTGATGTCAAGATAAGGACAAATGTGGAAAGGCTGCATGGCCGCCATCATAAACCAAGATAAAGAGCCTCAACCCTGAGCCAAGTCACCGTGAAAACATGCTAATGGTCACCAGACATGGGCCAGCGATTGTAGTCATCACCAGGAGGCACATGGTCAGAAGCCAGAACTAAAATATCATCTAGGTATCAAGCACTCATGATACCTTGGTAAAGGGGGCAGGGGAGGAAGTGGGATCAAAGTAGGTTGGCTTCTCTGGTCCCTGTCCCAAGACGACAGCTTCTGGCAGTGAGGCTGAGCACACTGCACGCAGGATGCCTAAGGGACACTGAACAGCTGCTGCCGCCACGGAAGATTGACTCCTACCCCAGGTCCATTCCCGCACACTCCAGAAAAATTTGGGCCACACAGAGAGAGTGTCCTGATCTGGTAGCTCATTCATCTGTGCCCTTTTAGAAAGGGAGAAGACAGTGCCCTGGGAGGAATCCTCCACCTGCCTCTTCTCCAGGATCTGTGATGAAATCCACCTGAAATTCACAGACTTAATTTTTAATGACCACTCATTAAACTTGCAATGAAAAAGATCAAGTGCATTGTAAAGTAGATACTGGGGAAAATATACTCACTTTGATTATTTTAACCCTGGGGATAGGCCATGTGGGTGAAGCCCACACTGCATTTAGCACTCAGCAGATTTTCTGTGGGTCCCACTTCAGGCCAGGCACTGTGCTTGGCACTGGGGCGGCTTTCATGTCAAAGAAGACATGGGCTATGCGCTCAGTTTCAGGAGGTAGGCAAACAGGTCAATCAGTCTGCAGTAAGACTGCAGGAAGCCCCATGGTGGGAATGCACCCGGGGCTCTGCAGGAGCACAGCCCAGCTTTGCTGTCTGGCTTGGGTGTACCCAGAAGCCAATCCTAAGACTGGAATTAGGTCGGGCGTGGTGGCTCATGAATGTAATCCCAGCACGTTGGGAGGCCAAGGGGGGCGGATCACCTGAGGTCAGGAGTTTGAGACCAGCCTGGTCAACGTGATGAAGCCCCTTCTCTACCAAAAATACAAAAATTAGCTGGGTGTGGTAGCACATGCCTGTAATCTCAGCTACTCAGAAGGCTGAGGCACAAGAATCGCTTGAAGAGGCAGAGGTTGCAGTGAGCTGAGATCAAGGCAGAGGTCACAGTGAGCTGAGATCGCGCCACTGCACTCGCCTGGGCAACAGAGTGAGACTCTGTCTCAAAAAAACAAAAAGACTGGAATTGAAATGCAAGAAGCTACCCAGGAGGCTCCAGGTATGCTGTAGGAGAGTGAAGAAATGAGACGAGGAAGAGCACGTTATCAGCCAGCTCCCCCATGAGATGGAGCGTCATCCTGCTGGGAACTCCAGGGGCCAGTGTAGAATACCCACCTCTGAGTTATCCACTGGAGGACCAGGGAGCTGGGGTGTTTATGTGCCAGCTCTCACCAGTTGCCAGATGAACCTGCCCCCAAAGGCCTTTAATTCCCTGGCACTTCTGACCTGCCATGCAGGTGGCAAGCAGAATCCCTCAGGCCATCAAAAGCTCATGCAGGCCCTGGGGGGCTGGCTGGTGAGCACTGGAGTGCTAAAAGTGAGTGGGTACGTGGGGCCCTCATGGGGTCTGGCCAAGGGCCACACACCTCCCAGGGTTTATTTTTAGGGGGTTCGTCTTGCTTCTCAAACAAGACAATAAACCTGACCAAGGACAAAGGCCACTCGTACGCCTCTCAGCATCCAGCCACACAGCATTGCCACACGCTTGACCGATACCCTATGCCAAGATCAGGAAGTTTATATGGATAACAATCTCGCCAACAATTCTCATGGTGTGAGATCAACTCAGTTTTACAGAGAAGGAAACAGACTCAGAGAATCAAGCCTGCTGCATGTGAGCTGTCGGTGTTATGCACAACACATCCACAGGGCATTCTATTCATGTGGATTTCTACATGGATAGAGCCTCCTAGGGTTGTGCAGTGTGCAGCCTGTGCAACCATACACAGGGGACCCACGTGAGAAAGGTTATGCCACTTGCCAAACGTCCCACTACTAAGAAGGGCAGAGTGGAATCCTCACCTGTCTGCTCCAAAGCCTGACTCCTAGTCCTCAGCCTCTTTGCAACCACAGCCTGGGGAAAGCGCTTCATAAATGCTTAAAGACAGCACAATGCTCCAAAAAAAAAAAAAAAAAAAAAATCTTAACTCTTTTAACTCTTTCAGTCTCAGTCCCTGGGGACGCCACTGAGTCGTTTAGCTTCATGGCTTAAAGGATCTGCTCACAAAACCAAGAAGAAACCAGACCCAGCCAGGGGGAGGCATGAGTCATGCCAGGCAGAGGGAAAGAAACAAGCAAGAATCAGAGATGGGGAAGTGGGCCCAAGAAAAATGCAGAGCTCTTTAGAAGACAACAAAAAAGCCAAAGCCATTGGAAGGCAAATGGATACAGAGAGAATGAGGGAGGCTTAGAAAAACAAATCCCACAGCATCGCAAGGAACTCAGGGCCCCATGAATGTAAGGGATTTCTTTTTGACTCTGGCTACCTGTAAATACACCTCCCTTGAGGCCATCGCTGGGGTGGAGGGCCTGGTCAGAGGTGTGCAGGGTGATCCTGGGGACCTGGCCACAATTCCACATTAATGTCTCTCTGGCGAGAAGTTGAAGCAGAATCTAGCCCAATTCCGATGGAGGATCTGAGGCTCTCTGCCGCAGGGCGGGTGCCCAGTGCTGTGGCCAAACAGGAACACTGTTGCCAAGAACAGAGGCTTGTCTGAGCCCAAACCAACACCCCCTCCTGCTCCCCTGGGGAAGACCCCTGCTCTTGGCTTCTAGGGCCCCCACTCTGGGGTTTCCTTCCAATTCAGTGAGGGCCCCTGAGACTCTGCACCCCACCCCTCTGCTTATCTCAAGGTCTGGACTTCCCTTCTCTTTCCTACTTCATCAAGTTCTTCTGCATCAGCATGCAGGCCCTGCACTTGCAATTCATTCCTATGCTCTGTCTCCATCTCTGGCCTGCTCCAAACAAGCTCCGAGCCCCACAACCCCAGCGAAGTCATTCTTATCAAGGCCACACTGGAGCTCCATGTGGCCGAGTCAGTGGTCCCTGCTGTGTGCTTGTCTTACCTTCTCAGCCCCCTTCCCCACGGTGGACCACTCCTCCCTGCTGAAACACTTCTCCCCTGGCTTCTAGGACCCCACCCTTTCCGGGGCTCCCTCCTGGTCTTTTGAGTGTGCCTCCTCAGCTCCCTGAGCTGGCTCCCCCGGCCCCTTTTTCTGGCTCTAATTGATGGCACACGTGGACTCCGCTTGGGACCTCCTTCCTTTCCTCTCCACACAGTTCTCCCAGATAATCTCATCCTGTCTCCAGGCTCCAAATGCCATTGATTGTACTCTGTCGTCCCTCTCTCCTGCCCCCACCTCCTCCTGGAACTCCAGACTCCTTGATCCAACTGCCCATTGACATGGCCTAACAATGATCTCAGGCTGAACAGGGTCAAACAGAATTTTTTATTTCCCTCCCTTACCCACAGCCTGTGCCTTCCTTCATCCTGGTGACCTCCACTACCAACCACCAGCCTCTTAAACCAAGCATCTCAGAGGCCTCGTGGAATCCCCTCTTTGCCTCCCTCCCCACTTGCAGCTCATTACTGAGTCGTGTTATGTCCCTGGCTACCACTGTGAGCCAAGCCATCCTACTCTCCGGAAATCTCTAGCCTAACAGATTCCTACCTTGATTCCTGGTCCTCTTCAGTGTACTCTCGATAAAGAAATCGGAGGCTTTTTTAAAAAAAACATCAAATATGTTACCCTCAGCCTAAAACCCAAGACTTGCCACTACATTTAGAATACAACCCAACCCTCTAGATCCCCTATGCCTGTCTACCTCTCAGCTTTGATCTGCCCCCCCTCTGCCCTTGTTCACATCTCTCCGGCGATCAGCTGTGTTTATCCCTTAAATACACCGACTTTATTCCTCTTGGTGGGTCTTGGCTCTCCCCAGGACCTCTCCTCAAAATTTACGCCTGCCATCTTATTTTAAATGTCCTCTTTCCAACCTACTCTCTCTCTTATCTCCCCTTATTTGAATTCTCTGCAGAACCTTAATGCTGTTTCCTTTGCTTTCTTGCCCATGGCTCGGAGCAGTGACTGCAGTAGTCACCGAGAAGCATTTGAGTGAATTAAGAATGAACGAATGGTTGAATTGACCCAAACAATGGGCCTTGAAGTATCTTTCAGAAATGGGTATCCCCAAGAGTCTTCTGAGAAGTAAACCACCCACAAAGACAATGAGATGACGATTCTTCTATCCTCAAAGACAAATGAGAAAATGAAAGTCATGTCCAGAAGTCCAGTTAAGGGGCAGTCCCTGCTACTTCTAATCCTTCTAGTTCCTCCTCTACATCAACCTCATCATTTCCATGAGAACATTTTACACCAGTGACACCAGCAATGACAGAGAAAAATGGTCCCAATTTACAATCCTCAGACTCAATCTTCAAAGAAATGTTTATTTCCACCTTGACCCTTGACTCTCATCGCTGGCCACTAAACGCCATGCAATGAGCAATCGCTTGGCAGTCGTGCCACACTGGTCAGCTGCCTAGGTGTTCCTTCACCCAGAATTTGAATTTTGATCAGTCACTTTGCTATTATTATGTGTCAGGACTATATTTTCATAAGACAACCAATTTGAAGTCAGAAGTATAGGTCCTAATGTAGAGTTTTAAAAAATGTACCAACACCATAAGGGTTTGTGAACCTCTATCAGATAATAATCAGAAGTCAGGGTGGCCCAGAGCTGTGCAAAGTCAAAACTTGGTGCTATTGTTGTTCAAATGGGTAACTCTATGTGTTTGTAAAAAGCACAGTCTAATAAGGAAAGGACTGGGCTAACGAAAGGGGAATATGCAGGGCTTTCTCTGCTAGAGGTAGGTTTTGCCCTTTGGTGTCAGCTGATGCTCTCAGACCCCACGTAACCTACAGCTATAGCCTACAGACCTTCTCCCTAAAATTCTGACTTTAAAACTAATGCATTTTATCATATGTGTTGGCTTAAAGCCTGATGAAGATAGCATGATTCATGTTACGCTAAATATTAATAACCACCTTCTCCCCATCATTGCACTTTACATGAGGATTTTGTGACTTAAAGATGAGCATTTCAATGCAGCCACAAGCTCACTGCTTTACGTGGGAAATCTCTCCTGAGGGTAGGGCCACCCCTGAATGGCTTAACGTTCAGGTGATTTACTGTGCCAACAACAAGAATCTTGTTTAGAAGGCTCTTAGGCTGGGCGCAGTGGCTTACACCTGTAATCCCAGCATTTTGGGAGCCCAAGGTGGGTGGATCACTTAATGTCAGGAGTTCGGGATCAGCCTGGCCAACGTGGCGAAACCCCATGTCTACCAAAAATAAAAAAATTAGCCAGGCGTGGTGGTGTGCGCTACTCAGGAGGCTGAGGCATGAGAATTGCTTGAAACCAGGAGGTGGAGGTTGCAGTGAGCCGAGAACATGCCACTGTACTCCAGCCTGAGTGACAGGGTGGGACGCTGTCTTAAAAAAAAAAAAAGAAACTTCTTTGCTGCCCCTGTGAAGCCCTCGTTGCTTCTTGCCAAGTGAGACCTGCCTGCACCCTTCCCACCTTTCCAGATCCATCCCATCACTCTCCACCTTTCCTTCCCACCCCACACTGAAGCTGTACTAGACACAGACTGATTTGTGTCTTCTTAGCTTTCCTCACATCATGTTCTCTCTTCTTGTAAGGTGTTTCCTCTCCTGCCTCACTTTCCCCATCAGTGCCCTTCCACTTACCCCCCAAAGCATGACTTCACCACCTCTGGCAAGTTTTCCACAACCCGGGACTTTGCTCCAGGCCCCCTCTCTGCAGTCACCACACCCGGTGCATGCTCTGGGTTCCCAATAGACTATTGACTGGTCCACCTTCCCCAGCTGGTTGTGACATCTTTGAGGGCAGGGGCAGGGTGGTTTCTGGCACATAGCAGTCATTCAACAAATGCCAATTGAATGAATCCTGAATGAATGAATGAGACAGGGCCTGTTTTACAGTTATTGCCACTAGGCTTTTCTTTTCTTTTCTTTTCTTTTTTTAACAAAATGCCTGCTCTCATGATGTGGGCCACAGGAACCATAGACAAGAAGTCGGTGTCCAAGCCTGGGTGTAGCATTAGAAGGGAGGTAGATTAGCTCTCAGAGGCCATTGTGGAGGTGGGCACAGGAATCAAAAGGAGAAACTGCCCTTATGATGCTGATATGGTTTGGCTGTGTCCCCACCCAGATCTCATCGTGAATTGTAGCTACCATAACTCCCACGTGTTGTGGGAGGGACCCTGTAAGAGATCATTGAATTATGGGGGTGGTTTGCCCCATATTGTTCTTATGGTTGTGAATAAGTCTCACGAGACCTGACGGTTTTATAAGCGGTTTCCCCTTTCACTTGGCTCTCATTTTCTCTCGTCTGCCGTCATGTAGGATGTGCCTTTTGCCTTCTGCCATGGTTGTAAGGCCTCCCCAGCCGCATGGAACTGTGAGTCCGTTCAACCTCTTTTCCTTTGTAAATTACCCAGTCTTGACTATGTCTTTATTACCAGCGTAAGTATGGGCTAAGACAGATGCCAAACATGGAAGGCTCTCACTTGAGTTTCAGTGAGGAAAACAAATTTTCCGACATACCTACATTTGTTCAAAGGTGCCACAAGTAGAGACAAAAGAAGGAAAGGACTGGTAAAGGAATTTGAAAGCAAAAGGCTAAAAAACTCAGATATTTAAAAATAATAACTGAATTAAAGAAGAGCTGCCAAGATATATGAATAGCATGAACTGATGAGGAGCCATCCATAGACCCCTCAGTGCGGTTGCACCTGAGCAGGGACCTACTGGTGGCAGGAGCTTCCCTCTAGGGGGAGTAACAAGAGAACTCTCCATTCACCTCGTTAGCTTTAGGGCTGTACTGAGGATCAAAAGCCAATGGACATCTTCAAGTTCCTGAAGCTATAAGAAAAAGGTGAGACTTATCTACCACCTAGGGGGCCAATATATATGTCAACAGGCCCTCACAGGGGTACAAGCTAGATATTTCCTAACTGAGCTTCTCATGTGCTGGGTATTAGACATCAACTTCGCAGATACAGAAACTGAATCTAGGGTTGACATGAGGAATAAATTAACGTTAACCAAATTTCCAAGAGGTGGATGAATGCATCAAACAATATACATGTTCATTTAAGTCAAGAAATAAAATAGGGGCTGGGTGCAGTGACTCATGCCTGTAATCCCAGCACTTTGGGAGGTCGAGGCGGGCAGATCACCTGAGGTCAGGAGTTCAAGACCAGCCTGGCCAACATGGTGAAACCCCAACTCTACTAAAAATAAAAAAAAGTAGCCAGGTATGGTAGAACATGCCTGCAATCCCAGCTACTTGGGAGGCTGAGGCAGGAGAATCCCTTGAATCTGGGAGGCGGAGGTTGCAGTGAGCCAAGATCGTGCCACTACACTCCAGCCTGGATGACAGAGTTAGACTCTGTCTGAAAAAAAATAAAATAGGAAGTAGCCTCCATGAATATCCATGACTATGGATCTGTGCATACTTTCCCTGGAGGGGAATCTGCAAGGGAGGTCACGTGGTCAATTGGAGGGCACTGGGGAGCGCAGAGTGAAGCGGACGTTGCTGTTCCAGCTGCCATAAAGAGAAGGCCTGGGCGCTCTACCAGCCAACGCTCCCATGTCTACAGTAAGGCGGGGTTGAACCCACTCCTTAGAAGCGTAGATTGGAGTGGACCCATCCTGGCTCTCTGTCTGCACCTTCTCTAGCCCATCTCCCTTCCTCAGACTGGACATGCTGGATTAGGTTTAGGACTTTTGGCGATAATACTCAAATTTGTTGGTGTTACATTTCCAAAAGCCAGCGGTCCCCAGCCTTTTGGGCACCAGGGACCACTTCTGTGGAAGACAATTTTCCCACGGAATGGGGGGCAGATGGCTTCGAGATGATTCAAGTGTGTTACATTTATCATTAGATTCTCATAAGGAGCACACAACCTAGATCCCACGCATGTGCAATTCACAACAGGGTTCCTGCTCCAATGAGAATCTCATGCTGCGGCTGATGAGACTGGGGAGCTCGGGCGGGAGTGCTGGCTCACCCGTCGCTCTCCTCCTGCTGTGTGGCCCAGTTCCTAACAGGCTACAGACCCATAACCAGTCCACGGCCTGGGGGTTGGGGACTCCTGCCAAAAGCCATATTGCAACAAAGACTTGAGTGAAGGCAGCTTTGGGGGAAGGTGATCTCAGGAAGCACAAGAAGAAAGTGAGGAGAGTAGAGCCAAGGAAGAAAGAAATAAGTCTATGAAGGTTCATTAATGAGCAGGGTGTGCCTGTGGTCCCCACGCAGACCCATCTGAGACACCACACGAAGCATGCCCAGTAGAGCTTTTATCCATAGATTCTCTTCCCCACTGGGTGACGTTTAGTCCTTGGGGAATTTACTCTCCACTCCACTTCCAAATTGTGCCATGTGCGCCTAGGCAAGCTTCAAGATGCCAAAGAAGGCTTTCAAGCAAGGGGAAGAGAGAAACCAGAGCACAAGGCTCGAGCTGTCAGGTCACAAGCGGGGTGTCTGCAGAGGCAAGTGAGTTCACGTGGGCCCACAGCCCATGCTACAACTGGGAATTCTCAGATCTCTTGGGCCACACATTTACAATGAGCTAAATTGCTCTAAAAATGGAGAACTGTCTGATAATTGATTCTTTTTTTAATTCCCAGGAGGAGTCATCTCCTAATGACCTCTGCTGAGGCCCCCAGCTCACGATCACTTGGCACTCCACCAAAGAATTCAACCCCAAGAATTAAAATCATATTCTATGAAAAGATTGTTCTCTTTTCATAATTTGTGCATTCACTGTGGCATATAAATGATTCATAACTTGATTTTCCCACCTGTCACAAAATATGAATTTTTCAGTTCATTTTAAAGATTAAATTTTAAACTTAAATCAGTCCCTAAAAAAGCAGAGTATTATTTAAAATAATTTTTCAATTCTTTTCTATTTTAATATAGAAATTAACAGAGATATCAAAGATTTAAGATTTTATCTTTTTATGCAATATCTTAGCATTAAATATTTATTATTAATGAAAACCAAAAAATTATTAATTATCCCTAAATTACAATCAAGCCAAAATTTCCCAAATTAAGATGTGATACTAAAACAAACACTTACCACTCTTTTCAGCTGATAATATAATTACAGAGACAGTCAAACTGCTATTTATGTAAAGTGTTCATTCAACCATACCATAAACCATTAATTTTTAGGGAAAGCTTAGTTGCCAAGTTCTTGGCTTATGCTTGAGCATCTAGAATTTTTTTTTTTTTTTTAGATGACGTCTTGCTCTGTTGCCCAGGCTGGAGTGGAGTGACACAATCTCAGCTCCCTCCTGCAACCTCCGCCTCCCAGGTTCAAGCAATTCTCCTATCTCAGACTCCCAAGTAGCTGGGATTACAGGCGCACATTACCAGGCCCGGCTAATAGAATATATTATTTGCCCCTCTACCCACTGTAGCAGCAAATGATGGTGACAAAATTTCGGGCATCTGCTACCTCTAACTGGAATGCAATTATGGATGGACTGTACCATAAGTAAAAGCCATATTTGAGAGCCAGTGTTGCTGGATATAAGATCCTTGCCTTACTATTCCCCCCCATCAATTTCTTAAATATGTGCTCCATTTTCTTCTGGCATGAAACACTGCAGTTAAAAATTGTGAAGATTATCTAATTTTTTTAGATTATCTAATTATCAAAAAGCAAAGGTCAAGGGGAATTGTGAGAGCAGCTGTTGAAATCAGGAGTGCTTTAGTCAGCTCCAGCAACTGGTGACTGCAGGGGGCCTATGGAAGGAGGGTCAGAAGGGGCCGGAGCAACCCAAGTCCTGAGAACCCCCAAACGTCCTTCCGAGCTCTCTTTTAGCACAGAGGAGACACTTCAGACGATGAAATAAAAACTGACAAAGGCAGAGATAATCGAGACAAAGAGATGATCCAGACCACAGGGAAGGGGAATGGATCCGGAAAAGCTCCGTAAGCAAGCTGTTTAATACACAAAAACTGCATGATGAAATAACCTGTACAACAAACACCCATGACATGGGTTTACCTATATATGTAACAAACCTGCACATGTACCACCAAACCTAAAATAAAAGTTAAAAACAAAACAAAACAAAACACAAAACAATGCACGAAAGCAAGAGAGGCAGAAGTTCTGTGGAGTTAAAACGGTTTTCCTAAATGGGAGGTTTGGGAGAACTAATTTCACTTAAAAATAACCACAGATGAGTATCGAGATCAAATGCCGTACAAAATGACTATAAGAAAAGGAGAATGAAGGCCACAGTAAACACTCCTACAGACCATCAAAGCATGCCAGGAAGATGTGACCACAGAACAGAACCAAATTAACCAAATCAACCTACTCATTCAAAATGAGTTACAATGACACAACATATGAGTCAAACAACATTTGGGAAAAGTTGAAAATGAGAGAACAGAACTCCTGAAAGAATTCGAAGTCAAAGAGAAGTTTATAGCAAAATTGAAGAATAAATTAGAAGGAACACAAGAGTGAATGAACAAAAGATAATGCCTGAAAAGAAAGAGTAGATTAAAAAAAGATAATTTTACATTTAAAACAAATGAACAAATATAAAAAGATTTGAGAAAAAGAAACAAGTATTAAAGATAGGCAAAGAAGATTAAACATGTAGATAGCAGGAGTCCCTTAAGATAATAATCAAAGCAAAGGAAGAAAACAAATATTAAAAATATAATTCAAGAAAAATTCCCTGAAATTAAAAATAAAGATGGGAAACTACATATTGAAAAAGCATACTGCACATCTGAGACTACCAAGTCAAAATGACCAACGCAAAGGCAAAGTCTAGTAGAATTGCTGAGTTAAAAAAATAAAAACATAAGATTTTGTGTGTCTAGAAAAAAAAGAACATGGGATATGTAAGGGAAAGAAAATTGGGGCTGGGTGCAGTGGCTCTTGCCTATAATCCCAGCACTTTGGGAGGCCAAGGTGGGCAGATGACCTGAGGTCAGGAGTTCAAGACCAGCCTGGCCAACATGGTGAAACCCCATCTCTACTAAAAATACAAAGAGGTTGGAGGGAGTAGCTAAGATGGCCAAATAGGAACAGCTTCGGTCTACAGCTCCCAGCGAGAGTGAGGCAGAAGATGGGTGATTTCTGCATTTCCATCTGAGGTACCGGTTCATCTCACTAGGGAGTGCCAGACAGTGGGCGCAGGTCAGTGGGTGCGCGCACCTGCGCGAGCCGAAGCAGGGCGAGGCATTGCCTCACTCGGGAAGCGCAAGGGGTCAGGGAGTTCCCTTTCCTAGGCAAAGAAAGGGGTGACGGAAGGCACCTGGAAAATTGGGTCACTCCCACCCAAATACTGCGCTTTTCCGACGGGCTTAAAAAACTGTGCACCACGAGATTATATCCCTCACCTGGCTCCGAGGGTCTTACGCCCACGGAGTCTCGCTGATTGCTAGCACAGCAGTCTGAGATCAAACTGCAAGGCGGCAGCGAGGCTGGGGGAGGGGCGCCTGCCAGTTGCCCAGGCTTGCTTAGGTAGACAAAGCAGCCGGGAAGCTCGAACTGGGTGGAGCCCACCACAGCTCAAGGAGGCCTGCCTGCCTCTGTAGGCTCCACCTCTGGGGGCAGGGCACAGACAAACAAAAAGACAGCAGTAACCTCTGCAGACTTAAGTGTCCCTGTCTGACAGCTTTGAAGAGAGCAGTGGTTCTCCCAGCACACAGCTGGAGATCTGAGGACGGGCAGACTGCCTCCTCAAGTGGGTCCCTGACCCCTGACCCCGAAGCAGCCTAACTGGGAGGCACCCCCCAGCAGGGGCAGACTGACACCTCACACGGCGGGTACTCCAACAGACCTGCAGCTGAGGGTCCTGTCTGTTAGAAGGAAAACTAACAAACAGAAAGGACATCCACACCAAAAAACCATCTGTACATCACCATCATCAAAGACCAAAACTAGATAAAACCACAAAGATGGAGAAAAAACAGAACAGAAAAACTGGAAACTCTAAAAAGCAGAGCACCTCTCCTCCTCCAAAGGAACGCAGTTCCTCACCAGCAATGGAACAAAGCTGGACGGAGAATGACTTTGACGAGCTGAGAGAAGAAGGCTTCAGACGATCAAATTGCTCCGAGCTACGGGAGGACATTCAAACCAAAGGCAAAGAAGTTGAAAACTTTGAAAAAAATTTAGAAGAATGTATAACTAGAATAACCAATACAGAGAAGTGCTTAAAGGAGCTGATGGAGCTGAAAACCAAGGCTCGAGAACTACGTGAAGAATGCAGAAGCCTCAGGAGCTGATGCGATCAACTGGAAGAAAGGGTATCAGCGATGGAAGATGAAATGAATGAAATGAAGTGAGAAGGGAAGTTTAGAGAAAAAAGAATAAAAAGAAACGAGCAAAGCCTCCAAGAAATATGGGACTATGTGAAAAGACCAAATCTACGTCTGATTGGTGTACCTGAAAGTGACGGGGAGAATGGAACCAAGTTGGAAAACACTCTGCAGGATATTATCCAGGAGAACTTCCCCAGTCTAGCAAGGCAGGCCAACATTCAGATTCAGGAAATACAGAGAACGCCACAAAGATACGCCTCGAGAAGAGCAACTCCAAGACACATAATTGTCAGATTCACCAAAGTTGAAATGAAGGAAAAAATGTTAAGGGCAGCCAGAGAGAAAGATCGGTTACCCTCAAAGGGAAGCCCATCAGACTAATAGCGGATCTCTGGGCAGAAACCCTACAAGCCAGAAGAGAGTGGGGGCCAATATTCAACATTCTTAAAGAAAAGAATTTTCAACCCAGAATTTCATATTCAGCCAAACTAAGCTTCATAAGTGAAGGAGAAATAAAATACTTTACAGACAAGCAAATGCTGAGAGATTTTGTCACCACCAGGCCTGCCCTAAAAGAGCTCCTGAAGGAAGCGCTAAACATGGAAAGGAACAACCAGTACCAGCCACTGCAAAATCATGCCAAAATGTAAAGACCATCAAGACTAGGAAGAAACTGCATCAACTAACAAGCAAAATAACCAGCTAACATCATAATGACAGGATCAAATTCACACATAACAGTATTAACTTTAAATGTAAATGGACTAAATTCTCCAATTAAAAGACACAGACTGGCAAATTGGATAAAGAGTTAAGACCTATCAGTGTGCTGTATTCAGGAAACCCATCTCACGTGCAGAGACACACATAGGCTCAAAATAAAAGGATGGAGGAAGATCTACCAAGCAAATGGAAAACAAAAAAAGGCAGGGGTTGCAATCCTAGTCTCTGATAAAACAGACTTTAAACCAACAAAGATCAAAAGAGACAAAGAAGGCCATTACATAATGGTCAAGGGATCAATTCAACAAGAAGAGCTAACTATCCTAAATATATATGCACCCAATACAGGAGCACCCAGATTCATAAAGCAAGTCCTGAGTGACCTACAAAGAGACTTAGACTCCCACATATTAATAATGGGAGACTTTAACACCCCACTGTCAACATTAGACAGATCGAGACAGAAAGTCAACAAGGATACCCAGGAATTGAACTCAGCTCTGGACCAAGTGGACCTAATAGACATCTACAGAACTCTCCACCCCAAATCAACAGAATATACATTTTTTTCAGCACCACACCACACCTATTCCAAAATTGACCACATACTTGGAAGTAAAGCTCTCCTCAGCAAATGTAAAAGAACAGAAATTATAACAAACTATCTCTCAGACCACAGTGCAATCAAACTAGAACTCAGGATTAAGAATCTCACTCAAAACCGCTCAATTACATGGAAACTGAACAACCTGCTCCTGAATGACTACTGGGTACCTAACGAAATGAAGGCAGAAATAAAGATGTTCTTTGAAACCAACGAGAACAAAGACATAACATACCAGAATCTCTGGGACACATTCAAAGCAGTGTGTAGAGGGAAATTTATAGCACTAAATGCCCACAAGAGAAAGCAGGAAAGATCCAAAATTGACACCCTAACATCACAATTAAAAGAACTAGAAAAGCAAGAGCAAACACATTCAAAAGCTAGCAGAAAGCAAGAAATAACTAAAATCAGAGCAGAACTGAAGGAAATAGAGACACAAAAAACCCTTCAAAACATTAATGAATCCAGGAGCTGGTTTTTTGAAAGGATCAACAAAATTGATAGACCGCTAGCAAGACTAATAAAGAAAAAAAGAGAGAAGAACCAAATAGACGCAATAAAAAATGATAAAGGGGATATCACCACCAATCCCACAGAAATACAAACTACCATCAGAGAATACTACAAACACCTCTATGCAAATAAACTAGAAAATCTAGAAGAAATGGATAAATTCCTCGACACATACACTCTCCCAAGACTAAACCAGGAAGAAGTTGAATCTCTGAATAGACCAATAACAGGATCTGAAATTGTGGCAATAATCAATAGCTTACCAACCAAAAAGAGTCCAGGACCAGATGGATTCACAGCCGAATTCCACCAGAGGCACGAGGAGGAACTGGTACCATTCCTTCTGAAACTATTCCAATCTATAGAAAAAGAGGGAATCCTCCCTAACTCATTTTATGAGGCCAGCATCATCCTGATACCAAAGCCGGGCAGAGACACAACCAAAAAAGAGAATTTTAGACCAATATCCTTGATGAACATTGATGCAAAAATCCTCAATAAAATACTGGCAAACCAAATCCAGCAGCACATCAAAAAGCTTATCCACCATGATCAAGTGAGCTTCATCCCTGGGATGCAAGGCTGGTTCAATATACGCAAATCAATAAATGTAATCCAGCATATAAACAGAACCAAAGACAAAAATCACATGATTATCTCAATAGATGCAGAAAAGGCCTTTGACAAAATTCAACAACCCTTCATGCTAAAAACTCTCAATAAATTAGGTATTGATGGGACATATTTCAAAATAATAAGAGCTATCTATGACAAACCCACAGCAAATATCATACTGAATGGGCAAACGCTGGAAGCATTCCCTCTGAAAACTGGCACAAGACAGGGATGCCCTCTCTCACCACTCCTATTCAACATGCTGTTGAAAGTTCTGGCCAGGGCAATTAGGCAGGAGAAGGAAATAAAGGGTATTCAATTAGGAAAAGAGGAAGTCAAATTGTCCCTCTTTGCAGACGACATGATTGTATATCTAGAAAACCCCATTGTCTCAGCCCAAAATCTCCTTAAGCTGATAAGCAACTTCAGCAAAGTCTCAGGATACAAAATCAATGTACAAAAATCACAAGCATTCTTATACACCAACAACAGACAAACAGAGAGCCAAATCATGAGTGAACTCCCATTCACAATTGCTTCAAAGAGAATAAAATACCTAGGAATCCAACTTACAAGGGATGTGAAGGACCTCTTCAAGGAGAACTACAAACCACTGCTCAAGGAAATAAAAGAGGATACAAACAAATGGAAGAACATTCCATGCTCATGGGTAGGAAGAATCAATATCGTGAAAATGGCCATACTGCCCAAGGTAATTTACAGATTCAATGCCATCCCCAACAAGCTACCAATGACTTTCTTCACAGAATTGGAAAAAACTACTTTAAAGTTCATATGGAACCAAAAAAGAGCCCGCATCGCCAAGTCAATCCTAAGTCAAAAGAACAAAGCTGGAGGCATCACACCACCTGACTTCAAACTATACTACAAGGCTACAGTAACCAAAACAGCATGGTACTGGTACCAAAACAGAGATATAGATCAATGGAACAGAACAGAGCCCGCAGGAATAACGTCACATATCTACAGTTATCTGATCTTTGACAAACCTGAGAAAAACAAGCAATGGGGAAAGGATTCCCTATTTAATAAATGGTGCTGGGAAAACTGGCTAGCCATATGTACAAAGCTGAAACTGGATCCCTTCCTTACACCTTATACAAAAATCAATTCAAGATGGATTAAAGATTTAAACGTTAGACCTAAAACCATAAAAACCCTAGTAGAAAACCTAGGCTTTGCCATTCAGGACATAGGCATGGGCAAGGACTTCATGTCTAAAACACCAAAAGCAATGGCAACAAAAGCCAAAATTGACAAATGGGATCTAATTAAACTAAAGAGCTTCTGCACAGCAAAAGAAACTACCATCAGAGTGAACAGGCAACCTACAAAATGGGAGAAAATTTTCGCAACCTACTCATCTGACAAAGGGCTAATATCCACAATCTACAACGAACTCAAACAAATTTACAAGAAAAAAACAAACAACCCCATCGAAAAGTGGGTGAAGCACATGAACAGACACTTCTCCAAAGAAGACATTTATGCAGCCAAAAAATACATGAAAAAATGCTCACCATCACTGGCCATCAGAGAAATGCAAATCAAAACCACAATGAGATACCATCTCACACCAGTTAGAATGGCAATCATTAAAAAGTCAGGAAACAACAGGTGCTGGAGAGGATGTGGAGAAATAGGAACACTTTCACACTGTTGGTGGGACTGTAAACTAGTTCAAGCATTGTGGAAGTCAGTGTGGCGATTCCTCAGGGATCTAGAACTAGAAATACCATTTGACCCAGCCATCCCATTACTGGGTATATACCCAAAGGACTATAAATCATGCAGCTATAAAGACACATGCACACATATGTTTATTGTGGCATTATTCACAATTGCAAAGACTTGGAACCAACCCAAATGTCCAACAATGATAGACTGGATTAAGAAAATGTGGCACATATACACCATGGAATACTATGCAGCCATAAAAAATGGTGAGTTCATGTCCTTTGTAGGGACATGGATGAAGCTGGAAACCATCATTCTCAGTAAACTATCACAAGAACAAAAAACCAAACACCGCATATTCTCACTCATAGGTGGGAATTGAACAATGAGATCACATGGACACAGGAAGGGGAACATCACACTCTGGGGACTGTTGTGGGGTCGGGGGAGTGGGGAGGTATAGCATTAGGAGATATACCTAATGCTAGATGACGAGTTAGTGGGTGCAGCGCACCAGCATGGCACATGTATACATATGTAACTAACCTGCACATTGTGCACATGTACTGTAAAACTTAAAGTATAATAATAAAAAAAAACAAAAAAAAATACAGAGGTTGAGACAGGAGTATCACTTGAACCTGGGAGGCGGAGGTTGCAGTGAGCCGAGATCATGCCATTGTACTCCAGCCTGCCCGATAGAGCGAGACTCTGTCTCAAAAACAACAGTAACAACAACAACAAAAAATTAGATAATCTTCACAATTTTTAATTGCAGCCTTTCATGGCAGAAGAAAATGGAGCACATATTTAAGAAATTGAAGGGGAGGAATAGTAAGGCAAGGATCTTAGGATCTTATATCCAGCAACATTGGCTCTCAAATATGAACATAAATTACTCTGAACATGCAAGAACTCAATAGTGTTCTTGCTGGGCGCAGTGGCTCATGCCTGCAACCCCAACACTTTGGGAGACCAAGGCAAAAGGATCACCCGAGGCCAAGAGTTTGAGACCAGCCTGGGCAACATAGGGAGACTGTTTAAAAGAATTTTCTTTTTTATTGAGATGGAGTCTCCCACTGTTGCCCAGGCTGGAGTGCAGTGATGCGATCTCGGCTCACTGCAGCCTCCGCCTCCCAGATTCAAGTGATTCTCCTGTCTCAGCCTCCTCAGTGGCTGGGACTACAGGCATGTGCCACCAGGCCTGGCTAATTTTTTTTTTTTTTTGTATTTTTAGTAGAGATGGGGTTTCACCATGTTGGCCTCAAGTGATCATCTGACCTCAAGTGATCTGCCTGTCTCAGCCTCCCAAAGTGCCAGTATTACAGGTGTGAGTCATTGGCACCCAGCCTAAAAAAAAATTTAATTAGCCAAGCATGGTGGTGCATGCCTGTAGTCCCAGCTACTCAGGAAGCTAAGATGGGAGGATTGCCTGAGCCCAGGAGTCCAAGCCTGCAGTGAGCTGTGAGCTTGCCACTGCACTCCAGCCTGGGCAACAGAACGAGACTCTGTCTCAAAAAAAAAAAAAAAAAATTAAAACAAAACAAGAAAAGAGTGTTCCCACAAGCTCTTCCTGAGGAGTCTAATAGAGATTGAGCCTCAGACCCCTAAATGGTCAGAGTCACCAGCACAAGGACTGGTGGTGTACGTTACATTTATTGTTCCCCATAGAACTATAACAAAGTGAGGGCTCTCTAAGGAAATTAAAGAGATGAAGGAAGAACCTAGAGATTAAAAGATACTTAAAAGACAAATCAAAAATATTTTAAATGTAAGACTATAATATGTACAGAGTCTTTCTGGGTGATAAAGCATGTATGTAGAGTCTATTTGGGTGATAAAAAATATTTTTAAAAAGCACAAGAAAGTCATTCCTATAAAAATCAGCATAGTGGTTGGTTATGGGGCTGGAGACAGGGCTGTGAGGAGGACAGGTTCATGGATGAAGGGGCTTCTGGACTGGCTATCAGAGTTCTATTTCTTATTTCTTAGCTTGAAGGTGTTTGCCTTATAATAATTCACTAAGCCATACATTTGATTTGTGAAGTTTGCTGGATTTGTCATTTATTTTACAATAAAAAAGATTTAAAAGAAAAACAGAAGCAAAGATTTACTCCATGAGGACAACTTTGTTTTTGAAAGCCAAAACTTAATTTGTCTTATGTTCTTTTCTAGAGTTTATAACATAACTATTTCTATAAAACAAAGGAGGAAACAAAACCTCTTAGAAACTTGTATCCCATATCAGAATGAACACACAATGATCTCCTTGCTCAGTTTCACAGGGCTCTGTGTGGCTGTTCCAGTCTGCAGAACAGAGAAATTCACCCACACACCTCCTTCTCTCAGAACAGAATTAAGTCACGTTTCTTCAATAGAACAAAAATGTACTTCTCCATTTTCTGCTTGAGACTAACAGAGAGACAGTCTGAGATTCTTCAGTTTCCTTAGAAAAGTATAGCTCAGCTTGGTAACTTAAGGTCATCCATGCTGGGTTGGACTTGAGCTAGCCAAGGGCTCCCTGGCTCAAATTGATGAATGAGTCTAAGCAGGTTTGAGCATACCTTTGCACTCTGAGACGTCTTGGCTCTGCCTGAGCTCTCCTGCCATGCCCTTGAGCTGGATACTTCCATTGGCACCTTGTTTAAGAGCTGCTAGTGCCAGTCATTTAGTAAACAGACGTCAGGGCCCTCCAAATATGTTAGACTTGAACTTTGACTCCCCAGACCCACCAGGGAGGTCAAAAACAGCCCCTTGCATTTCTCAAGGACAAGGAAACCAGCAGAAATGTAAGATGTAGGTCTGCTTTTTTGAAGTCAACAGCACTTTCTGCATTTGTGCTAACCTAACCTCATCCAAATGGGTAGTACTGGTGGTGTCTGCCTATGTACATTTCCCTGCTGGTGCGGCCCTTCCCCAGCTGCAGTGAGTCTAACAGTGAACTTGAAAAATAATGAGAATCTCTAATCTTGTCACTGGAAAATGGAACTATACCTTTAAGGCATACCTGAAAAAGGTCAGGATGCTGGGCTCTGGGAGCTTCCGGACTGTGGGTGGAACCCAGGCCTCCCGCCTTTCCAGAGCCCCGGCCTGCAGTACAAGCCTACACAGCAGAGGCCCTCAATACATGCTAATGTGCAATAATAAATAGATACTCTATGGCACATATTATAAATGTATATTTATGTACATATATCAATGATAATATGTAATGTTAAGGTGTGGGTTCTGCCTTGGAGAGTAAGGGTGTCTAGTTGGGCTGAGGATCCTCCCACACAGGCAGTAACCAAGAAACAACTGAACACTGAGCTACCTCACCCGCCCCTTGCCTGCCGTTCTGTTGCGGGAAGTCAGGGACCCCAAACGGAGGGACCAGCTGAAGCCATGGCAGAAGAACGTGGATTGCGAAGATTTCATGGACATTTATTAGTTCCCCAAATTCATACTTTTATAATTTCTTATGCCTGTCTTTACTGCAATCTCTAAACATGAATTGTAAAGATTTCATGGACACTTATCACTTCCCCAATCAATACCCTTGTGATTTCGTATGCCTGTCTTTACTTTAATGTCTTAATCCTGTCATCTTGTAAGCTGAGGAGGATGTATGTCGCCTCAGGACCATGTGATAATTGAGTTAACTGCACAAATTGTAGAGCATGTATGTTTGAACAAATATGAAATCTGGGCACCTTGAAAAAAGAACAGGATAACAGCAGTTGTTCAGGGAATAAGAGGGATAACCTTGAACTCTGACCACCGGTGAGCCGGGTGGAACACAGCCATATTTCTCTTCTTTCAAAAGCAAATGGGAGAAATATCGCTGAATTCTTTTTCTCAGCAAGGAACATCCCTGGGAAAGAGAATACATGCCTGGGGGTATAGGTCTATAGATGGCCCCCCAGGTGTGGCCGTCTTTTATGGTCTGTAGACTGTAGGGGTGAAATAGACCCGTCTCCCATAGCACTCCCAGGCTTATTAGGAAGAAGAAATTCCCGCCTAATAAATTTTGGTCAGACCGGCTGCTCTCAAAACCCTGTCCCCTGATAAGATGTTATCAATGACAATGGTGCCCGAAACTTCCTTAGCAATTTTAATTTCACCCCAGTCCTGTGGTCCTGCGATCTCGCCCTGCCTCCACTTGCCTTGTGATATTCTATTACGTTGTGAAGTACGAGACCTCTGTGACCCACACCTATTCGTACACTCCGTCCCCTTTTGAAAGTCCCTAATAAAAACTTGCTGGTTTTGCGGCTTGTGGGGCATCACGGAACCTACCGACATGTGATGTCTCCCCCGGATGCCCAGCTTTAAAATTTCTCTCTTTTGTACTCTGTCCCTTTATTTCTCAAACCGGCCGATACTTAGGGAAAACAGAAAAGAACCTACGTGACTATCGGGGCAGGTTCCCCAATACCGTTCCACACGCCTGCTGCCGGCCCCGCCATGCTCAGTGCTCTTGAGGCCTTTCTGATCCTATGATCTGCCAGACTCATTCCCGCCTTTGCACTTGCTGTTCCCTCAGTTCTAAATGGTCTCACAACACTCTACACACACGACACACACCACACACACTACACGCACCACACACATTACACACACCACCCAGGTTTTGCAATCCTCCTCTTTGTCATGATTCAGGGCTCAGCTCAGTATGTCATCACCTCCCAGAGGCTTCCCTGAAAGCCCCCAGCTAAAGCATGCACACACACACACCACACCAAAACCACACACATACACCACACACACCATACACACCACACACAACATTCACACACACACCATATACAACACACACAACACACACACCATACACACACATCATATACCACATACCACTCACCCACATGCACACACCACAGATATGCTGCAACACACAGCACACACACCCCACAACATACCACTCAGCACACAAGACACCATAACACACATACACCATATATACACACACCACACACATACATACACAACATGCACACAGCACACTTACACACACACACACACACACCCGGATTTTCCCCTTTATGCAGTTTCATTTTCTCTCTGGCACTTACCAGCTGCCGGGATCTGGCTGATCTATTTGTTCACTGGTTTATTTCCTGTCCCCCACTGGAGGACAAACGCCCTCAGAGCAGGCATCCCTCCACTGTCATATCCTGAACTTCTGGAACACGACCAGGCTCCAAGAGCTGTTCAGGGAACCAGAAGTTGCAGGGAGGCCCCTGACCTTTGCCGTCACCATCCCCACTCCCATCCTCAAGTCCTCACCCCCCTTACAAATCCCACAGCCAGGGCTTGTGCTGAGCAGCAAAACTCAGGGATGGGATTCCCTTTGCCCAGTTCTCCTGTCAGTCTAGGGGACCTCTCTTCTCCTCCCTGATTCAGCACACACCTTCCCTTTGTACCTGCTACCAGACACTGGCCTCTGTCTTTCCAAACGTCATAGCTTAGTGTCTCCACATGAGATGGCGAACCTTGACAGGTGCATTGAGGGCGTGTGCTCAAGAAAAGGGCAGGGAGGAAGCAGGAGGTGAGGACACTAGGGCAAGAAGTGGTGTCCCTGGAGACAGAGCAGCCTCCCCTGATCCTGGAGACCCCTGGAGCAGGAAAACCCCCACAGACCTGTCCCACTTGCAGGCAAGAAGCTGGCGTTTAGTGCCTCCGTGCCCATCAGTCAATGGCCTCAGCCTGGGGTGGGTGGAGACGAGCTCCCATCCAGCCAGGACAAGATCTGCCAATGGGGGGCAGCCAGAGCTCGCTGCAGCTGGGGATGCCGCCCTGGCAGGGAAAGTTACCTAGGCAGGCTCCACGGGCTTCCACCTGTAGTGTTTAGGTTCATACAAACGCCCAAAGGGCCGTGGACATCAAGCATCCCCCTGCTTCCTGCTGGGGAAGCCCCTCAGGAAAGGAAATACTGAGGGGGTAGCCCTGCCCCAGTGGAGCCCAAGAGAAATATGCAGCCCAAATCGCTATCTCACATCTCATGCATTAGAAGCAAGTGTTCAATAAATGTTAGTTCCTAGCTGTCGGCGTGGCCGCTGCAGCAGGGAATAAAGAGGCCTGGTCTCCCCACCTGCTCTCCCAACCCAAAGCCAACCCTGCAGGCTTGGCAGCCTTGTCCGCTCACCTTCCCATGGGGTGCTCAGCTCAGAGAACAAGATGGAGGAGACCCCTTTTCCCTGCAGCGCATCTGCTCTGCAACGGGCTCTTTTCCAAGCAGCAGGAGAGCCCGGAGCTATAGATTTGATAGCCTTAGGAAGTTCCATTCAGGTGGTGCTGTTCTCGCAGAATTTCTTCATTACTATTTTTACTTGTGGAAAGAAAATCAAGCATGCCTAAAATACACCAAAAGCACCTGTTTCATAAACCTGTTTTATTCCACTGCTTAAAAAAAAAAAAGAATGAACTTCAGAAAATGAAGATCCCTTTTTAAATCTGGATTCATCCAGAATAGGAATTCTACACATAGTGCAATTATTAGATAATTTAAATAGTTTGAAATTTTAATTTTTATAACATTATCACAACCTGGTATGTGTCACAGGTCAACCTTGGAAAACATTCATGGGTCCACCTGGGGGTGGGGTGCGGGTTCCTCATAACTCAGTGAGTTCAAGTGGAGTGTGGCAGAGGCTGAAAGAATTCCTTCCAAAGTCTGCCCCAGAGGGAGTCTAACTCACCCGGAGGGCCTTGCCTGTTACCTGCAGCCAGGTCAGAGGGGCAGCCAGGAGCCAGGAGGGCACAGGCACCATTTTGTTCAAGGTTTATCTCCCTGTATCCACAGTTCCGAGACCGCGCCGGGGCCCAGCATGTTCCTGGCCCTCTCCTGGTCCTTGTCATGGCCGAATGGCTGGAGGCAGGCAGCCCCCAGCCCTGCTGCCTTGGCCACGTCCTCCTTATCTGATTAGAACCCCTCTATGTATGGTCTTGCCCCTCCAATCCAGCAGAATGCACTTTCTAACGCATGGCTTTGTCAAGCGTGCCACTTTCTGCTTAAAACTCTCCTGGCTCTGCCTGCTTCTAAGACAGAATCCAGATGTCTTAGCCTGGTCCCCAGACCTTTCAGGGTGGATGCTTCCACACTGACCCTGTGAATGGTCCCCACTAGAGACTGCAGGTACCTGTTGTGAACATACACATGTGCATGCACACATGTGTACACACACCCATGCATGCACACATGCACAGCTTCCCACTGCCAGTCTGCGTCTGTGCTGTTCGTTGCTGGTGGAGCTCATTTCTTCCTCCCCACAGGTGCTTTTTCTTTTTTTCTGTTTTAGACGGAGTCTCGCTCTGTCCCCCAGGCTGGAGTGCAGTGGCACCATCTTGGCTCACTGCAAGCTCTGCCTCCTGGGCTCATGCCATTCTCCTGCCTCAGCCTCCCGAGTAGCTGGGACTACAGGCGCCTGCCACCACGCCCGGCTAATTTTTTGTGTTTTTAGTAGAGACGGGGTTTCACCGTATTAGCCAGGATGGTCTCCATCTCCTGACCTCGTGATCCGCCCACCTTGGCCTCCCAAAGTGCTGGGATTACAGGTGTGAGCCACCGCGCCCTGCCCAGGTGCTGTTTCTTCTTTGCTCATTCATTCATTCATTCATTCATTATTTCTGCAGCCCCATTACCACTGCAGGGCTGGGCCCCTACAAACCCCTCCCCTGCAAACTCCTCCCATGTCCCCTCCCTGCTTCTCAGCCCTGCCTCGCCCTCTTTGGGGCAAAAGCCCTGCAGAGGGCATAGTGTCCACGGTGTGGGACGGGAGAGGATTTGAAGTGTGCACATTAATGAGCACTTCTTTCTTCGGGTAGTCAGGCCTTTATTTTTTGTTATCTTGAATTTGTGGCAAGTAATACTGGTTCTCCTTCCTAAAAACAACTTATTTCTTTTTTCATTTTAAGAAAAAGATTAAGCAAGCGATATTGGATGTGCCCAAAGTCCTTCAGATGGTGGAACAGTGGCTCGTTTTCAGACTCATGGCCCCAGCTGTATCTACTCTACCTTGCATGCACACCTTTCCACTGTAGCTTTTCCTAGTCTCTTGTTCCCTCTGGACCAGGAGCTCCCGGGGGGAGGCAGAAACATCTCTTGGCCATCATTGTGTCCCCAAGGCCTGCGATGCCCAGCACTCAGTGCACTGTACACTCAGTTCCCACCTGAGCTGGGCCCTGTGTGCTCCACAGCCTCCTGCTAGGCCTGGTTGTGCATCTGGCTTGGCCCAAAAGTGACTTCCTCATTTCCTGTGGTCCGGTCCTGGTTCCTGGATGACAGCCAAGCAGGGAGCAGTGTGTTTACCTGCCTGCATCTGGCTGTGGTCCTGCCTCAGATGTTCTCATGACTCCACCGCTGACCTTGGGTCCCCTGGGTGGCTCTGCAGCGCCTGATTCAGGGCCCAGCCATGGAACCAGAAAGACAGAGCCCAGTAACGGGTTTGCGAATATATTTGAAGGTCCTTGGCGTGTTCTCTTCTGGGAAAAGGTCTGGGAGTGGGTGCCCTGTGATGCTTACTTTCAGATGGCTTGTCCAGGTTCAAAAAAAGGTTAATTGGGATTGCTACGTATTCTCCACTGTCAATCAGCTGCTCCCTTACATGGGCCAGGTCAGCTGGTGCCCAGGGCAGGGCACTTGGGCTTGTATCTCTCCGTGCCATACACAGCCCCTGCAGCACCCAGAAGGGAGGCCGAGTTGCTCAAGACCCCCATTTATTCAGTCCTTCCTTCCTTTCTTTAGACATTCATTCCACAAACACCTTAACCCATTTCCCGGATTCCAGTTTTTTCCCTCCGCAGTCTATCTTCCCTACTGCCACCAGGGTGAGCTCCCTAAGGCATAGTTTCAGATTGTGCTACTCCCTGGGCTCAGTGATCTCAGACCCCAACCCTCTGGCCCCATATCCTGCCACTCACTGTCCACCTACCCCCATCCTCCAGTCCCAGGCACTGAGCACTCTGCCAACAAGGACCGTTCCTTCTGCCTGGAATGACGTGTTTCCATCACGCCCGCCCTTGCCCCCAGAGGTCACCTCTTGGTCCACTTTCCCCAGTTCCTCCAGCTAGTAGGAGTTTCTCTTTCTTCTGGACACCTTAAGCCTGCAGTCATGTCCGAGGAGGGGAAAGGTGTGGGTTTGTGTGTTGGACTTCCTTGAATCACACCTCTGGAGCCTGCCCCCAGTGTGCCTTCTGATGTATCAGCAGAACCGTGGGATGAATGTTAAGATCTGGCACGCAGTAGGCACTCATCCAACCATGGGAAGATGGGAGGTCTGGCACACGGTAGGAACTCATCCAGACTCTGGCAGTAACTGGGAAGCTTGGCATGTTCACAAGGACCCTCCTGGGTAAAGGAATCAGGCTCCGAGGCTCTGAAGAGGAAGCTGCAGCAGCTGTGGTTTGAACCTTCAGATGGTGACAGCCAGACCCTGGAGTATGGCCAGCCCCCAGCTCTGCAGCCCCCATCCTGTCCTTAGCCTTTGGGATGGCTCTGGGTGAGGATGTACGACAGAGGGCAGCCTCACAGCTCCTGTGCAGGGGACTGCAGAGTCAGCAAGGAGAAACGCCAGCCATGTGTACTGAGCACCTACGATGTGCCAGTGCATTCTTTTTTGTTGAATCTTTCCAACCATCCTACAAGGCAAGGATTAGTTCAGAATTGGAGACTGAGGCTGAGACTCATTCATTTAAGGTGTTATGATTAGGAGGTGGCTGAACTTGGAGCCTCCTGACATCTGTTTGACCCAAGCCCTGCAATTTTATAGTCATGGCTTTTTTCTACCGTTAGTGCATAAACTCAGTTCAAATAGTTTTAAGAAAAAAGGCCAGGCGTGGTGACTCACACCTGTAATCCCAGCACTTTGGGAGGTTGAGGTGGGCGAATCATGAGGTCAGGAATTCAAGACCAGCCTGGCCAATATGGTGAAACCCTGTCTCTACTAAAAATACAAAAATTAGCCAGGCATAGTGGCGGGCGCCTGTAGTCCCAGCTACTCGGGAGGCTGAGGCAGGAGAATCGCTTGAACCCAGGAGGTGCAGGTTGCAATGAGCCGAGATCGTGCCACTGCACTCCAGCCTGGGCGACAGAGATTCTGTCTCAAAAAAAAACACAAAAAACAAAAAACAACAACAAAAAAAGTCATGCGTGTTTCATGTAACTGAAAAGTCCACGGAAGAGAGTGTCTTGTTCCTTCAGGTCCATCAGAAACTCTAAACTGAGTCAATAGATGGGTCCCTGAATTAAGTGCTGGGCCAAGAACAATGGCATTCACTGATTGCCAGGACCTGGGTCATGAGACAACCCCTAGCAGGCAGTGGGAAGGGGAGGGTCTGTCCCTCCTGAACTTCTTGGACTGGGAGTAGGGGAGGGTGGATGTACTAGTTTCCTGGAGCTTCTAGAATAGAATATCACAGACTGGGAGGCTTAAACGACAGAAATCATTTTCTCACAGTTCTGGAGGCTGGAGGTCTGAGATCAAGTTGTGGGCAGATCGAGTTTCCTCTGAGGCCTCTTCTCCTTGGCTTGTAGATGGCCACCTTCTCCTCACATGGTCTGTATGTGTGTGCAGCCCTAGTGTCTCTATGTGAGTACAAATTTCCTCTTTTTCATTTGTAGAGACAGGATCTCACTATGTTGCTCAGGCTGGTCTCAAACTCCTGGCCTCAAGTGATCCTCCCACCTTGGCCTCCCGACGTGCTGGGATTACAGGTATGAGCACCTGGCCCAGCCCTAAATTTCCTCTGCTTGTGATGACATCAATCAAATTGGATTAGTGCTCACCCATTTTACCTTAATGACCTCTTTCAAGGCTCTATCTCCAAAATACAGTCACACTCTCAGGTACTGGGGATTAGGACTTTAACATATGCATTTTGGGGGGACATCATTCAGCCCATAATAGTGGATCCCCAAAGAACAATCAGGATGGTGTTACCAAAAGAGGAGTGAGTGGGGACACAGTTACAGTAGGCAGCCACTATAATTCGCAGAGCTCAGAACAGTAGCAACAGTGAGTGCTCCCAACCAGAGATAGGAAGGATCACTTCTGCCTAAGTTTAAAAGGAAGAAACTGAGAATACCAGAATTTGCTGGCTAGAATTAGGGACCTCAGAGATCATCTACACCAGTCCCACATGACAATCGCAGCTCCCATGAAAGCACTGGCTCTGGCTTCCCTGGCCTCTGGTTCTTTCCTTATTATGTTCATAGTTTCCTCTATCTCTCTGGTCACATAGAGTGTATTTATAACACTGTTTTCAGGCCTCTGTCTGCTAATTCCATCATCCTTGTCATTTCTGCATTTGTTTCTACTGACTTTTTCCCCTGGTTGGGGGCCATATTTTCTGGCATCTTTGCATGGCTAGTAATTTTTGACTGGATGCTAGACATTGTGATTTTACATTGTTGTGATTAAACACTGCTGTACTTCATTCCAGCATGCAGCAAGTAACTTGAGCTCAGTTTCATTCTCTTGAGTTGGCTTTTAAGTTTTATTACTTACCAGAGTAGCCTTTGGTTTAAAGCTGTGATCTTTTGGAGGACTTTGCCTGATACCCTCTATATTGTGAGGTATTTCCACACTGGCTGGAGGGAACATTGAGTACTGTGTGAGTTTTCTGAATTATTCCAGGCCTGGTACTCTCTGGTGTCCTTTCTGCTGCCAGCCTCACGGAGCTTCACTCCACAGATGCAGAGATCAGCATTCAGACAGAGACTTAGGGTGGCCCTTCTGCAGAACTCTGGTGTTCTCTCTTTGGGTGAGCAGCTCCCTCATCCTGGGTACTCTGACCTGCGAATCCTAGTGACTTCGCTTCTCTGAACTCCATTATCTTTTTCCACCCAGTGAGACTCAGGGTTCAGTTGAGTTCTCCCTCCTGTGCGCAGCCCAAAGCTGCCTCCAGGAAGGAAGCTGGGCAACCACAGGGTGCACCTCAGTTGTTTTACTCCTTTCAGGGATCACAGTCCTGCACCACCTGATGTCCAGCGTAGGAAAACCATTGTTTCATCCAGAGTCCTTACCTGGGCTAAGCTCTGCTACCATTATTTCATTAAATCTTCACAACACCCTAGAAGTCACACTATCTTAAAAATGAGGAAATCTTGCCAGTCAGAATGGCAGTGATTAAAAAGTCAAGAAACAGTAGATGCTGGTGAGGCTGTGGAGAAATAGGAACACTTTTACACTGATGGTGGGAACGTAAATTAGTTCAACCATTGTGGAAGACAGTGTGGCGATTCCTCAAGGACCTAGAACCAAAAAATATCATGTGACCCAGTAATCCCATTGCTGGGTATATACCCAAAGGAATAGAAATCATTTTACTATAAAGACACATGCACACATAATGTTTATTGCAGCACTATTTACAATAGCAAAGACATGAAACCAACCCAAATGTCCACCAATGAAAGACTGGATAAAGAAAATGTGGTATATACACAACACGGAATACTATGCAGCCATGAAAAGGATGAGATCATGTCCTCTGCAGGGACATGGATGAAGCTGGAAACCATCATCCTCAGCAAACTAACACAGGAAGAGAAAGCCAAACACCACATATTCTCACTCATAAATGGGAGATGAACAATAGGAACACATGGACACGGTGGGGGCCAGACAACACACACACCAGGACCTGACAGGGGGCCAAGGGGAAGGAGAGCATTAGGACAAATATCTAATGCATGAGGGGCTTAAAACCTAGATGAAAGGTTGACAGGTGCAGCAAACCACCATGGCACATGCATACCTATGTAACAAACCTGCACGTTCTGCACATGTATCCCGCAACTTAAAGTAAAATTAAAAAAAAAATGAGGAAACTTAAGAGTGGCCAGGTAACTGTCTCAGAGTCAGACAACCGCTAAGGTCTTCAACACATTTGTTTCTATGAACTCTCCCTGGCACTGTCCTGGACCCAGAGGCCCAGATGTAGAAGGTATGAGAGCATCCAGGCTCCAGGGACAAGGCCTTGCAACCAATATCCAGGCCTCCTTTCACTTCAGAATTCTCCTCCTGCAGATGTCCTGGCTCCCAGTTCCAGAGCTCCTTTCTTTGTGTACACAGTGTGGGAAGGACTGCTTGGTCTGCATTTATAGTCACCATCACATTTGCCCATAAGGCACACTGACGCAGCACACAGCAGTCTCTATTTAACAGCATATTTGCTCAATGAAACTGATTGAAATTTAACACGTAGGGTCTGCCTTAATGATCTTCTTGGAGAATGCTGAGCAGTGCACCTGGAGTGTGGAGGCAGCGTCCAGGCTATTAGAGTGAAGCCAGTCAAGGTGGCTGCTTCTCAAACTGATTTTTCAATCTCAAGCTCCTCCTTCCTCCACTTTGACTTTATTTTACCAAGGATTTCAAACATGGAGAAAAAAGTAGAAAGATGAAACACTCATAGACCCATATCTAGACTGAGCAATTTTGCTTCATCTTGTTTATTCCTGTAGTATTTTAAATAACAAATACAATGACGGTTCACTTCTAAATACTCCAGCATGCAGCTCTAAAATTTAAGGATCTTTTCCCACCTAACCATAACAACTATTATTATACTTAACAAAATAAAAAAAATACATCATCTAACACCAGTCCATAGTTCAAACCACCTCTTGCCCTTGACATTTTTTTAGTGTTGGATAATTAAAGCAGTTTCCAATTAAGGATAACACAGTGCATTTAAATGTTGTATTTCTTTTCTTTTCTTTTTTTGAGATGGAGTCTTGCTCTGTCACCCAGGCTGGAGTGCAGTGGCGCGATCTCGGCTCACTGCAAGCTCCGCCTCCCGGGTTCACGCCATTCTCCTGCCTCAACCTCCTGAGTAGCTGGGACTACAGGTGCATGCCACCATGCCCGGCTAATTTTTTCTATTTTTAGTAGAGACGGGGTTTCACCATGTTAGCCAGGATGGTCTCGATCTCCTGACCTCATGATCCGCCCACCTCGGCCTACCTAAGTGCTGGGATGACAGGCGTGAGCCACCGCGCCCGGCCAAATGTTGTATTTCTTACATCTTTTAAAATCTAGAACAGCTCTTCTCCACTGGCCCCTTCTTGCTCTATAATATTGACTATTGAAGAGACCAGACTACTACCTGAAAGAATATTCTACCTTCTGGCTTTGTTTCAGTGTCTTTTTTTTTTTTTTTTGAGATGGAGTTTCACTCTTGTTCCCCCAGGCTGGAGTGCAATGGCACGATCTCTGTTCACTGCAACCTCGGCCTCCCGGGTTCCAGTGCTTCTCATGCCTCAGCCTCTTGAGTAGCTGGGATTACAGGTGCCTGCCACCATGCCCAGATATTTTTTTTTAGTAGAGATGGGGTTTCACCACGTTGGCCAGACTAGTCTTGAACTCCTGACCTCAGGTGATCTGCCCATCTCGGCCTCCCAAAGTGCTCAGAGTTACAGGCATGAGCCACGGTGCCTGGCCTGTTTCACTGTATTTCTTATGGTGTCACTTGTTCCTCAACCTCCTCTATTTCCTGTAAGCACGAAGTTGGGTCTAAAGTCTTGAATATACACTTTTGGGCTGGGTGGCATTGTGCATTGTGACTACATGCCTGGTCATCCAGTATGATGCCCAGATCTCCCACTGAATCCAAGAGGCAGTGGGCATAGGCCTTGTTCCTCTCCTTTCAAAGGGCAAAAAATCTGTGGTCAGGCCCCTTTTCCTGCATAAAATCTCCACATCCCTGTTCCATTCTCATCTCTCCCCACCGACTGAGAAACATGCCCCATTGACTCACTGTGCCTTCTGGTACCTCCACCAGGCAAGATTTTGCTGAATTTACCTCCTGAATTTGCAGTGCACATGTGTGAAATTTTTTGGAATTAAAAAAATTAAAACTGTACTTTTCAAGATTTAAAACTGTAATATTGATTGTGTTCTTCATGGCCCCAAAGCAAGATTCTGTTGTATCTTGGAGGAGGGGGGTCACTACTCTGAAATCCCAGTGATGGGCAGCACTGAGCAACTGAGAGCCTCAGCATTCTTGGGCTTGTTCACACCCACAAGCTTGGCACAGATCCAAGTCCTGCAAGATGCCTGGGAGGGCAACTGAGACCTGTGGCCCAGCCACATTGACTCAGGAGGTAAAAATGTCAACAGGCCACAACCTCCAGGGCTCCTGGAATTGGAGACGAAGCCAGTTCTGAGCTTATGCAACCATAGGACAGTGAGAGAGGGCCATGGACTCGATTTAGAGCCACAAGATGAGAGCACTGCTGGAGCACCGTGGGGATGCTGACAAATCTTCTCAGGGCTTCAAGGACCGTGGCTACAGGTACATCTCAGCCAAACTTGGGCACATGTTGCAATCAAGGGACTGAAGCTACAACCACCTGGCCCGTGGTCCACCTGGAGTTTTGTTTTGTTTGTTTTTGAGATGGAGTCTCACTCTGTCACCCAGGCAGGAGTGCAGCGGTGCGATCTTGCTTCACTGCAATCTCCACCTCCTGGGTTCAAACAATTCTCCTGCCTCAGCCTCCTGAGTAGCTGGGACTACAGGTATGCGCACCCACGCCCAGCTAATTTTTGTATTTTTAGTACAGACAGGGTTTCTACTAAAACCCTGGTTGGCCAGGCTGACCTCGAGCTCCTGACCTCAAGTGATCTGCCTGCCTCAGCCTCCCAAAATGCTGGCTGGGATTACAAGCATGGGCCACTGTGCCCGGCCCCACCTGGAGTTTTAAAATTCTGATTTATAAATTTATTATATGACAGTCTACCAAAAGTATGCAAATCCGGCACTACACTTATTTATGCATTCAGTGAGTCACCTTTATCTGAGTGCAAGTGGCAACTGTTCTAGAAAATGGGAACCATGAGGTTATCAAAGAACCTGGAGGTAGGGTCAGATGAGGAAGCACATCATTATGATGTCTTACACATGCAGTCATGTCTCCTCTTATAATCCTAAGACTCACCTGTGAGATTCCTATTACAGCCCCTAGTTTACATGTAGGAATATCAGAACCCCAAGGTTTAGAAACAGAACGGCCAGAAACAGGAGGAGGATGGCCATGCAGCTGGGCGTGGCAAGGCCAGGCCTCCCAAGTCTGCATGACTCTTAAGCTCCTGGCCATTCGTTACAGCACGCCATCTCCAATGCAGAATCACACCAACAGAACTGAAACTGCACATTAAAGAGAAGGCGAGTGTCACCAAAATCTGTTTCCCAGGCTTCTTTGCAGAATTCCAAATTCCTAGCACGACCAATAAGGCCCTTCTTCTACCTCTGCAGCCTCAATTTATGTCACTTTCCTGTTGTTCCCTATGCTTCGGCCATCCTGGCCTTTCTGTGCTCTGAAGGAGTGGTGCTCCTTCCTAAACCAGGGCCTTTTCACGTGCTGTTCCCACTCCAGTTCACCTAGCTGGTTTCTGCTTATCCTTAAAGTCTGGGTTTATCTTATTTCCTCAAGGGAGGCCTCCCTGCTCTGGAGCAGGTCAGGCCACCATGTCCTTTACCGTAGAGCACCCTACTTGTCCTGGACAGCACCTTCACAGATGCTTCTCCTTCAAGGGGTCAGAGTCACCAGGCCACCACTACAGCGCCTGAGCCCCGGAGGTTTCTGATTTCCACAGAAAGCTTCAAGTGCATGCTGTGTGTGAGTGAGCCTGGCCACTTCCTCTGTGGGACTTCAGTTCCTTATCAGTAAAACAGAGCCCGTGGCTTTCCATGAATGTGGGGTTGACTTACCAGAATGCTCAGGTCCCACGTTATCCTCTTGAACGCAGCAGCTTTCCTCTAACCCACGAAAATGGAAAAGCTCCTGTGCCATTCCCAAATACTTATTTAATCTGCATTCTGGGTGGCCCCTAGGGCAGGTGACGGGCATTCTCTACCGCAGGATGGTGCCCCACCTGGTCCTCCCCAGGCCCTGTGGCCATCCTGGCCACCTCCCTGTGGGCTCTCCCAGCCCTGCTGTTCAGCACTGTCCCTACCTCACAGAGGTAGGGACCTCTTTTTCTTACCTTCTTCCTTTTCTTACCTTCGTTCCTCCAATCCCTGACGGCCCCCAGACCTACTGTAGTTGTCTCTGTGTCTTCGGAGAGAAGACACCCCATTAATGTGCCATGAAACCAAATTTATTCCATTTAAAGGGCTGCCTTCATTCGGAGGCTTTGTCCATGTCTTGGTTTTAACCTCTCTTTTCTGAAATTACAGTAAAAATAAATAGGTGTGTGTTGCTTTAACTTTTCCCTTGGAGAAATCTGAAGCCCCCACCTTTTACTGTCATGGGAAACACCAGGGCCTGAGAAGAACTCCCACCTCGGGCGAGGATGCCGTTCCTGAGCCCCACGCGTGGCCTGGGCTTTCCTTTCCCTACTTCTCTCTTCCCCCGACTTCAGCAGATCCTGAGTCCCACAACTATTCTAGCATTAGCTTCTGCAAGCCCAGCTGGGCTGAGGTTTCTGCGGCTGCTTCCTCTTGGTCTCTCTGGAAAACTCCACTCATTCAGCACCCAAGCAAGAGGTCACCTGTCTGGAACGCACTCCCTCGGCAGCGCTGTGCCACCTCTTTCCACCCCATTTGAGTGGCCGGCACTTACCTGTGCTGTTTGTTACCTGACGTGTCCCTTCTCCCACCTACCAGGCAGTTGGTGCGGCGCTCCCAGCACACTCGGGCAATGAGTGGGCAGGCGCTCAGGTAACGTTTGTCGAATGAATGAATGAGCCACGTGCTCAGGAGGACCCTTTCCAGAGCCTCTGCTGGTTTGTTCTGCTCCGGGACTCTCCACCAGGGAGAAATCCGAGCTGGGGACCTCGCACCACCAGGCTCCGGCCTAAGCCCGCGCCTTGCAAGCCGCCCGTTTCCTACCTCCCGTAGAAACCCCCCGTCCGTCCCGCCCCCCTAAGGGCGCACCCCTCTCACGGCGTGAGCGCCAGCCCCGGGAGCTCCAGGAACTCAGGAGAACCCCGCGGGGGTGCCCGGGTGCGGAGCGCGGGGCTGGGCGCACTGGGACAGAGGAAGGGGAGCCCCGGCGACCGCGGGGTCGGGGCCCAGGGTCCGCGCCGAGGGCGGGCGCAGAGCCCGCGGCCGTCCCGCCTCCCGCCGGCGCTCCCGGCCTTTCCCATCCGGCCCGCGACGCTCCGCCCGCCCCGTCCCACATGACGCCGCCTCCGCCGCAAACTTTTTCCTCCCCATCCTGTCGCGGCTCGAAAGGAATGGAAAATGGCGGCCTAGACGCGGAGTTTCCTGCCCGACCCGCGGCGGCTCCGGCGGCGCCATGACGCGCTGGGTGCCCACCAAGCGCGAGGAGAAGTACGGCGTGGGTGAGCAGCGCCGCCGCCGCCGCGCCTCTCGCCCCAAGCCCAGGCTCCGGCGGGGCGGGTGTGCCGGGCGCCTGTTGCCGCCGCCCCGAGCGGCCGCCGGGCCGGGGAGAGGCGCTTCCGCCCGCGCCCGCGCCGCCGCCCCGCTCGCAATGCCCGGCGACCCCGGCCGCCCCGCGCCCCCGGCGGCGTCAGCTCCAGCCCCGGGGATGCGGGTCGGGAACACGAGGGGGTGGGGTGGGAATGGGGGCGGGCGCGTCCCTCCCTAGGGTGTCCCCTCCGACGCCCGCTCCTCTGGACCTCTGCCGTGGAGCCCCCCGGGCTACCCCCAACTCCCCGGCCCCGGCCGCTGCTATCTGCGCGGCTGGGCCCGTCAGGGAAGCCCAGGGGTCACTGTCTCGCGGCGGCTTCTGCTTCTTGGATGAACTTGCGTCCCGCGTCCGGGCTCTGGGTGGGCGGGCTCAGGTCGGCGCGGTCCCAGCGGATAATTCCGCCCTTTCCCGGCGGGGAGGAGGGGGCGCGACCTGGGTGGCCAGCGCCCCTTGCCCCTCGGCGGTCTCGCTGGGGACCGTGTGGGACCTTGGAGAGAAGGCGAGCGGCCGAGCGCCCCAGTGGCCCCAGGCCTGGAGACCCTTCCGGGAGAGCGGGGGCCTGTTTTTGCTCCGCGGCTCTTTGTCGCTTCCGAGGGGGGATGGAAGGAGTCGGGTTGCAAGTTTACATTTCGGACCCGAGTGCGCATTCCTGAGAGGGAGGCTTTCCCTTGCGGCTGAATAGACGGGCCCGTCCGCGTGGGACCCGCATCCTTGCGCCCCGGGGACCCGCAGCCGGTCGCCGAGGCCTGCGGACGCCCACCTCTTCGTGATCTGCGCGCCTGGTGTCGGGACTGGGCCGTGGCTACTCTCCTGCTCTCCCGGGTCCGGGATCTTCCCAGTTGGTTTTCGGGCTTGCTATTCCCCGTCCCACCATCCACAGACATCCTTGACCGCCTGCCTCATCCAGGCCACTCGACCCGACTGGGAAGACCTTTGGTGGTCTCGCCTCCCACAGCCCAGGCTGTGTCCTCCAAGGGCACCGTCTCAGCAGCAGCCCCGCGCCCATTCTGTGCCTGGCCCGTGCTGGACCTGCCCGACCCTCTGCTGGTGTGGTTCGAATCCTGGCTCTCTGACTTTTGGGAAGCGCCCTGGCAGCCCTTGTCCCCGGAGCGCTCTCCTTTCTGTGAACAGTTGCTTCTCTCTGCTGTCAATGACTTACAGTATGCCCTGACCACGGAGCCAGCTGGACAGTGGTCACGGGGACAGTCCTGGGACAGCCCTGGGTCCTACCGGGCCTGCACTTAGCTTGTTCCACATGCTGGGAGGCATAGGGGGCCTCCTTGCTTCAGGACCATTATGACTGAGCTTCCTCCCCATCTCCCCATTTTGCAGATGAGGAAACTGAGGCCCAGACACATTCACAAAAGTGCAGGAGAGCTCATCTGACTGCAGACTCAGTGTGTAACCTGCACCCTGTGCACCACCTAATGGATTCAGTCTGGGGCACTTGGCACGGGCCTTCAGTCTGCATCAGAGGCGAGAGGTTCGGGGTGGATATTCCACCTGAGAATGCTTGGGTTGTGGCGACAGTGGGGGTCCCTGCGGGGGTAGTGTGTAGAGGAGAGAGCTGAGGACTGACTCCCAGGGAACCTAGCACCAGCACACGCAGAGAGAGAGGAAGAGGTGGATAGGCAGGAGAGGCAGGAGGCTGGCAGAGGAGCAGGCATCCCATAGCCCTGGCCCTGCTGAGGAAGCAACTTAGGTGCCCATGGCCAGGGTGCAGTAGTGGCCATTGGGGGTGTAGTGGGGGCCATCGGGGTGCAGTGGGGGCCATCACTGCTCCCATTCTACAGAGGCAAGGAAGAGGTGGATTGCTTGCCTGAGGTCACATCACCAGTAAGTGGTGCCTCCTGGGTGTGAAGTGTGGCCGCCCTGGGTTCAGCTGCCACAGTGTCCTGTGCTTGCCTGCAGATGGGGAGGGCTTCTCTTTGGGACGCCACATTTTAAGAGACCTTGTTACCCTTCGTCTGCCCCCAGAGAGACCTGGATGGTGTCAGTTAGGATCCTATAGTGTAGCTGGATGGTCTGGAGAAGACTGAAAAGAATGTTCGTAGATGGGAGAACGGGGTCTCCTTGCTGGGGAGGAGGCTGAGGGCCAGAACAGGGCGGTGCGCTTGAGTCTCACACCTTCCAGAAGCTTCACCAGCGCTCATGGTGGTGACTTCTAACATCACACCTCTTGCTAATACTTTGGTTTTAAGAAAACTCCATGTTTGATTATTAAGAAAAAATAAATTTAAAAAAGTTAAAAAAAGAAAAAATAGAAAACTGTTGGAAAATTTTAAAAGGCGAAAAGTATCTGGGATGGTTTTGCCAGGAAATGCTAGGAAAGATGTGAAGGGCTGAAGGTAGAGAAGAGAGTGGCTGCTGTGCTTCCTCTCACTGGGTGCAGATGACAGCTTGCTGGGTAGACAGTAATGAGACAGCACCACTCCATCGGCATCCAGAGGCACTTTAACCAGAGTCCCCCATCAGGGAGGGTGGGAGGGGAGCTGAGCATGAGCGCAATGGGGCCATCCCAGGCTCCCCACTTGTCTGCAAGTGTGCAGTGGGAGGATTTTAGTGGTTCTCACGAAGGATGCTGACTGGGAAGGATGTAGGTGCTGGGATGTAGGGATTTATTGCCAGTAGGTGATTGGCTGTTTCCACCTAAGGGAAAATTACTGGAGGACCCCTCCACCATCCTTACCAACTCCAGCATTTTTCGGAGCTTAACAACAGGGCTGTGTTTCCCTGGAGGCGCTCTGGTGGCTCTGTGGGTGGACCACACTTCCACTCTGGCCACTTGGCCCATGAACGAATCACGAGGGGTAAGAAAATGATAAAACTCCATCTCATTTGGAAACATGAATCACAGCTTATTGTTTGCAAGTACTTGGAATCTGTTAGAAGCATTGTTTGTAAATGAGATACTTCAGTTGTATATTTATTTTGTAAAATTGGGAAAGGAGTAAACAGCTGATCTGGGGTTCCTTCTGCAAAGGCAGGAAATGCTGGTTCCTCCCAATTCATTCCACTGGGGGCTGCCTGTGAAATTTACCAGCCCGCGTTTCCCCCTTGGTTTTGAGTTGGTGGGTCATGTTTACGGGCCTGGCATATTAACAGGCATAAACCTTGACTCAGCTGTCACACTGGCCAGATGATCTTTTCTCTCACAGCCCAGTAGGCAGTTTTATGTCCCGACGTCAATAAAATTATGTTGCCATGGATCCTGTTCCTAAGATTAGGTGAAAAGATGCAGTATGTTCTAGAATCACACGTGAGGACCATGTGCTCACTCACTCACATCTCAACAATGGTGTTGAAGGCAGAATAATGGTCCCCAAAAAGGTCCACGCCCTAATCCCCAGACTCTGTGAATTCAATATGTTACATGGCAAAAGGGACTTGGCAGATGTGATTCAGGTTACTTGGAATTCGTAGATGGGAGATTATTCAGGACCATCCACGTGGGCACAGAGAACTTTGGCTGTCAAAGTTGTGAAACAGGCAGTCAGAAGATCCTATGTTTGGAAGCACAGTTGCTGGCCCTGAGATGTAGGGGCTCACTTGCAAGGACCAGAGAGAGGCCTCAGGGAGCTACGGGAGGCCCCTAGCTAATGATCGGCAGTTACAAAGAATTGGATCCTGCCAACACCCTGAATGAGCTTGGAAACAGATTTCCTCCCCAGGGCCTCCTGCTAAGAGCCCAGCCAGCCAACACCTTGATTTTGAGACCCTGAGCTGCTGGGCGTGTGGCCTGTGGAACTGAGATAATACATTTGTGTGGTTTTAAGCTGGCTGGGTTGTGGGAATTTGTTACGGCAGCAGTGGAAAACTAATACAGATGATGGGAGAGAAGCTTGCAGGGTGAGGCTCTCTTGCACCCTTGAGATCTGTTACTAAGTTCATTGAAGGTAGTGAACCCAAGTGTGCTCTTCACTTTGGCCACTTCCAAGTGCAGCTCTCAAATGGGATGGGGCATTGGCACTGCTCTTACTCATAATGGGACCCTTGAGCAAATTACTCATACTTTCTTAGCCTTGGTTTTCTCATCTGTGAAGTGGAACCAAGCCTGCTTGCTGCCGAGTCGTGAGGACTCGCTGAGATGATGTTGGCAGAGAATTTAGCCCTGCGTTTAAGATATGCCAAGTACTCAACGAAGCGTTGCTTTTGTTAACTTTTTATTTAATAAAGCATAAAGTTTAGAAACATAGTGACAAGTGACTTCTGTGTGCGGTTAACGGGTTGCTGGAAAAATGCCTTTCTTCAAAAGTTGGTTTCTTGATAGTGTGTTTTGCTTCCTAATTGGGGTAGAAGTCACATTTGCTCAGTGTGAGGAGCCTGACTTGCGTGCCTTCACATTAGCTCTAAGCAATGATAATTGCTAGGAATAGTGTGATATCCAAATAAATTTGGGAGCGTGGGAGTTGATGAGAGATCTCTTTTGTTATCTAGAGTAGCAAGCAAGCTGCTACTTTGGGGAAGAAAAATTAGATTTGATCATAAGTAAATAGAAATGCAGGCATTTTCATTCACTGGAATTGCAGCAAAACCAAATCAGGGCATATTATATTTCTACAAACCTGATTTTACTTTGGAAACATAAGAAATTTAAATTTATTTCTATGCCATTGTTTGCCTAGGATACCAGACATCTGATCAGGATTGTCTTAGTGTGTGTCAATAGTTCTGTCTCTTTATCACCTCTGTGGATGCAGGTAGTGAAATGGGGAGGAAGAAATAGGCCACGTGGTGTCCTTTGCTGGGTGTGGCGCTGACGCCCCAGGGCCATCGCTGTAGCAAGCGCACACTTGTACGCTGTTCCCACCCTCCTTCCCTCCCTCCCTTTTCCCTTCTTTCTTTTCTTCCTCTCTGTACTTTGTATTTTCAGATGATTGCATTAAACTTTGTATTTTCAGATAATTATAGCCAAATGCGGGTGTAAAATATAATTCAGGGAGATCATGAGTAGCCATTACTAGTTTCACCTAAGGTTACGTCTTGTAAAGCTGTAGTACAGCATCACGACTGGGATATTGACATCGATAGTCAAGGTACAGAACATTTCCAGCACCACAAGCACCACGCCTACCTCCCTCCACGCCTTTCTCCCCTCAAATCCTGGCCACCCTTTGCCTGTTCTGTGTTTTTATAATATTGTCCTTTAAAGAGTGTTCCGTTAGTGAAATTGCATAGGAGGTAAGCTTTCGGGATTGGCTTTTTTCACTCAGTATCTCTCTCTGGATATTCATCCGGGTGTTGCTTCTTTTCTTTGCTGAGTATCATTTCATGGTCTGGATATGCCCCAGATTAACTGTTCACCTGTCGAAGGACATCTGAGTTTGGCTGTGACAAATACAGCTGCTGTCAACAAGCACATACAGGTTTTAGTGTGAACCTAAGTCTTCATTTTCTGGGATAAATGCCCAGGAGTGCAGAGGCTGAGTCGTCTGGTAGTTGGATGTTTAGCTTTTTAAGAAACTGCCAAACTTTCCTGGAGTAACTGTGCCAGTTCACATTCTCACCAGCAGTGTATATGTGATTGTAGATTTCTCGGAATCCTTGCCATCATTTGTCACCGTCCTTATTGCTTGTGTAGGTGTGTAGTTGTCTGTCATTGTGGTTGGAGTTTGCATTTGCCTTGGTTTCATTTGGGAGCCAGCGTGCAGCTCCCTGTGCTGCTGCGGTACAGGAGAAGGCAGCCCACCCAGGGGGTGCTGGTGGGAGCGCTGTATGAGCGGGTCCACTGAGCTGTGAAATTGTCCAGTGTATTCAGGGAAGGACTTTGATCCAGTTTGAAGAGACATCATGGAGTGGAAGGCTGACCGGGCACATGCACCAGTGTGGAGACCACGGTTAACACCAGGTGGTCGCTTGTCAAGATGCGGTTGTCAAGATGTTCACTTTTCAAACCCTTCAGTGCATCCGGAAGGCCTTCAGGGAGGAAATGAGGAGGCGCCCGAGGAGGGGTCAGAGTTTGAGTTTTAGCCCTGACAAGGCCACTGTTCATGCATATGACCCAGGGTGAGTGTTTGAACCTCTTCCAGCCTGGTTTCTGCGTTTTTAAGCAGCGATGTTCTGGATGGTACTGTGGGCTTTGCTTCACTGAGGTTGGGCTGATGGGAGTTGACAGGAACTAATTAATGTATCTTAAGGCAGTTTGGAAACATTGTTATGCAAATGGATTGCATTTGCCATCAGCCACTGTTCCTCAATTTGCTTTTATTGATATGATGGGAAGTGCTTTGGAGCTGACGTTGAAATCACAGTGTGGAATTTGTGTGTTAGTTGACTGGAGCTACCATAACAAAGGACCACAAGACAGGGTGGCTTAACCAACAGGACTGTGTTTCTTCACAATTCTGTAATGCCGGAGTCAAGGTGTTTTGGTGGTTGGTTTCTTCTGAGACCTCTCTCCTTGGGTTACAGACAGCTGTCTTCACCCTGTCTTCATAGGGTCTTCCTTCGGTGTGTGTCAGTGTCCTCATTTCCTCTTCTTACAAGGCCACTATGGCCAGCCTCGGTGGCTCACACCTGTAATCCCAGCATTTTGGGAGGCTGAGGTGGGCGGGTCACCTGAGGTCAGGGGTTAGAGACCAGCCTGGCCAATATGGTGAAACCCCATCTCTAGTAAAAATACAAAAAATTAACCTGGTATGGTGGCGGGCGCCTGTAATCCCAGCTACTGGGGAGGCTGAGGCAGGAGAATCACTGGAACCTCGGAGGCGGAGGTTGCAGTGAGCCAAGATTGCGCCATTGTACTTCAGCCTGGGCAACAAGAGCAAAACTCCATCTCAAAAAAAAAAAAGAGACCGGGCGCGGTGGCTCACGCCTGTAATCCTAGCACTTTGGGAGGCCAAGGCGGGGAGATCACGAGGTCAGTAGATCGAGACCCTCCCGGCTAACACGGTGAAACCCTGTCTCTACTAAAAATACAAAAAACTAGCCGGGCGTGGTGGCGGGCGCCTGTGGTCCCAGCTACTCGGGAGGCTGAGGCAGGAGAATGGCGTGAACCCGGGAGGCGGAGCTTGCAGTGAGCCGAGATCGCGCCACCGTACTCCAGCCTGGGTGACAGAGTGAGACTCCATCTCGGAAAAAAAAAAAAAAAAAGAAAGAAAGGACACTAGTCATGCTGGATAAGGGCCTACCCTACCGTAAAGACCACACTTTGACTTAGTCACCTCTTTAAATTCCCTGCCTCCAAATACAGTCACACATCCAGGATGCTGAATTTCTGAGGTTAGAACACTGACATATGGATTTGGAGGGACACAGTGTAGCCCATAACAGTATGATTTTGATAACATAAGACTTTTCATCTACAGTTTCCCTCTGTCTTTAGTGGCCTTTGAATTTTTTTTTTTTTTTCCTGCAAGCCCATGGGTCCCTGGTGCTACTGGACTCGAGGGAGGTAAGGAGCTTTCTAATGGGACTCCAATTTGTTTCTGTTCAGATCTGGAAATTCCTTGTAATCAAATTAGTGACAGAACAATGCAATCAGGTAGTTTGAGATCCAAACAGGAACTTCAGAGCAGTTCTTTAAGTGTGATCATTCTCCTGTGAGTGTGGCTCAGTCTCTGAGCTCAACCTACCTGGGCTTAAGCTGCATTTAGCATTAGGATATTCACACATCCTGCTTGGACTTAATTCCAGTTTCTTACCATTTATGTTTTTGTAGCATGAGTAGGGCAGCCTCATATTGGCTCTGGAATCCCAGTTGGACAGTGATGGCAAAACCCGGGCTTTGGTGCTGGTGTCACACACTTGGTGACCCAGGGCTGTCCCACACAACTCCAGGGGGCACTGTTCTTCTCCACAGCCCACGAGGCTGGCTTCTGTCCTCCACTCGCACCTTGCGTGGCCCTCCGTGGCCTTGGGCCGTCAGAAAAGCGCTTTAATATCAGGAGCTCATGGGGCAAGGGAGGGGGCTTGGCTCGTGACAAATAAATGACACCGGGCTTCTTGATGATGACTTACAAGCTCAGTTTTGGCCTGCCACTCTGCAGTTATCCACATGCCCACATGCACGTGGGAAACTGAGTATCCACGCAGGCACTCCCTGTCTTCAAAAGGCAGATGGTTTCACCCCAGACAGATGTCTGTCAGTTCGTTGAATTTTCATTTGGGTGCCTTGAGGAGAAAAAGATGCTTTCTCTTGGCATATAGTGTGTGCTGTCAAAACAGCTCAGGTTAGGGGTCATAGAGATCCGTCTTTGAATATCAGCCTGGTGTCTTATTAGGCATGTCACCTTGGGGGTTATTTACCTTAAGCCTGAGTTTCTCCTTTGTAAAACTGGTGATAACACCAACCTCTTTGGGCCCTTCTGAGGAGAAAGAGATAACCTAGCCCAAACCGGGCCCATGGTCTGTGCTTGATAATGTTAGTTTCTTTCATCCTTTATTGATTGCTTTGTAAGTAGAAGGCTGTGTTGCTTGGGACTGAATCTCTAGCTTAATTCAGGCTCTCCCCAGCCCTGCTGCATGGGCCCCATTGCTTCTGTAGCCCCTGCCTGTTGCAAAGTGCTGGTCAGAATTTTAATGTTAGCTCTGAGGTTAGATCAGGGACTGTAGTTCTTATTGATTGCTGGGGGGTCCTGAAGGGACAGGATGAAGGCAGATCTCTACATCTCTCATCAGAAATGTTACCTTGAGTCTTTATCTAGATGCAGTTGCTGTTTAGACCTATGATTTGTTGCTGCATCTCCTGAGGAGTGTGATGCAAGATTTTTATGCCATCCTGAGTGATTTGTTTCAGTTTTAAATTTTATTTTATTTATTTATTTTTATAGACAGGCTCTTGGTCTACTGGCCAGACCAGAGTGCAGTGATGCGATCATAGCTCACTGCAGCCTTGAACTCCCAGGCTCAAGTGATCCTCCAACCCTGGCCTTCTGAGTAGCTGGGACTACAGGTCTAGCTAATTAAAAAAAACTTTTTTAAGGAGATTGGGAGAGGGTCTTGTTATGTTGCCCTGGTCTCAAACTCTTGACCAAAGTGCAGGGATTAGAGATGTGAGCCACCACACCCAGGGGAGTGATTTAACTTAATTGGTTACACTAGGTAAACTTAGGTGTATTTATGTAACAGTCATGATTTCCTTTCTGACTGTTAGCTAGCTGCTGTAACAAACAGCCCCAACATTTTGCTGGCTTCATACAATACAAGTTTGTTTTTCATTTGTGTCAAAGTGGGCGGTGGGGAGGGTGAGCAGGGGCTCTGCTCTGCCCAGCCATTCAGAGTCTCTGGCTCCTTTGACCCTGCCAGTCTGCCCTCCACTGCCCTTCCCCATTCAACCTGTAGATGGGGAAAGAAAGAGATGAGGATGGTGCATAGATTTTCTTTCTGGCCTGGTCTGGGGGTGGTGCCCATCCCTTCTGCTCACATTTTCTCACCGTGACCTGAGTCTCTGGTCAGACCTGCAGCAAGTGGGGTGGGAAATGTAATCTGACTGTGTGCCTCGCAGGAAGAGGAGAATGTGGATTTGGTGGTCTCCTCCACGTGTTCCTATTGATGCTTATTTTCCATTACCAGGAAGAATGTTAGTCTGGACTCTTCAGCTTCATTGGCGTTGAGCATAGAGGTTGTACATCCTCAGGACTTTCACCCTGAAAGTCACTTGGCAGAACAGATGTTCATGTCCCTATAAAGACGGAAGTGATGCCAAGGACAGACGCCGCCTTTTTCCTTGGGGTGTATTTTGCTACTTATGTCCTATAGATTTCAGGATATTCTTCAGGGTATACCAAGCCCGAGAGCAGTGCTGCTTTCTCAATGTGTCTTTTTCTTTTTTGGGGGCGGGGGGGGGATGGAGTCTTGCTCTGTTGCCCAGGCTGGAGTGCAGGGGCACAATCTTGGCCCACTGCAACCTCCGCCTCCTGGATTCAAGCAGTTTTCCTGCCTCAGCCTCCCAAGTAGCTGGGATTACAGGTGTGCACCACCGCATCTGGTAATTTTTTGTATTTTTAGTAGTAACACGGGGTTTAGTTACTAACACGGGTTAGTAACACGGGGTTTCACTGTGTTAGCCAGGATGGTCTCGATCTCCTGACCTCGTGATCTGCCCACCTTGGCCTCCCAAAGTGCTGGGATTACAGGCGTGAGCCACCGTGCCTGGCCTCAGTGTGTCCTGTCCTTTTCATATCTGTCTGGCTGTTCCTGTTCCCACCATCCAAAAACACATGCACACCCCAGGCCCCTTTCCTGTGCTGTTTAATTCTTTTGGCCTCAGAAGGCTGTGTACTAAAGCTTGCTAATGAGAACCGTGTCTTTGTTTTTAAGTGTTTTTTGTCTTTATAGAATGGAATCTCTATATTCTGAAATAACTCTTGTCTATGAGTATGTATGCAATGAGAAAGGCTATAAAGTTAAATCAAGGAGAGCAACAGTGACTTAAAAGTTAGGCGTTGGGACACTATGGTGTGGAGTTTAGAGCACTGGATTGACAGCCTGAATAATAGGGTCTGGTATTCCTGGGTACAGCACTTAACTGCTGCCACCTCTGCCCTCCCTGAGCCCCAGGCCCCTTACCTGGAGTTAGGGCATATCCTAGCACATCTGTGCATCTCAGCTCTGCCCAGGGGAGAGAGCAGGACCGTGTGTGTGGAAGAGCTTTGAGAAGAGAAAGTACTACTTAGTGTTGGGTTATTCATGTTAAACTATTATACAGTCAATATTAACTTCTTATAGAGAAAATATATGATTTCTGGTGATTGTTTTAAATTGGAAAAGGACAGTGTGGCATTGTGAGTTTCACTTTCCTCAAAGTTTTATGATTTTTATTTTACTTACTAGTAGACAAGTTTTCTAGTAATTGATTATGTTGTGAGTAGATGAACATCTTGCATAAGCAGCTAGCCTGGGCTGCTGTGTAACCTATGTATAGAGACGAATGGTGATGAAGCCTGTATGTTTCAGCCTCGGTTAGGAAACCTTCTGTCCTAAGCCACAGAAAAGTTAAAGAAGACTCTGCCTCGAAATAACTCATTTCTTCCCTCCCTTCTCCCCTTCTTCCCTCATTCCTTCTGTCCTTTCTTCCTCCCCTCCTTCCTTTCCTCCTTCCTTTCCTCCCCTCCTTCCTTCTACCCCTCCTTTCCTTCCTTCCCTTCTTTCTTCCTTCCTTCCTGTTTGCTTGCCAGCCCTGTTCTTAGACATTGGTATCTGGAGCTGCCCTCATGGGGTTTATAGTCTGATACAGCCAACTCTTCCATATCTGAAACTCTCGAGGCCAGTGGTGTTTCAGAATTCCAGTTTGTCACAGTGCAGAGAGACAGGTGGGAGCTGTGTGAGGCCAGCGGTGTTTCAGAATTCCAGTTTGTCACAGTGCAGAGAGACAGGTGGGAGCTGTGCGAGGCCAGCGGTGTTTCAGAATTCCAGTTTGTCACAGTGCAGAGAGACAGGTGGGAGCTGTGCGAGGCCAGCGGTGTTTCAGAATTCCAGTTTGTCACAGTGCAGAGAGACAGGTGGGAGCTGTGCTTGTGGCTCCTGTGCCAGACACCCCGAGCAGCTCTGGGCAACACCCTGGAGTCGAGCATATTGATTCTGCTGCCATGAGCGTGTGAACATTCACAGCACGAGGGAAGCCATCCGTAATTAGCTCCTCTCCGCTCAGGTTAGACTTTTGCAGTTAAATGAATTACAGAAATCTCTTTGGGTTTGGGAACTTTGTGGGTATTTCGGGCTTGTGGGTAATGAACTGTCGATGTTGTATTTTTTCACAGCTCAACCAACATATTCAGGTTTTGTCTTCTCAGGGCCTGTCATTCATTCTGGTTCTCTGATCAGATTTCCTCAGACTGTGGGTGCCTGCAGCCAGCCCGGAAGCCCTTTAAAATGCCCTTCGTGGCCATCCTGGCCTCATTCCCAGATCCACTCCTGTCCAGCTGGGTGCCTGGCTGGTCCCCGGTCACAGTCTGCAATTCCCACTCCCCTGCCTCAGCTTCACAGGGTCTGTGGCTGATCCGAGTCAGGCCCTGGGCACTGCTGGCCTCATCACATTGGCCTCCGGACCCCTTCTGGAAGAGACTTATCCCTTTGTTCCACCCCGGGCTGTGGGGACAAGATTTTGCGAGAGCTGAGGGCCCAGTGAGAATGGTCTTGAGTCCTTAGGGCCTGGGAGCCCTAGGTGGAAGTGGGAAGGAGGAGGAGGAGAGTGGGGAGGAGATGTGAGGACTAAGCGCACCCAGGGCCAGTTTAAGAGGTCAGGGTCGAGGACATTAGAGGCCTGTCTCCCCCAGGCGCATAAAGCTGTGAGTTTTCCTTCTTCAGTTCCTTAGGCAGAACCCCTAAAGCAGATTCTGGGGTGATGGAACTCTGGGTATGAGTTCTTGTTAGCCAGGCATAGTTAGGAGCTTGGGCCTGCATCTGGACGAGAGAGACTCAGCTGTGCCCATTGAGAGCTTGTGCTGCCTGCAAAGTGACCTGCCTGAGGCTCATTGCCTGGTCCCTGTGAATATTAAGTGGCTTCAACACAAAGAAGGGACTTCCAGGGGAGGCTGCCCGGGATTGCCAGTGCAGTGGGGCTCCGCTGATGCTCAGGATCACCAGCGTGCAGCGGGGACTCCACTGATGCCTGGGATTGATTGCCAGCATGCAGCGGGGACTCCACTGATGCCTGGGATTGATTGCCAGCATGCAGCGGGGGCTCCGCTGATGCCCGGTATCCACCAGCGTGCAGCGGGGGCTCTGCTGATGCCTGGGCTTGCATGCCGCTGCCGCTGCCTACTGGTGCGTGGCGGTAGCCGCCTGTGCCCAGCTGGTGTGCTTGTCCAAGGTGATGACGGTACTTTTTATTGCACAGAGTTGCTGGAGAGTTGAATGACCTGGGTCATGTCAGCACAGTTTCTCAGTCCCTGCACTGTTGACATTCTGGGCAGGATAATTTTTCACCCTGGGGAGCTGTCCTGTACCTTGCTGGATACTTAGCAGGGCCTGCCCAGTAGATCCCGGTAGCAGGATCCCCCTCCAGCTCTGTATGTTCTTCAGATGATTTGGGGATATCACTGGTATTTTAATAAGTTCTAGAATTTCCCCCATTGACATTGCCAGGATGTCAAGCCAGGATGTCTCAGCCATTGCCAACTGTCCCGGGGGTAAGTGGGGCGGGATGGCCTAACTCATGGTAAACACTCAACAGCTGCTTACTGTTACTAATGATACTGTGTTATTAGCAGCAAAGTCAGCGAAGTCACTTCTGTATATTTGGGAAGAAAAGCTAGAAACCCCAACGACTTGGTCTGGCAGGGTGTGCAGGTGGGCACGGAGGATTCGGACAGGTGGGCACGGAGGATTTGGAGGAGGAGAAAGTCAAGGTGCAGATGGGCACAGAGGATTTGGAGGAGGAGAAAGCCGAGAGGGAGTGTGGGGGCCCTTCGGCCAAGCTTCTTGGCTGTCTAAAGATCATTAGGAGCTGGCTGTGTTTCATTCTCCTTCTGAGAGACAAACATGAGTTTCTCTTGAGGCCAGGAGTGATGTGCAGATGAACACGAATTGTGTGGCTCATCCCAACATGTCCTTTAAGAAACCCCATGCAGGCTGCTTAGAGACCTTCCTAAACGCAGGAACTCAAGCATTTGCTTCTTGGAGTTTTATTTGCTGGAATAAAGGCACTTATCAACCTCTTTTTTATTTTTCGAAAATAATAACTTATTTTCTTTAACATAATTGACTTCACCAGAGGCAAATACCGATTTAGCAGGAAGGAAATGTGATTATTTTCCTTTCTAATTGCTGTGCTTCTATTAACTTCACAAGATTTGTTTTCAAGTCCTCCTAACGTCATAAGTGTTTTCCTGACAATTTTTCAAAGGCAGGAATCGTCCTGTTCCTCCAGGCACCGTGGCCAAGTGGCCAGATTTCTTCACATTATTCTTGGGGGTTGTTGCTTTGAGAATCAGCCCAGTGAGGCCAAGGGGAAGGGGAGGTGGGGGTGTGTGCAGGAGGCCTGAGACTTAGGTGACCCCGATGACGGTCTGTGCTATTTCCATACTCAGGCTCTGTGGCCGTCAGCCCGTTGCTCTGAGGGACAAAAGCTTTCTTATCCCAACCCAGGCTGGATGACCCCCCGATCCCGCGTTGCTCTCTGCAGTTCTGCGACATGCTTCCCCTCCAGTCCCCCTGGGGGCAGGTGGTGGCTCCGTGTCCCCTGCTAGACGGAGGGCCCTCGAGGGTGAGGCCTTAATCCTGTTGCTTTCTCTCTTCCCAGCACCTGCTGTGGTCCCTGGCACACCTTGCCGTACATTGAATGAAGGCAAAGGGAGAGATTTCATCATAGCAAAATGTCATGAACTGCCTGGAGAACCATGAGTTTTCTGTTGGTGGGGAGTTACGTCTTGGAGGGGGCACCACTTCCAGGACTAAGGCAGTGTCGGCTCAGCTCGAGAATGCAGTGGGTGACGGGGTCAGCAGCCCTAAAACTCCCTCCACCCCGGCTGTGGGAAGCACCCACTGGGGGCTCCATCCCGATGGGCTTCCTGAGCTAAAATGGGTGCTTTGTCCATGCTGGATAAATATGTGGCGATGTTGGTGGGTTGGGCAAGTCAGTTACACGACTCTGTATGTTCTTCAGATGATTTGGGGATATCACTGTTATTTTAATAAGTTCTAGAATTTCCCCCATTGACATTGCTACAAGGCAATTAAATTAAATTAAAGTTCCTTCTTAATAAAATGTTCCAGTAAAACACTTTCCTAGTCCCCTTGTTGATACGTTTGTCTGCAGTGACTGGATTAGCTGGCGGGAGAATAGAAGAAAAGTGGATTTTGAAGGGAGATTGTGCTTGAGTCACGCTTCCAGCTCCTAGTCATTGTGGGACCCCAGTGGGGCTCCCCAGAGCTTTCGGGTCTTGATCATCTGTAAAATGAGGGTCCTGCCACCAGTCTTTTCTGCTCCCAAATGCAGTAATGAAAAGCCAATGAAATCAAAGTATATAATATATATGCTAAAGTACTTTGTAATTATAAAGCATTAAACAGCTAAAAGGAATAATAAATTCTGTTCAGAGCACAGATTGGCAAGCTTTTTCTGCAGAGATCTAGAAAATAAATACTTTAGGTTTTGCAGGCCAAGAGGCAAAATGGAGGATACTATGTTAAGACATTAAACCTAGAACTACCATCTGACCCAGTGATTCTTCTCTTAGGTGTGCACCCAGAAGAAGTAGAAACAGTTCACATAGGCTGGTCCGAGTGCAGTGGTGTTTACAACTAGCTGATCACAACCAGTTACTGATGTCATTGTTCCTTCTCCACTCCCACTGCTTCACTTGCCTTTACAAAAAGTTCAGGCCGGGCACGGTGGCTCACACCTGTAATCCCAGCACGTTGGGAGGCCGAGGCGGGCAGATCACCTGAGGTCAGGAGTTTGAGACTAGCCTGGGCAACATGGTGAAACCCCGTCTCTACTAAAAATACAAAAACAATTAGTTGGGCGTGGTGGTTCGCACCTGTAATACCAGCTACTGGGGAGGCTGAGGCAGGAGAATCACTTGAATCTGGGAGGCAGAGGTTGCAGTGAGCCGAGGTCGCACCATTGCACTCCAGTCTGAGCAGAAGAGTAAGACTCTATCTCAAAAAAAAAAAAAAAAAAAAGTTCAAACAAGTAGTTATTTACAATTGTTCGTAGCAGCATTAGTCACAATACTTAAAAGGTGGAAACAATTCAAATGTCCATCATTGGATGAATGGATAAACAAAACATGGTATGTCCCTATAATGGAATATTATTCAGCCATGAAAAGGAATGAAACACCGATCATGCTACAGCATGGGTGAACCTTGAAAACATGCTAAGGGCAAGAAGCCAGTCACAGAGGGACATACATGATTCTATTAATAGGAAATGTGATTCTGTTTATATGAAATGTCCAGAATAGGCAAATCTGTAGGCACAGAAAGCAGATTAGTGGTTGCCCGGGACTAGGGGAGGGCGTGATGGGGAGTGGCCTCTTAGTGGGAGTGTCAGTCTGTTTGCATTACTATAAAGGAATACTTGAGGACGGGTGAGAGAGAGAGAGACAGAGATTTGTTTGTTTGTTTATTTGAGATGGAGTCTCGCTCTGTTCCCCAGGCTGGAGTGCAGTGGCGCGATCTCAACTCACTGCAGCCTCCACCTCCTGGGTTCAAGCGATTCTCCTGCCTCAGCCTCCCGAGTAGCTGGGACTATAGGCATGCACCACCTGCCTGGTTAATTTTTGTATTTTTAGTAGAGATGGGGTTTTGCCATGTCGGCCAGGCTGGTCTCAAACTCCTGACCTCAGGTGATCCACAAGGCTAGGTAATTTATAAGAAAAGAGGTATAAGGCTGGACACAGTGGTTCATGCCTGTGGCCCCAAAACCTTGGGAGGCCTAGGCAGGCTGATCCTTTGAGCCCAGAAGTTGGAGACCAGCCTAGACAACATGACAAAACCCCATCTCTACAGAAAATTTAAAAATTAGCCAGGCGTGGTGGCACACACCTGTAGTCCCAGCTATTCAAAAGGCTGAGGTGGGAGGATTATGTCCCTGGAGCCCAGGAAGTGGAGGTTGCAGAGATTGCATCACTGCATTTCAGCCTGGGTGACAGAGTACGACCCTGTATCAAAAAAAAAAAAAAAAAAAAAAAAAGGAAAGAGTTATAATTGGCTCATGTTTCTGTAAGCTGTACAGGAGTCATGGTGCTGGCATCTGCTTCTGGAGAGGCATCCGGAAACTTCCAATCATGGCAGAAGGGGAAGGGAGAGCCAATGCATCACAGGACAAGAGCAGGAGCAAGAGAGGGGAGGAGCTGCCACACTCTAGTCCAGTCTAGACCACACACTGGTCTAGAGTCTTAGAATCTTTTAGTTTTAGAATAATGACCATTATTTTTGTAACAACCAGTGTCTCGGGAACTCACTGAGTAAGAACTTGGTCCTCACCAAGAGGATGGTGCGAAGCCATTCCGGAGGGAGGCGCCATGATCCAAATCCCTCCCACAAGGCCCATCTTCAACATTGGGGATCACATTTCCACAAGAGATTTGGAGGGGACAGACATCCAAATGGTATCAGTGACTTTGGGGTTTCCTTATGCAGTGATGAAAATACTTAAGAACTAGACAGAGGTGGTGGTTGCACAACATTAGGAATGTACTAAATATTACACACTACTAAATTGTATACTTTAAAATGGTTAATTTTCTGTTATGTTAGTTTTACCTCCTTTAAAAAAAAAGATGAGGACCGGGTACGGTGGCTCACGCCTATAATTCCAGCACTTTGGAAGGCTGAGGTGGGCGGAGCACCTGAGGTTGGGAGTTTGAGACCAGCCTGACCAACATGGAGAAACCCCATCTCTACTAAAAATACAAATTAGCTGGATGTGGCAGTGCATGCTTGTAATCCCAGCTACTCGGGAGGCTGAGGCAGGAGAATTGCTTCAGCCCGGGAGGCGGAGGTTGCGTTGAGCCGAGATTGTGCCATTGCACTCCAGTCTGGGCAACAAGAACGAAACTCCATCTAAAAAAATAAAATAGAATAAAAGATGGGAACCATTCTTAGCTTATGGGCAGTATAAAGCTAAGCTGTGGGCCACATTTGGCCCATAGGCTGTAGTTTGCTGACCTCTGGTCTAGAGTCTTAGAATCTTTTAGTTTTAGAATAATGACCATTATTTTTGTAATAATATTGTATGCTAGTTATTAAAAGATTGCAAACTATATTAAAGTTAAAAGGATGTAAAAAACTTAGGCATGGCTGGGTGTGGTGGCTCATGCCTGTAATCCCAGCACTTTGGGAGGCCGAGGTGGATGGATCACCTGAGGTGAGGAGTTTGAGACCAGCCTGGCCAACATGGTGAAACCCCATAACTACTAAAAATACAAAAATTAGCCGGGTGTGGTGGCAGGTGCCTGTAATCCCAGGTACTCGGGAGGCTGAGGCAGGAGAATCGCTTGAACCCGGGAGGCGGAGGTTGCAGTGAGCCGAGATGGCACCACTGCACTCCAGCCTGGGTGACAGAGCAAGACTCTGTTTCAAAACAACAACAAAAACAATAAAAATCCTAGGCATTCTCCAAGCAATCTGCCACGGAGAAAGGAGCGCCATTCTCGGCATCTCTCTCCATGTGCGATGGTCCGTACCCTCCCCCTCCCCACTTCATACACAGAAACCTAATCACCAAGGTGATGGGATTAGGATATGGAGCCTTTGGGAGGTGATTAGGTCATGAGGGCTGAGGGTCCTTCTAAAAGAGGCCCCGGAGAGCTTGTTCCTTCTACCCTGTGAGGACACAGTGAGAAGGTGCCTTCTATGAGCCAGGAAACAGGCCCTTGCCAGACACCAAATCCACCTGCCCCTCAGTCTTGGACTTTCCCAGCCTCCACAACTGTGGGAAATGAATTTCCATTGTTTGTAAGCTGCCTGGTTTATGATATTTTGATATGGCAGCCCGAACAGAGGTAGATACCATGTGTAGAGAGAAACAGGCAGAGAAATAGGAGAGTTGAAGGGTACCCCACCCTCCTTGATTTCTAGTTGAGGAAATGGAGGCTGTGAGTGCTGGAACTGAGCGGGGGGACTTGAGTGCTGGAACTGAGCAGGGGGAACTGAATGCTGGAACTGAGCAGGGGGAACTGAATGCTGGAACTGAGCAGGGGGAACTGAGTGCTGGAACTCAGTAGGGGGAGGCTGTGAGTGCTGGAACTCAGTAGGGGGAGGCTGTGAGTGCTGGAACTCAGTAGGGGGAGGCTGTGAGTGCTGGAACTCAGTAGTGGGAGGCTGTGAGTGCTGGAACTCAGTAGGGGGAGGCTGTGAGTGCTGGAACTCAGTAGGGGGAGGCTGTGAGTGCTGGAACTCAGTAGCGGGAGGCTGTGCATGCTGGAACTCAGTAGGGGGAGGCTGTGAGTGCTGGAACTGTCTCTGGGGAGCCCTGTCTGGAGCCTTAAAAAAGGCAAACGGCCCTTGAAACGGCAGGGTGGGGAGAGTTGACCAAAAGGTTAAAAAGCAATTTAACAGAAATCCAACTCTTCAGGATTCTTGCTTCTTCCACCGTGTTGCCTCCAGAAGAACAGAAAATGAAATCTCATTTTGCAGTTTTCGTCTGACCAGCAGTTACCATGGAGGGCCAGGTGTGGTCAAGGGCTCTAGAACGTTTGTCTGCACAGTTTCCCTCTTTGATCTCTGTGATTTATAGACAGGCACTTAAAGGTGGGATTAATGTGTAAAGAGCCTTCAGAG